>NW_012132914.1:0-300000 GCF_000001405.40 Homo sapiens | reverse complement strand
CCTGCCTCAGTCCCCCTAGTAGCTGGAACAACAGGCATGCACCATCATGCCTGGCTTATTTTTGTATTCTTAGTGAAGACCAGGCTTCACCACGTTGCCCAGACTGGTCTTGAAATTCTGGGCTCAAGCGATCCACCTGCCTCGGCCTCCTAAATTGCTGGGAGTGAGCTCTTATAGGTATGAGCCACCGCACCCAGCCTTGAGTTTATTTATTTATTTATTTTGGAGATGGAGTCTCACTCTTTCACCCAGGCTGGAGTGCAGTGGTACGATCTCAGCTCACTGCAACCTCTGCCTCCAGGGTTCAAACAATTCTCCTGTCTCAGCCTCCAGAGTAGCTGGGATTACAGGCATGCACCACCACACCTGATTAATTTTTGTATTATTATTATTATTATTTTTTAGTAGAGACAGGGTTTTGTCATTTTAGCCAGGCTGGTCTCGAACCCCTGACCTCAGGTGATCCACCCGCCTCGGCTTCCCAAAATGCTACGACTATAGATGTGAGCCACCACGCCCAGCCTATTTTTTTCTTTATAGCAGTTTTAGATTCACAGAAAAACTAAGCAGAAACTGCAGAGTTCTCATCTACCTTCTTCCCCCTTCAATACACAGCACCCCCACAGGATCAGCACCCACACCAGCACAGAGCATTCGTCACAACCAATGAGCCACAGGGACACATCATTATCACCCAATGTCCATAGTTCACATGAAGGATCATTGCTGGTTTTGTATATTCTATGGATTTTAACAAAGGGATAATGACATGTATCCACCATTAGAGCATCATGGAGAGTAGTTTTGTTTCCTTAAAAGTCCTCTGTCCTCTTTCCATTCATCCCATTGTACTCCAAATCCCTTGCAACCACTGGGTTTTCTACCATCTCCATAGAAAAAGGCAGAAGGCTCTTCTGGAATGTCTAACAGGATGAGTCTTTTCACATTGCCTTCTTTCACTTGTACAATAACGTGCATTTAGGAATCTTTCATGTCTTTTTATGGCTTCGTAATAGTTCACTGACCAGATGGATCACAGTTTCTTTATCCAGTCACCCACTGAAGGGCATCTTTCTTGCTTCCAAGTTTTGGCGATTATGAATAAAGCTGCTATAAACATCCAGGTGTGGGTTTACTCCCTTCGTTAAATACCTGGGAGCATGATGACTGAATCGTAGGGGTATGGTATGTTTTACAAGGATTTTTTCTTTCTTGACAATCTCACTTGTTCGATATTGCTGCTAAAGGTCAGGAACTTTGTCTCGCTCATCCTGTGGTCCCACTGCTGAGCATGGAACGTGGCACTTGGTAGCAAATGCTGTTGACCACATGATGCATGGAAATGCTTATCATCAGTATAGCCACTAAATTGCTAACGTGGGGACGTCAACAGTAGCTCACTACCAATAATACAAATAAGTTGGATTATGGAAAAAATAGCCCTTGTGATACTGTGGATACTCCATGTGTATCATGAAAGTACAGCAATTGGCCAGGTGCAGTGGCTCACATCTGTAATCCCAGCATCTGGGAGGCCGAAGTGGGTGGGTCACTTTAGGTCGGAAGTTTGAGACAAGCATGGCCAACATGATTGAAATCCTGTCTCTATTAAAAATACAAAAATTGACTGGGCGTGGTGGTGCATAGGTGTAGTCCCCACTACTGGGGAGACTGAGGGAGGAGAATTGCTTGAACGCAGGAGGTGGAGGTTGCAGTGATCGAAGATCATGCCATTGCACCCCAGCCTAGGCAACAGAGTGAGATACCGTATCAAAAAAAGAAAAAGAAAGAAAGAAAGAGAGAGAGAGAGAGAGAGAGAAAGAAAGAAAGAAAAACAAAATGAAACAAAACAAGAAAGTCCAGCATGGTAGGAGGTACATAGAGGTACATGAGGGCGAGCTTCATTTGTTTTTCATCATTTTTCCCTTCTCTGGACAGTATTCTGAATGCAAAACATTCCAAAACCACAGAGCAAACATCTCCTATAATCTTCCCCTTATCCCAGACTTCTCTTCACAGTGTATGTGCTAGTGTCTTCCAGACTTTTGTATGACTTGCTATACAGAAGATCAGATCAAATGGGCATGTCCCTAAAAAGTGGTGACTTGCCAGTTCTGGACTCACTTTGCAGGGTGCCGGGACCTCTGTGAGAATCAAGCAGTAGCTCCAGGAGCCAGGGCTTTGGGTCTCTTCTGTGCACCTTCAGGAGCTTTTATTGACCTTTCTCACTACAACCCCCTTCTTGACTACCAACTTCCAATTCGAAAACGACATCCAACTGGATCGTGAACTTCCACCCAGTTAACCCTGATTGAGTTTTCAATTTTCTTCTCATGAAGTGATTAAATTAGATAGGCATTTATGAAAGTGAAAGAAGTAATAACAGGATGAAGGTCTAAAACTCATTTATTCACTTATTCCACAAACACTGGTAAAGTTTGACTAATATGTGACCTTCATAGTGATACAGGGAAGGATTTAATCTGTTTCTGACATTAGAATATATATATATCTTTATTGGAGAATCTTTGGCCACATCAAAAGTATCAAAACATTTCAGCATTAAAGCAGCTTTAAGAAGACAGGGATGTCATCCCTAAAAAACACAATAAAAATCTCTGTGTATCCACTGGGCACCTGGGTTTTATGCTACCTAACATGGTAGATCATATGCCCATTCAGGTGGAAGACAGGAACTACTGAGGGTGTAATTTTTCTCAAGGTTAAGGTCAAGGTTTCACTGAAAGAAATCAGGCCTACATTACAAAGTAAGGTGAGGGCTGGGCTGGATGGGACTAAGTGTTCTAATGGGACCCTAGGAGGGAACCAAGACAACATAAAACATGGCAGGTATTTTGTGGGCATCTGGACAAAAGGATTGAAAGACTTTTTTTTTTTTTAGATTGGGTGTCACCCAGGGTGGTGTGCAGTGTTGCAATCTTGACCTACTGCAACCTCTGCCTCCCAGGCTCAAGCAATCATCCCCTCTCAGCCTTCTGAGTAGCTGGAACTTCCAGCATGTGGCAGCATACCTGGCTAATATTTTGTATTTCATGCAGAGAAAAGATTTTACCACATTTCCTGGGCTAGTCTCAGAATTCCTGGACTCAAGTGAACCATGGTGCCCAGCAATGTTATTGTGATTTTAAATGACAGATTTTGCTTTGTTTTTAAGAAAACCACAGAGATATTCCATATGCTATTTTCTTTTCTTTTTTTTTTTTAATTTTGAAATGAAGTCTCACTCTGTCACTCAGGCTGGGGTGCAATGGCATGATCTCAGCTCACTGCAACCTCCACCTCCCAAATTCAAGTGATTCTTCTGCCTCAGCCTCCTGCGTAGCTGAGATTACAGGTGCGAGCCAACACACCCAGCTAATTTTTGTATTTTTAGTAGGGTTGGGGTTTCACCATATTGGCCTCACTGGTCACGAACTCCTAACCTCAGATGATCCACCTGCCTTGGCCTCCCAAAGTGCTGGGATTACAGGCATGAACCACCATGCCCCATCATATATGCTATTTTCTATTAATTTTTTTAATAGTGATGGGGTCTTGCTTTACTACGTAGTCTGGTCTTGAGGCAGAAATTTAAACACAATAATAACAATAAATACTACATTCATTTACTCCAAGAAAAGTTACAGACAAAGCTATAAGAAGGTCATAGTGACCTAGTCTGAGAAGTAAAAGCCAAGGCCCAGAATGTGTCAGGCAAAGGTAAAACAAACAAACAAACAAACAAAAAACAAGTTTTCCTCTGCCTAGCAAGCTCATTTCAAGGACAGTTATAAGATAATGCTGTTGGAGAAGTTGAAAGAAAGGAATAGGCTCCAGACACCCACTGCTCCAGAGCAAGGGTGATTAAAAAAAAGAAAGAAAAATGGCAAATGTCTGTATTTAGCCAGTTCTTCTTTTTTCTTTTGATGCAGCTACAAGGCCACCAGCTATGCAAGGCCACAGTTATGTAATAGATTACATTACCTGTCATTGTATGATTAACTGCCATTGTTTTGCTTCTGTAAGCCTGCTTATAAAAATCCTGCTCAGTCTTTGTTCAATGCTCAGCTTTTTGGATATGAATCCACTGAGCCAGTGTGTACCTTAAAAAAAAAAATCCTCCTGTTTTCCCATATCAGTCTCTCTGGTCCTCAGTTTCTCAGAACTTTTTGGTGAGCCAGACAGGAGGAGTGGAGATGACAGGTTTACTTTCTCCTTTTCTTGTGGGGCTGGAGCCCAGGGTCAAGGGAAAGAAACCTGTGACCCCAGGCGCTGCTGGAAGAACTTCAGCCCAGAGGGGAGATCGGCTCTCCTGTGACCTGGTGCCCCCACCCAGCAGCACAACAGAACCTGAGGGGCTACAGGATGATTCCAGGAGCAGTGTGATTTCTTCAGGACTGCAGTAAAGTTTTGGGACCAAAGACAGGATCCGTCCCATAAGGACGGAAGGGGAGCCTGATCACCTCCAAGGGTGTAACTAGTAATCTGACCCAGAGAGGCTGGAGGTGGTGACAGAGGCTCGCCAATTCAGATGAATCTCACACCCTACCTGGCACACAATGCAAGAGTGGCTCCCCAAGTCGGTTAGGAAAAGAAAACTGGAGGTGGTGAGAGTGGCTCACAACCCCAATTAGGAACACACGAACTGGGAGTGGGGAGGTGTGTGAAAGTGTGTGAAAGATACAGTTCAGGGAGGAACCAATGTGGGAGTGGCATGGGGAGTCACAGATCTCTTAGCATGGTCTGTGTGCTCCAAGCCAAGTGTGGGGCCAACCTGCACTAGTGGCGAACCGCATACAGCTAATAGGAGCTGCCCCACATCTCAGAGTTATGGTGGGAATAAAACCCTTTCTTAAGCCAAGTGGCATCTGAAAACTCCCATAATAGGAGATGATCTGGTGGGTCTGAGGCAAAAGGAAGAGTGGGTGTGCTGCATCGTAAAGCGAGGAAATAGGAGGAAAGTCATCAAAACACACTCCATTGGGTGCATGTTAGAGAACTTTAATAAAGGTTTTGCAGGAGATTATGGAGTTACGCTAACCTCCTAGAGGTTGAGAACTCTCTGTGAATTCAAATGGCCTTCTTTTGGTGTTGGATGGCCAACCAAAGGAACTATAGATAGGGAAATAATTGACCGTGTATTTAAGGTGGTGACAGGGGTTGGAGGACAGCCTGGGCACCCAGATCAATTTCCTTATATTGACTTATGGTTAAATATAGCACAGACAAGACCAGCATGGTCCAGCTCTGTTTAGCCAGTTAGTGCAAAACACTTGTGGCCAGAGCCGTGCCAAAAATGAAAGTAAGAACAGCTTCACCGGCAGACACAGAGTTAAAGGCAAAGTCCCAGAGGGAGCAAAAAAGCCAGTTTTGCAGGATCCACCAGAGGGAATAGAGATTCCTACTCCATATGTCCCAGCCTAGCCTTCTTTACCGAGGCCAACAGTCCCCCAGGAACCAGATTCAGGAGCTAGCACACCCAAAGTCTCACCCCAAAGGAAGGATCAGAGGCTTGAGAGGCCAGGGAAGGAAGTCAAGATGGTTAAGCCGGCCATCTCAGATCTAGCCATGCTTGAGTTATGCAAATGCATCTCAGGGAGATGGGAGGACCCATTTATTATGATGACCAAGGCCAAGTCAGGTGGGGGGAATGGACTTTCATCTATCATCCCTTTTCAACCATTGATCTCTTGAACTGGAAACACCATACTCCCTCCTATATGGCAAAGCCCCAAGCTCTTATAGATCTGATGCAATCCATCTTTCTGACACACAATCCAACCTGGCCAGACTGCAGGCAGTTTTTTCTCCCACTGTTTAACACTGAGGAGTGTCGGAGAGTAACACAGGCAACTCTCTGCTGGCTAGAAGCCCGCTGTTCTCTCTCTACACTTTGTCTCTGTGTCTTATTTCTTTTCTCAGTCTCTCACCCCACTTGATGAGGTATACCCACAGGTGTGGAGGGGCTGGCCCCCTTCCTTTAGGGGCAGCAGGATTCTGCCACATCTGGATTCCAAATTTTTCAGTGATGGCTAAGACATTATATGAAGCCACAAAATCGGAGAAAAAGAGCCCCTCCTTTGGGAAACTAATCAGGAAATAGCATTCAAACAGCTCAAGGAAGCTTTAGGTCAGGCCCAACCTTAGGACTACCAGATATAATTAAGCCTCTCTTTCTATGTATTCATGAATGAAAAGGAATGGTTATAGGGGTTCTGACTCAAATTATAGCATCATGGCATTGCCCAGTGGCGTATTTATACAAACAACTGGACTCTGTGGTGCTAGGATGGTCTCCTTGCCTTAAGGCATTAGCTGCCACCATCTTGTTAACACAAGAAGCTAGCAAATTAACTCTGGGACAGCAGCTAACTGTGCGGGTGCCACACTCAGTTATAACTTTGATGGACCAAAGAGGGCATCTTTGGTTATCAAACCCAAAAATGACTCAGGTCTTCCTTGTGAGAACCCTTACATTATTTTAGAAACAGTGAACACCTTAAACCTGGCTCCTCTGCTCCCAGTCTAACCGGGGGCTCCCCTCCATGACTGTGTTGCAACAGTAGATGAGGTGTTCTCCAGTCGGAAAGATCTTGCAGACAGACCTCAGAGACCCGGCTTTTGAATACTTCACAGATGGAAGTAGTTTTGTGCTAGAAGGGGTTCAAGATGCCAGGTATGCAGTAATAACATTGGACTTAGTAGTAGATGCTCTGCCTCTGCCTACTGGAACATGAGCTCAAAAGGCAGAATTAATAGCCCTGACAAGAGCACTGTTTCTAGCAAAAGAGAAGAAGGTCAATATTTACACTGATTCTAAGTATGCTTTTACTACATTGCATGTACATGAAGTTATAGACAAAGAGAAAGGGCTTTTAACAGCTGGAGGCAAAGAAATCAAGTACAAAGAAGAGATTCTACAGCTCTTAGAGGCTGTATGGCCTCCAGGAAAAGTAGCTTTAATGCACTGCAGATGGCACCAAAAGTCAGGGACACCAAAAACCAAAAGAAACAGAAAGGCAGACAGAGAGGCAAAGAGGGGAGCAATGATTGCATCACATTTTAAAGAGGAAGCCTTAGCTATGCTTCTCCTCCCAGAAGCTCCTCTCCAAGAAGATCCAAGTTCTACTCCAAATGAAAGAGCCTGGTTTGCTCAAGAAGCTGGAAAATATATTAAAGGAGGGTGGTGGAAATTCTTCAATGGGACATTAGCCATTCCAGAAATGTTAGCTCCTACGTTTCTGAAGCAAATTTATCTAGGAACTCATATGGGAAAAAATGGCACTGGAAACATTACTGAAATGCTGTTTCTATGTGCCGTGGCCATCATTTGAGCTGTTTGTAAACAATGTTTAACCTGTGCTCAGAACAACCCGTGACAGGGGCCCACTCAACCCCCAAGAATTCAGGAAGTAGGAACCATGCCTTGTGAAAACTTTCTTGTAGACTTTACCAAACTACCCCATGCCGGAGGCTATCAGTATATGCTGGTGCTTATTTACACCTTTTCAGGATGGGTTGAAGCTTTCCCCACCAGAACAGAAAAAGCATGAGAAGTGACTAAAGTACTGCTAAGAGACATCATCCCCAGGCTTGGACTGCCTCTAACTTTAGGGTCCGTTAATTGCACGGCATTTGTAGCTGAAATAGTGCAAGATTTAACAAGACTGTTAAAAATAAAATGGAAGTTACACACAGCCTATCAGCCGCAAAGTTCAGAAAAAGTGGAATGCATGAACCAGACACTCAAGGAGCTTCTGAAGAAATATTTCCAGGAAACCTATCTGAGATGGGATCAGGTCTTGCCTATGGTCCTCCTCTGAGTCAGGTGCACCCTCACCAAACAAACTGGGTATTTGCCCTATGAGATTTTGTTCAGTCAGCCTCCCCCAATCATAAGTCAAATTAAAGGTTATCTCCTTGAACTAAGAGAATTAACCTTAAGAAAGCAAATGCAGGCATTAGGGACAGACTTGCAAAGTGTCCATGGGTGGGTACAGGAAAGAATGCCTGTAAGCCTGACAGACCAGACACACCCCTTTAAACCTAGTGACTCTGAGTTAAAAAGTTGAATTAAATTCTCTAGGACCCATATGGGATGGGCCCTATACTGTAACCTTTTTTTTTTTTTTTTTTTTTTTTTTTGTTGATGCAGAGTCTTGCTCTGTCCCCCAGGCTGGAGTGCAGTGGTATGATCTCAGCTCACTGCAAGCTCTGCCTCCTGGGGGTCGCACCATTCTCTTGCCTCAGCCTCCCAGGTAGCTGGGACTACAGGTGCCCACCACCATGCGTGGGTAATTTTTGTATTTTTTTTTTTAATAGAGATGAGGTTTCACCGTGTTAGCCAGGATGCTCTCCATCTCCCAACCTCGTGATCCACCCGCCTCGGGCTCTGAAAGTGCTGGGATTACAGGCATGAGCCAACACACCCAGCCCTATACTGTAATCTTGTGTACTCCCTCTGCTGTTAAAGTTGCAGGTGTTGTGCCTTGGATCCACCACAGCTGGCTGAAACCGAAGCTCAGGACAAGTGGACCAGCCAGCAGGACCCAGATCACCCACCTGATCCTGAGATGAGACACAGCTGATCCTGAGATGAGACCAAGCTGATGCTAAAGATGACTGCCCTGCTCTGGTCACTCCAGAAGCTGACCAGTCTACGTACAGCTGAAGGTTGAGGAGACAACAAGCCCTGCTCTAGTCACACACTGGAAGCTGACTAGTCTACGCACGGCCGAAGCTTGAGGACTCATCAAGCAAATAAACATAGTTAGAAATCTTAGGACTAGTAGTTTTCCTTGTAATACTGTTTTCCTATTGTTCACTGAAACCTCTGCTTCCTCAGTTCAAGCAATTCTCCTGCCTCAGCCTCCCAAGTAGCTGGGACTACAGGCACAACACCACACCCAGCTAATTTTTCTATTTTTACTAGAGATGAGGTTTCACCATATTGGCCAGGCTGGTCTCAAATTCCTAACCTCATGATCCACATGCCTCAGCCTCCCAAAGTCCTGGGATTACAGGTGTGAGCCACTGCGCCCAGCTGTCCTGCTTCTTTCTCAGTGGGGATCTGCTCCCCACACATTCTCCTCTGTGTTCCTCAGACCACGAATATCTCTGAGGTCCATCAGTGTGAGGTCTCTTGCAGGTGCCATTCCTTCCTTTCTCTCAGGACTTTTTTTATTGGTGTGTCTCTGTGCCATAAGGAATGTGTGCCTGTGAAGAACAGGCTAGACTCTGCAGCAGGACACAGAGGCCCTGGAGAGGCAGACAGTGGAGCAAGCAGGGGCTGAAGTTACCTCGTTTTTACCCAAAGGAGGCTCCTAACCACTGTCGCCACTGACACAGTGGCTCCAATAAAAAGAAAATAGGGGATGACTCCACACATTTCCTTGAGCAGCTAGAAAAAAAAATCCCTGTTGATATTCATATTAGTACAGTACTTTTGGTAGTGTTAGCACTTGTATTAGTAGTAGTACTAGTATTAGTGTCAATACCTACATTAGTATTAGTAGTGGTCTTGTTTAGCTGATGAAAGCTTGTTTCTCTCTCCTTCTGGGATAAAAACTCAAGACACCCTGGGGATCTCGAGTGCATGGACCAGGGAGTCTGAAGGAGTTTGTTCTTTGGATGTGAACCCATGGGAAGTGGGTGTGTATTCTGTGGCCAAAGTCGCTGACCTCTTTGATTAGAGGAGACACAGGGGGCTAGCACCCACCCCCAGGCCTGTGCTTCCAGGAACACTTCTCTCTCTTTCCATGTGTGTGCCTGAGAGGGTTCCTGGTCCTCACCCATCCCCATTGGCTCTTCTACAGGTGATGTGTCTACTGTACACCTACAGGTGACCTTGTGTAGAAAGAAATCCAAGAACACACATGGGGCCACATAGAGTGAGACTGCCTCCAGGCAGGCACAGGGACCCCGAGCTTCTGAGGCACTGTGAGCGCCTGAGACTGGGGCACTCTCATGGAGACAAATGCATGGGGCTTTAGAAAAGGCTGGGTTGGAGGGAGCAGAGGAGGGCATGGATGGAATGCAGGGGTCCCTGGAAGCTTCAGGCCAGAGGCACTTGGGAGTGGGGAAGGCATCATGGAGAAAAAGGTCAGGGCTCCTTCCATGCCCTGAGGTCACAGCGGGTCTCCCTCTCTCCCAGCTTCTCCCTGGGCTCTTGTGTCTGGGAGTCAGGGCTGGCTCAGCTGGGGTTCTTTGGTGAGTGGGAAGGACATAGGGCACTCAGCGTCTCAAGTGCAAATTTTAACATAATCCTCAATGAGAGGTTTCGCCCAGTAGCCTCCTGTCCACAGATCCCATGTCTCCTTGCTGCACTCCTGAGGGGGTTGCCCAGCCAGGGACACGAGGCGTTTTACTTTTCCCTGCCAAGTGAAAAACCATGTTAATCTGTGAGGCCAGCTCTGTCCTGGAGAGTTGTCACTTTCTAGGTGCTCACACCACACACATGTATATATATATATATACACATACCATGAGGTCATTGACACTTACCAAGGGGGCGAACCAGGGATGTCAGGATCCACGGGGCCCCACCCAGGGGCTGCTGGGAAGGCACTTTTGTCCAAGGAGGTACCCCGGCCTGAACCTCCGCTGTTCCCTTTTTTTTTTCCTTCCACAGGTGCCTCTACCTCCCCTTTCAAGCCTTATCATCCTTTCTGGGCCTTCTTGCCCCATTGGGGTAAAACCGCGAGTGTGACATGCACCGTGGGTGAGCACCAGGGACGCCAGGATCACCAGGGCCCTGTGCAGGGTCTGCTGGGAGGGCACTTTCATCTGTGGGGGGACCCAGGCACCCCTTCTCTGCCTCGCCATTTTTTTTCTTCCACAGGTGTCTCTACCTCCCCTTTCTAGCCTTATCTTCCATCCTGGGACTTCTTACCACTTTGGGGTGCCCCCCATGGGTGTGACATGCACCTTGGGTGTGAATCAGGGATGGAACTAACCCCGGAGCCCTGTGCAAGTGCTGCTGGGAAGGCACTTTAGTCCATGTGGGGACACAGGCCCCCCTCCTCTGCCGCACGTATTTTTTACCTTCCACTAGTGCCTGTTGCTGCTTTGGGTTTCCCCCCAGTGGGAGGGACAGGCATCGTTGGGGCGAACCAGGGACACCAGTATCCCCAGGACCAAGCTCAGGAGCTGCTGGGAAGTCACTTTCATCCATGGGGGGACCCATGCCCACCTCCTCTGCCGTGCCGTTTTTTATTCCTTCCACAGGTGCTTCTACTTTAAGCTTCAAGCCTTCTCTTCCATTCTGGGCCTTCTTGATGCTTTGGGGTGCCTCCCGCAGGTGCAACACGCACTGTGGGTGTGAACCAGGGATGCCAGGATCCCCCGGGCCCTGTGCAGGGTCTGCTGGGAGGGCACTTTCATCCGTGGGTTGACCCAGGCCCCCCTTCTCGACTGCGCCATTTTTTTCCTTCCACAGGTGCCTCTACCTCCCCTTTCAAACCTTATCTTCCCTTCTGGGCTTTCTTGCCCCTTCCGGGTGCCCCCACCACCATGACAGGCAACGTGGGTGTGATCCAGGGATGCCAGAAATCCCGGGGACTCCGTAGGGGCTGCTGGGAAGGCACATTCTTCTGTGGGGGGACCCAAGCACCCCTCCTCTACGGTGCCCATTTTTTTCCTCCACAGGTGCCTCTACCTCCCCTTTCAAGTCTTGTCTTCCTTTCTGGGCTTGCTAGAAGCTTTGGGGTGCCCCCCATAGGTGCGATATGCAGCGTGGGTGTGAACCAGGGACGCCAGGATCCCCGGGGCCCAGTGCAGGGTCTGCTAGGAAGGGACTTTCGTCTGTGGGTGGACCCAGGCCCTCCATCTCAGCCCCACCATTTTTTTTTTTCCTTCCACAGGTTCCTCTACCTCCCCTTTCTAGCATTAACTGCCATTATGGGCCTTCTTGGAAGTGCTGGGAACTGCAGAACCACAAAAAGGGAATCACAGCCCTGGCTCAGGAAGCTCCCACGTCTGGGCTCCTGAAAAGAGTAGTAGCTCTTCTCTTTTTCTCTTCACCTACAACTTGGTGAGCAAGGGGCGTGTTTCAGCTTTGTTTGTGTTACTGCTTTTAGCCCCACCATTAGGCGGGTCTTGTCCTGCAACCAGGAAGAATGAAATATGCAGACAAGTGGAGAGTGAGCAAGATAAAGAGGACCTTTATTGAGCAATAGAATGGGGAAGGGGGGACCTCCTGGGCCCTCGAGAGCACTAGGGGACCTTGTTTGGTAACTGCAACCTGGGCAGCTTCAGTTGTGCCTTTGGAGCTACTGCCCTGCCAACTTGGGAGGACCAGGACTCCCTCTTGTCCCAGGATCCCATCAGCTCCAAAGTGTGCACAGCCTCAGCTTTGCCCTCTCTCTGTTTCCGTGCAGAGGTGACAGGTGAGATGCAGGTTCACAGCAGCTCTGGTCAACCCCACAGAAACAAATCTGAAGCTCCTGGGTCCGGTTTAATGAGCCCCAACTGCGCTCTGATCCAGGAGTTTGCAGGCTAACAGCACAAAGTGGGGAGTGAGGTCGAGGCTGTGGTGGAGACTGCGGACCTAGGGGCAAGTCCCGTTTAGCCGTGAGAGGGTATGGGTGGCACAGTTGGCTGCCTCAGGGACATGGGGCACAGGCCTGGCTGACAACCCAGCCAAGAGGTGGTGCCTTTAGGAGTGGATCGTGGTCCACAGGCCCAGCAATCGGAAGCATCAGGCTCTGTGTTCACCCCTCTTGGGGGCAGATCTTGGAAATGCAGCCTCAGGAAGATTCACACAGAACTCCTTTTTAGACCTAGGAACTTGATACTATTAGCAGGGTGGGCACACAGTTGATGCATAGCTGGCCAGGTCATTGAACTTGGTGCCATTTCTGCTTCCCAACTCGGGGCCCTGGAGCATGGCCCCAGCTCTGCCTTTGGAACCTGACAACCACACTTCATGTGCAAGCACGGCACCACCCCAAGCCCATCTTCTCCTCATGGCCCCTTTCTGCCTGTGCCTTTGTGCCCGACCGAGCTGCTCCCCACAGTCGAAAAAGTATGAAAAAACAGATGACTAAAGAGAAGTAAAGGATGGGTGCAGACCATTCGCACACCTGTAATCCCAGCACTTTGGGAGGCCAAGGTTGGCAGATCACTCAAAGCCAGGAACTCAAGACCAGCCTGGTGAACAGGGTAAAACCCTGTCTCTACGAAAAATACAAAAATTAGCAGGCTTGGTGGCACGTGCCTGTACTCCCAGCTACTTGAGTGGTTGAGGCACGAGAATCACTTGAGCCCCACAGGAAAGGATTCCAGTGATCCCAGATTGCACCACTACACTCCAGCCTGAATGACAAAGCAATATTTTTGTCTCCAAAAATAAAAAAATAAATAATGAAATAAAAGAACAAGAATGGGTGGGAATTACTCAAAATGGTCTAATTTTATTTGGCTGCTATGATGTTCCGCAGCTGAACCTCAATCACAGACAAACTAGTGCCTCGTTATTTTTCCATCAGTAACTCAATAACTAGAGATTTCTGATGTATAAATCCCTAAAACAAGTAAATCAATTACAGAGGACACCAGAAAGTTTTCACTGAGGTTCTCTATTTCTGATATTTCTTGGTAATCATCCTTGCAGGGATAACATTCTCATCACTGAAGAATTTTAGTTTCTCTTTCTGACTCTGTAGCTCTCATTGACTCCACCTCAATATTTTCCTCAAGTCTTGCCCCCTGCTCTTAGGATTTTTTCCCTCGCACTGAGCACCTGTCTGAAACAGAGCTCTGTGCTTCCTTTAAGTTGCACATGTGGCCTGGGCACAGTCGCTCATGCCTGTAATCCCAGCACTTTAGAAGGCCGAGGCAGGAGAATCCCATGCGACCAGCAGTTTGAGACCTGCTGGGGCAACATAGTGAAACACTTTCTCAATTTTTTTGTAATAAAAATATTGGAATTATTAAAAAAGGAAATAAGAAAAGAGGAAAATAACTTGCACCTACATACTAGATTTTAGTGTCCAAGGGCCTAGAAGAGAACATTGGATTTCTCTACCCCGCTAGGCACGCCTTCCCTAGCAGCAAAGATGGAGCTCCAGTTCCTCAGACGGTGATGAGCCACAGGACGGGCAGGGGGCGGGGCCAATGAAGATCCTCTTGGGCTGCCTGACTTCCCTTAGTGTACACATCAACTAAGCCCGAAGTGGGGTGAAGATCTCCCAATCGACATGAACCAAGGAATTCAAACTCTCCTCGGGGGCAGGATACATCTCCAGGCTTAACTTGCTCAGCCCACTGGTGTGGCACAGCAGGTCCTTCAGGGCTTCCATAGACATGCAATTTCTGCCAAAGTAGAAGGTGGTGAGCTGGGAGCAGCGGCTCAGGCCAGGCAGGATGGCACTGAGTTGGGAGTAGTGGATCTGACAGCCCTCCAAGATGAGGGTCTTAAGAGTAATTGCTGCCTCTCTCGAGACCCTCGTGTTGGCAGAAACTTTCTCCAGCAGAGCTCCGAGGGGTTCAAGACTGATACAGAACTGCAGCATGTAGCTGAGATTCAGATGCTTTGGGTAAGCGAGGCTTGGGTACTGGTAGAGACACTTCAAGTCCTCTTCCAATAGGTAGCCGCAAGTTAATTCCAAGTTCTCCAAGGGGTTCTAGAGGCACCTGTGGAGATCAAGAAGTTAGTTCTGGGCAATGGTACCAGTTAGATGAAGGTAGTGGGGAATGAACTCAAGGAAAATACCTGCTTCAACCAAACACAAGTTTGTTCCCACCATCTGATGATGGTCCTCATGCAAGTTGCTGCATGTTGAGGACCCTGATCATTCAGGGGCTGTCCCATTTTAGCCTCAGCCCTTTCACCATTTCTTGTGTGATTGGGTCAAGGCCACAAAATCTCTAAAGCCTTTTATCTTCATCTTTTAGCAGAAAACCTCATCTCTGGGCCACAGGTACCCGGTGGGAGATGTGCACAAAGAACTCAACTCAGCAAGGTCTAGGGACATTAGCTGGGGCTACCTGCCGGCAGGGGCTCCCTGGCCTGCCTGCATCTGCAAACCAACTGTCACTTTTTACCACTCTCACTCCTACTCCTTCACCCTCCATCCCAGAAGCATGCATGTCCCATGTCAATTGACTTTCCTGGAGTTCAAAACAACCTTCTACAGACAGGGAATCAGAGACAGGATCATTCATGATCACTAAGCTGGTGAGGACAGAGCTTCTACTGTGAAATGCACAAGTTTGATGCACTGTCCCTCCTTTCATACCCTCCTTTGTTACCTCTTTTACATCATATCAACTTGAAACACACTTTGTAACAAGAAATTCACACGTGCACATGCAGTAGAGACAAAACGCCCACTAAGTACCTTGTACATGATGTCCCTCTCTAGCCTCTACCCTAGGTGACCCCTCTGCCTTTATTGAAGTGATCCTGTGATAGCCACTCCAGGACATGGAGCACTGAACGGGACAATGTGTTGACATTCTGGTGTCCCCTGCACTGTGCCGTCGCCACTGGCTGGCACACAGTACACGTCTTCTAGTGTTTACTGTAACAAAAAAAAAGGCTGCGCTGTGGTCTGCAGAGAAAGGGCACGATCCTTTCTCACCTGATCAGCTGTCCCAGGTGCCCTCTGTGGAAGGTGACCATATTCATTTTAAGCAGCTGGAGGTGTTTCAGCCTGAGGAACATAGAGCTGATTTTGGCGACTGAGCATTCCTCGCGGTAATTGACGTGTAAGGATGGCACCTGGAGAAAAATGAGTTTGCGAAGATTCTTCATCTCCTTCAGGTAACAATGAAGCTTTCTTATCAGATGTGGCCAGGACACATAGCAAATTTCCAGCTCCTGAATACTATTCAGGTGGATTATTTTCAATGATCTTCTGAGATATTCAATCGACGTTAGATAATTCACCAACTTACTACAGCACAGGTGTACTAAACCTCTCCTTTGGTAAACCCACCGGAAGAGGTATCTCAGGCATTCATCCTGGGGTATTTCCTTGAGGCAGATGTCTATGAACACCTTCAAGGGCTGGTGCTCTCCCATCCTTGGACAGTCCTCTGCTGTCTGCCTCTTACTCATGGCCTCTGGGGAGGAGGACAGGGCCCTGGATTCAGACCATATGGCCCAGAAATTCTCATCAACATCCCGCAAATCCAGCACTTGAAGTTTCCACCTCCTGTGGGTAAAGTAAGGCAGAGGCTCAGAACTTTGAAGGACAAATCCCTGACCTTTGCTTTCATTCTCATCCAATAAATCAGCTGCTCCTGTCCTCGCTGCTCCCTGTTCTCTCTGAGTTTTCTTGGTCCCTTTTCTCTTTCAATTCTGACTGGTCCCCACTTCTATTCCATTTACCTTCCACTGGGAATAGGCAAGTTTCTGTTCCCACAGTGGACCCTATATTGTGGGCAGTTCTTTCCCTGAGGATCTGGGCAATGGCCAAGGCATGCCTGAGCTTCGTCACCAGCACCACCAGAAGACACTGGGCCATCCTTGGGATACTTCTTTGCCTGACCCTGCTGTTCTTTCCCTGGACACCTGAGCCCCATCTACCAGCCTTCCTGGGTCACCTCACCTGGGGCGATCCTTCTGTGTAAGCAGCATGTGAAGCCCTTCCAGCAATGCTTTTAAGGTCTCCAGATGAAGCGTCTTCATCAGCGATCCCAGAGGGAGGCGGGTGAAGGGCCAGGCCTGCACCATCACTGTCAGAGTCTGGAAGTGTCTCCTGCTGAAGGCCTCCAGGAAGAGTGGGAGGTAGAGCTCCCTGGGCAGCTCCTCCAGGGCAGAGATGGCCAAGGGCTTGTCTCTCAGCAGACTCTGCCCCGCCAGCTCCAGGAGTCTGGGTGGGGCCTGGATGCTCATCCTGATGAATCTGTAAGGAAAAACTCTAGAAGACAAATCCAGAGAAAAGGCATCACTTTCAGGCCAAACACAATCACCTCATCTTCTCCTAAGGCCAGTAGCATTGCTCTGGTAGAGGTAGAAAAATTACCACTTTACCCCAATTCCACTCTGCACTTGGTGGCCACAAATCTATATTTCTGCTTCTGCTGGTACCAGGAAGAATGTCTTCCAAACACCAAGGAGGGAGGGGTCAAAGAGACCACTGGCCCATTAATTTTCATCCATGGCTCCACTGAATCCCAGTACCACTGGAAAGTGTCACTGAGGATCCTGAAAGCCAAGCTCTACCTCTTTGAGGAAAATTTTCTTGTCACTTACCGCCCTAAAGCAATGAGAATGAGAGTGTCCTGTGGCCCCAGACAGCCTCCATTCTCAGTTTTCACCATGAACATGCTGGGGGAACACTAAAGGGACTCCCTAAAGTCAATGCCATTATTTTTTATTTTGAAAAATTTCAACCAGAAACTGACCGGGTGCTGTGGCTCATGTCTGTAATCCCAGCACTGTGGGAGGCCAAAACAGGCAGATCACTTGAGGTTAGGAGTTCGAGAACAGCCTGGCTTACGTAATGAACTCTGTCTCTACTAAATATAAAAAAATTAAAAATCATTTGACTCCAAAAGGCAGAGGTTGCAGTGAGCCGAGATCCCACCACTGCACTCCAGTCTGGACAAAAGAGTTAGACTCTGTCTCAAATAATAATAATAATAATAATAATAATAATAATAATTAATTAATTAAAATGTTAGCCAGGTGTGGTGGTGCAGTCCTATAATCCTAGCTACTCTGGAGGCAGAGGAAGAAGAATCACTTGAATCCCGGAGGCAGTGTTTTCAGTGAGCTGAACTCAACACCCTGCCCTTCAGCCTGGGTGACAGAGTGAGACTCCATCTCAGAACAAGAGAAAAGAATTAACCAGAAACTAAAAGCGACGTGATGGTATTCTAGAGCATTTGGAAGGTAGGGATAGAAATACTAACTCTAGATGAGGCACAGTGGCTCACTCCTGTAATCCCAGCACTTTGGGAGTCCAAGGTGTGTGTTTTTATTTTGAAAAACTGTAAGAGAAATTATAAAAGCAGTGTTGCAGTAGTCTAGAGCACTTGGAAGGTAGAAATGGAAACACTAAGTCTGAGGAGAAGGATCCAATACACATCCCTTCCACATACTCACAATCACACACTTAGGGACAGAGTCTAAGGGAAGAGATAAATCCCAGGTTCGGAACAAGTCTCTTGAGAATGGTGTACGGGAGATCTAAGATTTCTGTAAAATGAAAGCCTGACTAATAAAATCACAATACCGCTAAGTGTGTGAACTATAGCTGACAGGCACAGAAACCAACAACTTCACATGTCAAGACATAAACATCCATCCAACTGTAAATTTTTAATATTTTTTTTTTAAAAACTGCTTCAATAAGAATTTTGAAATGAGGAAAATGAAGCACAAATCAAAATTTGAGGGATGAAGTCAAAACTATATTTGGAGGAAAAATCAAAACCTACATCTGTTTAATCTGAAAAAACAGACAGGAAATTCTCTGTGCCATTTTGGGCTGTGTGTCACCATCCCTGACTGGCTGGCTGCAGATTAGACGGGCATGTTCCTAAGAAGGTGGTGACTTACCAGATCTGGACTCAGTTTGCAGGGTGCTGGGACCTCTCAGAGAACCAAGCAGTAGCTCCAGGCACCAGGGCTTTGGGTCTGTCCTGTGCAAACTCAGGAGCTTTTGTTGATGTTTCTAACCACACCCTCCCCTTCTCAATCACCAGCTTCCAATCAGAAAGTGATACCTGATTAGATCCTGAAGTTCCACCCAGTTAATCCTGATTGAGTTTCACACTTTCTTCTGATTCATTGATTAAATTAGATGTGCATTTATGAAAGTGAAAGAATAAATAACAGGGTGAAAGTCCAAAAGTCATTAATTCATTTATTCCCCAAACACTGATGAAGTTTGACTAACATGTGACCTTCATAGTGACATGGAAGGTTTAATCTGTTCCTGGCATTAGAAAGAAAAAACAAAACCTGATGATATCTTTATGGGAGAATATTTGGCCACATTGAAATTATCCAAACGTTTCAGAGCTAAGACAGCTTTAAAAAGACGGTGATGTCAACCCTAAGAAAACAGAATACAAAGCTCTGTTATCCAACAGTTACCTGGGTTTTATGCTTCCTAACGGGGCAGGTCATATGTGGGTTCAGGTTGAAGAGGGGAACCACTGAGGGTGTTATTGATCACAAGACTAAGGTCAAGGCTTCACTGCAGGAAATCAGGACAGAATGACAAAGTGAGGTGGGGGCTGGGCAGGATGGGACCGGGTGTTCTAGTAGAACCCTGGGAAGGAACCAAGACAGCATAAAACATGGTGGGTATTTTGTGGGCATCTCCACAGAAGGATTGAAAGACTCTGTCTGGATTGAGTTTAAAAATTAAAAAGGGAATAGTTACAGAAGAGACAGTGCAGACTCTTCAAACACAACATTGTCTTTGAGGGCAGAGAAGGCAGAAACAGTCTTGGCCCCTACTAGAAGGGAAAGCGTGTTTACTCCCAAAAATGATGGGCTCGCCTCAGAAAATCAGCCTGGGAAGATGGAATCTGAGAATCTGAGCTGGGGCAGATGCCAGAGAGAAGCAGTGTGGCCAGACCTGGGAAGGGAGACTTTCCCAACCTGGAAGCCATCGAAGGTGGGAGCTGTGGGTTTTGCAGGATGTGGGAGAAAGTGAACAAGGGTCCAAGTCTCTGTCATGGTGCTATGGTCTGGAAACCTTTCTTTTAGACTCAGGGATCTTCCCACAGTGGGACATTTCCCAGCAACCCTCACCCACAGGTGTTTCCCAGGGCCCCTCATCCTCATCAATACCCTCGTGCCATTCCCCAGCATATTTTGATAATTAATGTTCTGCCATCCTTAAAGTCCTCCCTTGTCCCTGATATTGAACAGAGAGATTCTGATTAAAGTGATACCATTAGGTATACAAAGAAAACTCAGGCCATGTGTGGTGGCTCATATCTCTAATTTCAGCACTTTGGGAGGCCAAGGCAGATAGATTACTTGAGCGCAGGAGTTTGAGACCTGCCTGGGCAACATGGAAAATTCTGTCTATAAAAACTATATACGAAAAATTAGCCAGGCATGGTGGTGTGCACCTGTAGTCCCAGCTGCCCAAGAAGTTTAGATGCGAGGATCACCTGAGCCCAGGAGGTTGAGACTGCAGTGAGCCATCATTGTGCCACTGCACTCCAGCCTGCTCAACAGAATGAAACCTTGCCTCAAAAAAAAGGAAGGAAAGAAGGAAGGAAGGGAGGGAGGGAGGGAGGGAGGGGAGAGAAAAAGACAGAAGGAAACAGAAAGAAAGGTGGAAAGAAAGAAAAAGAAAGAAGAAAGAAAGTAAGAAAAAGAAAGAAAGAAAGAAAAAGAAGGAAAGAAGGAAGGGAAGAAAAAGAAAGAAAGAAGAAAGAAAGAAAGAAAGAAAGAAAGAAAGAAAGAAAGAAAGAAAGAAAGAAAGAAAGAAAGAAAGAAAGAAAAAGAGCGAGCCTTCTTGTCTTTAAGAGCAGCGCATATATACTGTTATATTGGGTGCACACCTAAAATACATTTCCCCCACAAAACCTGGAAGCTCTATTTCATGTTGAAATATCTGCTAAGTTCACGGATGGCTCCCATCCTAAGAGGGATCACACAGTGATTCTTCCGATGTTTTAGGGCACAAAGTAGCAAGAACCTCCCCTGCCTCCAGAAAGTCCTCCAGGCCTTTCTCTCCCATTCTATATGAAAACCAAACAGCTCTGAGATGCCACTGGCCTCCAAAACTGGAGTACTTTGAAGGGTGTTCTCTATCTTGAAATGTTTCTGTAAATGTTCTTTCTCCACATTTCTGACCTCACTGTCAATGCCCTGCTATGTGTGCAATTGAGTTAAACTGAAATGTGTTCAGTGGGGCTTCTACTTTGCCTGCCCTCACTTTGTGAGCCTGAGGCTGAGGTTGAGCTCAGCACCAAGGGTGATCGTGAGTGTCTCTGGTGACTGAGCATCCACGAGGCACAGCAGGGGCTGGTATCATTCATCCAAGATCTCAGCTCTCCCTCACAAATAATCTAAAGCATGTTGGTGACCCTGAGATTTGGCTAGCAAGAGGAATCTGCCCATGTTCAGACAACAAATGATTGGCAGACCCCTCAGGTGAGAGGCTCAGAGGATCCCCTAAGCAGTTCAACAACCTAAATGTTGGAAAAAACTGGCTGACAGACTTTCCATTCTTTCCCAATTCAGAAGGTCCAGCAAGTAGTGGTTGGTCTCAGGAAGATGGAAAATCACAAACAACAGTTAAAAAAAGAAACTAAGCAAAGGAACACTGGCAAGACACTGTGCCAGTGCCCCCCCCTTTCACCAAGAAGGAAGGCCTCCCACTCCTGAGCCCACTGCGCCCAAGCTTCCACAAGGCCTACATACCCCTAGGCTGCCCAGAGTAGAGAAGAAAGGGTGCAAGACCTCAGGATGCAAGACCCTCCCTTGGCTGCCCGTATGAGGCCTAGAACTGGGATACAAATGTCCCTGAGAGAGCAACAGTATACTGGAGTAGACGAGGATGGGCTTATGGTGGAAAGACGTGCCTTTGTGTACCAACCCTTCACCTCTGCCCATCTCCTCCATTGGAAAACAATACCCCATCCTATACCGAAAAGCCTCAAGCTATAATTTATTTGCTCCAAACTGTTATCCAGACCCACAACCCCACCTGGGCTGATTGCCACCAGGTGCTCATGCACCTCTTTAACACAGATGAAAGGTGGAGAGTGCTCCAAGTGGCAACTAAGTGGCTGGAAGAACATGTTCCAGCTGATTACAAAATCCCCGAGGGTATGTGAGGATCCAACTAGCAGGAACAGACCCCCAGTGGGACCCAAATGAAAGACAGGGTATGCAAAGCCTAAACCAGTACAGGGAAGTCCTTCTGGAAGGATTACAGGCGTGAGCTGCCTCACCCGGCCTTGAATGAGTGAATTCTTGACTTCTACCCTATCCCTAACACTGTCAATTTCCTGATTCATGCAATTAATATGGATATCTGATATGAATGGATATCTGATTCAATCCATTAATCTGGGGAGAGCCAAAAACCCAATCAGGATTAACTGGGTGGAGCTTCAGAAATGCAATCAGATATCACTTTTTGATTGGAAGCTAGTGATCCGCCTGCCTTAGTCTCCCAAAGTGCTAGGATTGCAGGCATGAGCCACTGCACCTGGCCGGTATTTTCTGTTTTGTACAAGATGTTCCAGAAAGAAAGGCAAATATGGAAAGTTGTCTAATTCATTTCATAAGAGAGCAGTAACCCATATTTTAAAAATGGCTAAGGATATTAGAAGGAAAGTAAATTTAAACTTATTTGGCAAAAGTTTTTTTTCTTTTTTCTTTCTTTTTTTTTTTTTTTGAGACAGAGACTCACTCTGTCATGCAGGCTGGAGTGCAGTGGCACAATCTCACCTCACTGCAACCTCTTACTCCCAGATTCGAGCAATTCTCCTGCCTCAGCCTCTCTAGTAGCTGGGATTAGAGCCACATGCCACCACATCCAGCTAATTTATGTAGTTTTAGAAGAGGCAGAATTTCTCTGTGTTGGCTAGAACTCCTGACCTCAGGTGATCCACTTGCCTCGGCCTCCCAAAGTGCTGGGATTACAGGCATGAGCCACCACGGTCAGCCAGAAAAAAGTACTTAATAAATTATCAGTTAACTAAATGCAACACTGCATTAGAAAGTGATAGACAGGCCAGGCTCCGTGGCTCATGCCTGCAATCCCAGCACTTTGAGAGGCCGAGGCAGGTGGATCACCTCAGGTCTGGAGTTCGAGACCAGCCTGACCAACATGGAGAAACCCCATCCCTACTAAAAATACAAAATTAGCCAGGTGTGGTGGCGCATGCCTGTAATCCCAGCAACTCAGGAGGCTGAGGCTGGAGATTTGCTTGAACCAAGAAGGTGGAAGTTGCAGTGAGTCGAGATCATGCCATTGCACTTCAGCTTGTGCAAAAAGAGTGAAACTCCACCTTAAAAAGAAAAAAAAAAGAAAAAAAGAAAGCAATATAGTGATATATAATGGCCATTCCAGGAATGCCAGCCAATCACAGGAAAATCTAAGTGTAATTCAGCATACTGACAAACTAAAGGGGGAAAAGCAAGGTTCCTACAAAATGCAGAAAAGAATTGCAGAAAAATCAAATTAAATTTATCATAACATATTTCGGAAACTGAAATGTTGTATGTTGAAAACTTGCATTAAACATCAGATGTAATGGATAAACATTAGCTCCCTTCCTACTGAGATATGAAACAAGGTAAGAACCTCAGCACCTTAGGATTTGGACGCACGTAGGTATTTTGGTTAATAGTAAAGACTCCAGATCCAGCAGACCCAGACTGCTTAATTTAGGTTCAAAACTGGCTCAGTACCATCCTGGCTAACACGGTGAATCCCCGTCTCTACTAAAAACACAAAAATTAGCCGGGCATGGTGGCAGGTGCCTGTAGCCCCAGCTACTCGGGAGGCTGAGGCAGCAGAATGGAGTGAACCCGGGAGGCAGAGCTTGCAGTGAGCTGAGATCGCGCCACTGCACTCCAGCCTGAGCGACAGCATGAGACGCTGTCTCAGAAAAAAGAAAAAAAACTGGCTCAGTGGCCAATGGCTGTGTGGTCTTACTCAACTTACTTAACCTCTCTGTGCCTTAGCTCATTCACATATAAAATGGGATAATAGCAATATTGACTTCACAGAGTGCTATAAATTAATCTATTTAAGTACTTCGAGCTGGATTTGACATAGGGCAAGCAAGGATATTTTTATTGTTATTATATTTGAAAAATATATTAGTTACAAACTTAGGTAAGAGACCAAGGCCTATGGTAAAGGTGATTATAAGCCTTCATACACCACTGTTGTTCTGAAAATCTTAATTATAACAAGGCCAGGCACGGTGGCTCACGTCTGTAATCCCAGCACTTTGGGAGGCCAAGGTGGGCGGATCACCTGAGGTCAGGAGTTCGAGACCAGCCTCACCAACATGGCGAAACTATCTCTCTACTAAAAATACAAAAAATAGCTGGGCATGGTGGTGGACACCTGTAATCCCAGGTATTCGGTAGGTTGAGGCAGGAGAATCACTTGAATCCAGGAGGCAGAGTTTGCAGTGAGCCAAGATTGAACTATTGCTCTCCAGCCTGGCGAGAGAGTGAGACTCCATCTCCAAAAAAAAAAAAAATTATAAGAACATGTCCATTCACTCTCCAAAGTATCTAGGACTGGACAATTACTTGTCAGGCCCTCTTCTGTAGCACCATACACTATAGCATATATGTGGATTAATATAAATACACATACAAAATTCAAGTATATATTCTATATACTTTCTATATATTTATATTCTAAGAGGTCACATGCAAATTCAAGGCTAGGTCAAAGAGTAGAGTGGCTATCTATGGAAAGGGGAGTGGAAGTGAATCATGGTAATAAAAAAAGGTGTAGATATAGTTATGGATAGGTAGACATACACACATATAGCGGCAAGAAAAGGGAATGTCATGGACCAGTGATGACAGTGAGCCATGTAAAAAGGCTACAATTTTTGTGATTGTGTGTCCATTTTCAGGATTGGTTGTAGCTTACCTTTTTAGAAAGGCTGATGCCATAGTCATAGTGAATAAATGATTATAAAATGTGTTTCCTTTCTGGCGAACCTCTGGAGAAATTTCCAATGGTAGGAGAACTCAGTTTACTGGGCAGGCGATCACACAGATAAGATTTTACAGATCTAATGGCACTACCATTAACTTCATTATCATTGGTATTCTACAAAGGTTGAGTGAATAAATGGTATCTTAAAATTAAATTAGCTAAATTAACAAAAAAGATTGGATTACTTTTTCTTTTTTTTGACACAGAGTCTCTGATGCCCAAGCGGGAGTACAGTGGTGCTATGTCAGCTCACTGCAACATCTGCCTCCCGGGTTCAAGAGATTCTCCTGCCTCAGACTCCTGAGTAGCCAGGATTACAGGCACACACCACCACACCCAGCTGATTTTTGTATTTTTAGCAGAAACGGGGTTTCACCATGTTGACCAGGTTGGTCTTGAACCCCTGACCTTGTGATCTCCCTGCCTCAGCCTCCTGAAGTGCTGGAATTATAGGCTTGAGCCACCTTGCCCAGCCTAATCTTTTTTTCTTTTCTCAAAGGACTTCTATGCACTTAGGAGAGTGAGCCCATCGTTCAGTAACAACATGATTCAATACTGCAAGACCTTGATGCAGTATTTCAAAGTCTTTCCAGTAGGTGAGGGAGGCTTTCAGTGATGCTTAGACCTTCATGCCCTAGAATTTGGAGATTGCATCCTTTAGAAATGATACCAAGGGAAATCTGCCCATGAGCAGCACTGGATGGGACTGTACCAGATGACTTAAAACTAAGGATAACCAAGGAAAAGCCTTCCTTAGAAGCAGACATCATCACATGGTAGACAGTTTTCCAAGACAATGGAACAAGACTCCATTTGATCTTCTTCCATTGACTGAGACTTGGTTTTGTTTTGTATTAAAACAAAATGCTCAAACCTATATTTTATGTTGTTAGGTACTTTCTCCACTCAAACCAAACACTTTCTAAGGTCTTCTGTTCAAAATGTAGCCACTCTCACTAACCAAAGCAATTGCTGGCTATGGAGTCATTTACATGAAAGGGAAGGATCACAACTAAATAGTAGAACATGCTCTCATAAACAGTTGGGTAGCAATTGAGGATGCCAACTTCATGATAAGGTTTGTTATCCTTCCTTTGGAAGGTTGGTTAACATTTATAATTACATGACTTGGCACTGAGAAGAAGCTATAGGTGCAAATGGGTGGCCTATGACTATTATTGATTACATTACTGGCATTTTATCTCTATGCATAAAAAACATTAGTGAAACTGGATCTAATCTAGGTAGTGTCGCAGATTCCCACTAGAATCAAACTCTTTGGTTTGACACACCTTATGAAGACTGGAGTGCTATAGGTATCGACATAGACATAGAATCAGAACATGACCATGTTACCCTCTGCCATTTAATCAGAGAACTTACTGAAACTAGACATTGGTTCATTGGAAACTCTAGAGGCAAATAGAATGTGTCTATAGCTCTACTATGTGAAATACATAATAGTTTTATTTATTGGATGCATCAATACTCAGGACATATTTGGAGAGGAACCTATTCATTCTTCAATGCAGATGGCATGCAAGGATTACTTTATAAAACTCATAGAAATACTTTTTCTTCCCACCCCAATTCAAACCATTACCATGCAACCTGGTATCAATAGAAGTTAAGGCCATTGAGGTAGAAATAATTAAATAAAGCTTTATTGGAAGCTAAATGTGAGAATCGACCTGGAAGACACACACTGACAAAGTGAGTGTTTTCCAAAGTCTGTTACAAGTTGGAATGCTTTTGTAAGAGAGGTTAAAAGAAGGGAATGGGACTCCTCCTATCAATTTTTTTTAATTTTCTTTTGTTTTATTGACCTGGCAAGGCTCAAATAGAGTTGAGTTTTTGTTTTTGTTTTTCCCATTGGAAGGTACAAGACAGAGGTTACAATCGTTAGCTTTAGATGACAACATAACAGGCTAAAACATTTTCCTTGCAAGACAACCAGCATGACTTCATGATCAGAATAAAATCAGTGTCCTTCTCACTGTCAGCGGGTGAAGACTTCATCAGTACTTGTAGAGTTTGAGGTACTCATGAACTCATGATCAGATTCTTTACTCAGGGACAGGATGTAAGCCAATGCTAAGACCTTCTATAGGTGGCTAATTTTTAAGCTTGCCCCAATGAGACCTTCAGGTTTTCACTGGCAATATGCAGGTGCAGATATGACAAAGAATAACAATGACCTTCATATCACCTCCAGCTGTTGAGGAATGGGATCCTTTTCACCCTTCCTGTCCATAAAACCAAGTTACTCATCTTCAGTGGCAACAAAATATATGGTAAACTTAACAGAGAAGGAGACTGTCAGAAAAAAAAAAAAAAAAGATGTGTTTATCCTGAAATGAGGAAAGCAATGGGAATAGATGTGAGATTATTTTGGGAGAAAAAGGAAGACAAAGGTTTTGAAAGGAAAAATAAGGAGGATTATACAAATTGTTTTGAAAGACTCAACCTTGGTCCTAAGAATCAAAAGTAAAGGGGCATCAGTGAAATGTTGGATAGATTCCACCTCCACCCCCTCAGTAACCCCCAACATGTTTACCAAGTCTTGGTTAACTCCCAGGATCCCATTAAAACACCCAGCTCAACCATGCCCATCCTCTACCCTCACTTCTCTTTGTAATTTTGACATGATTTTATTACAGGACCATCAGGTTCCTATGCCTGCTGCACAGTAGCTGACCAATATTCTGAGACAGCAGTGTTTGCAGCAGACAGTTTAATGATCACAGGGTGGCTAAATGAGAAGCTAGGAGGATATCCTCAAATTCATCTCCCCAAGTAGTACTGAGGGTTTCCAGTGGATCCTGGATAGCAAGGGGCTGGAAAGTTGGTGTAGAGGTAAGAGGGATGAAGTCATCAGGATGTCAAAACTGCATTCTTTGGTGAGTTGGTGCCTTGCAGAGCCCTTCAGATCAGCTGGCATCAGTAGTTTCACTGACATGCAGAACCTGAAAGAATATCTCAAATGAGAAAGTTAATGTTTTACAAGGCTTAAATTGTTGTCTGCAGGGTAGTTAAGGGGAACTGTAAGCTAAGGTCTACTTGATTTGGGGACAGTAAGCTGCCAGCAACCATGAGGAAGAAGGTCAGAGAGCAAGCTGACCTCATGGTGAATGCTGAATGCGCTGCAAGCTTGGTTTATTTTTGTTTCTCCCCCTCCCTTCTTCACTGATTAAACTTATAAAGTTTACAGGTATCATTTCAATTTCTTCCAGAGAAGACTTAACCTAAGCCCTGAGACCACTCAAGCCCTCAGTGGCACCTCTCTTCCACCAGCACGAGTGAAGAAACTGCTACCTTAGGTGATATAAAACCCACAAGACCATTCCATACATGGAGATCTTTATTCTTATTTTGTAGGGACGACTCCTCTGTGTTTATACAGCTATTTTAACTAGAAATATTTTTATAAATTTTATAATTTTGATGTGGCCAAAGATCTCCCCACAACACTACTTTCAGGTTTTATTTTTCTGTCTAATGTCTGGAACAGATCAACCCCTTCCCTGCCTCACATCAGGACTTGAAGGCGAAATAGCAGTAAAATTCCATCAGTGTTTGTGGATTTCATGAATGAATGCATTTTTTTTGACAAAATCTCCCTCTGTCGCCCAGTCAGGAGGGCAATGGTGTAATCTTGGCTCACTGCAAACTCAGCCTCCAGGGTTCAAGGGATTCTCCCACCTCAGCCGCATGAGTAACTGGACTACAGGCAGCCACCATCGTGCCTGGCTAACTTTTCTATTTTTGTAGAGACAGGGTTTCACCATGTGGGCCAGGCTGGTCTTGAACTCCTGACCTCAGGTGATCCACCTACCTTGGCCTCCCAAAGTGCTGGGATTACAAGTGTGAGCCACCTCACCTGGCCTTGAGTGAATGAATTCTTGATTTCCACTCTATCCCTAACTCTGTCAATTTCTTAATTCATAAAATGATTATGCATATGTGATATGAATGGATATCTCGTTCAATCCATTAGTCTTCGGACAGTCAAAAACCCAATCAGGATTAACTGAGTGGAGCTTCAGAAATGCAATCAGATATCGCTTTTTGATTGGAAGCTAGCAGCGGATACGTGGAGGGGCGTGGGTGGGAGTTGTGATTAGAAAGGTCAATAAAAGCTTCTAAAGACCCACAGGACAAACTCAAAGTCTTCAAGCCTGGAGTTCCTGCTTGGCTCTTCCTGAGGTCTGAGCACCTTCTAAACTACAACCAGATCTGGTAAGTCACTAATTTCTGTAAGGACACTCCCATGTGACCTACAGTCAGCCGGTCTAGAACGGTGACAGTGCAGCCTACGATGGCATAGAACTATATCATGTCTTTTTTTCTTTTTTTCATATGAACACTTTGAAGCTTTGATTTTTTTTTCTAAATGCAATTTTGTCGTGATTTCAAAAATGTTGTTGTGCTTTTCTTTACATCATTTCAGAATTCTTGTTGGCAGCCATTTTGTGAAGAGACGAAGACTGAGCTGTTTTGGCTGCATTTCTGGCCTCGAGCCGCAGTCAGTTTCTCCCCGTAGAACCCGGCAGTAGGAGACTTAGAATCGAATCTCTTCTCCCTCCCGCCTCCTGTTTTTGGCTTTTTGAGAAACCTTATCATCCAACACAATGGCCAGCAACGTTACCAACAAGATGGATCCTCACTCCGTGAACTCCCGTGTGTTCATTGGGAATCTCAACACTCTTGTTGTCAAGAAATCTGATGTGGAGGCGATCTTTTCCAAGTATGGCAAAATTGCGGGCTGCTCTGTTCATAAGGGCTTTGCCTTCGTTCAATATGATAAGGAGAAAAATGCCCGGGCTGCTGTAGCAGGAGAGGATGGCAGAATGATTGCTAGCCAGGTTGCAGTTATTAACCTGGCTGCAGAGCCAAAAGTGAACCGAGGAAACGCAGGTGTGAAACGATCCGCAGCGGAGATGTACGGCTCCTCTTTTGACTTGGACTATGGCTTTCAACGGGATTATTATGATGGGATGTACAGTTTCCCAGCACGTGTACCTCCTCCTCCTCCCATTGCTCTGGCTGTAGTGCCCTCGAAACGCCAGCGCATATCAGGAAACACCTCACGAAGGGGCAAAAGTGGCTTCAATTCTAAGAGTGGAAAGCGGGGATCTTCCAAGTCTGGAAAGCTGAAAGGAGATGACCTTCAGGCCATTAAGCAGGAGTTGACCCAGATAAAACAGAAAGTGGATTCTCTCCTGGAAAACCTGGAAAAAATTGAAAAGGAACAGAGCAAACAAGAGGTAGAGGTGAAAAATGCTAAGTCAGAAGAGGAGCAGAGCAGTAGCTCCATGAAGAAAGATGAGACTCATGTAAAGATGGAGTCTGAGGGGGGTGCAGAAGACTCTGCTGAGGAGGGGGACCCACTGGATGATGATGATAATGAAGATCAGGGGGACAACCAGCTTCATTTGATCAAGAATAATGAAAAAGATGCTGAGGAAGGAGAGGATAACAGAGACAGCACCAATGGCCAGGATGACTCTTAAGCACATAGTGGGGTTGAGAAATCTTATCCCATTGTTTCTTTACCTAGGAGCTTGTCTAACAACAAATTTTTCACCAGATCCTCTCCCTTAGTATCTTCAGCACATGCTTACTGTTCTCCCCATCCTTGTCCTTCCCACATTCATTAATTCATATTGCCCTGCGCCTAGTCCCATTTTCACTTCCCATGACACCCCTAGTAGTTTTCCTAAGTCTTACCCTGTAATTTTTGCTTTTAATTTTGACACCTCTTTATGACTTAACAGTAAAAAGGATGTATGGTTTTTATCAACTGTCTCCAAAATAATCTCTTGTTATGCAGGGAATACAGTTCTTTTCTTTCATACATAAGTTCAGTAGTTGCTTCCCTAACTGCAAAGGCAATCTCATTGAGTTGAGTAGCTCCTGAAAGCAGCTTGGAGTTACAAGTATGTGTGTTACACCCCATATTAGTGTGCTGTGTGGGGCAGTTCAACAAAAATCTAACAATGTATTTTTGTGAATGAGAGTTGGCATGTCAAATGCATCCTCAGAAACATAATTGGTGTTATAGTCTTCAAATGTGTTTTCTAAAGTTGATACCGTGGGTTATTTTTGTGAACAGCTTGATGTTTGGGACCTTTTCCCTGAAAATAAACAACTCTTTATTAAACCAGCAATTTAAAGAAAAAAAATTCTTGGTGGGAGCAATGACTCATGCCTGTAACTACAACACTTTGGGAGGCCAAGGTGGGAGGATCGTTTGAGCGCAGGGGTTCGAGACCAACCTGAGCAACATGGCAAAACCCTATCTCTACAAAACATTTGTTTTGAGGGGCGGGATGGAGTCTCACTCCGTTACCCAGGCTGGAATGGAGTGGCACAATCTCAGCTCACTCCAACCTCTGCCTCCCAGGCTCAAGCGATTCTCATGCCTCAGCCTCCTGAGTAGCTGGGATTATAGCCACCCACCCCCATGAGCAGCTCATTTTTATATTTTGGATAGAGACGGCGGTTCACCATGTTGGCCAGGCTGGTCTCAAACTCCTAACCTCAAGTGATCCACCTGCTTTGGCCTCCCAAAGGGCTGGGATTACACCAGTGAGCCACCAATGCCCTGCCTCTTTTTTAAAAAATTAGATGGGCATGGTTGAAGGGGAGCAGCCTCTCCATACCTGTGGGTATATCGCATCAGGTGGGATGACAGACTGTGAAAAGAAATAAGACACAGAGACAAAGTATGGAGAAAGAACAGGGGGCCCAGGGGACCGGCGCTCAGCATAAAACGTGAGCAAAGGAATCTGTGTCACAAATGAGTTCAAGGGAAGGTACTCTGCCTGGATGTGCATGTAGGCCAGATGTATGCTTCTCTCCACCCAAACATCTCAGTGGAGAAAAGAATAACAGAGCAGCATTGCTGCCAACATGTCTCACCTCCCAACACAGGACAGTTTGTCTCCTATCTCAGAATAGAACAAATCTACAATTGGGTTTTATACCGAGACATTCCATTCCCAGGGACAGGCAGGAGACAGAGGCCTTCCTCTTATCTCAACTGCAAGAGGCCTTCCTCTTTTACTAATACTCCTCAGCACAGACCCTTCACGGGAGTTGGGCTGGGGGATGGTCAGGTCTCTCCCATCCCACAAGGCCATATCTCAGGCTATCACATGGGGAGAAACCTTAGACAATACCCGGCTTTCCAGGGCAGAGGTCCCTGTGGCTTTCCACAGTGCATTGTGCCCCTGGTTTATCGAGAATGGAGAATGGCGATGATTTTACCAAGCATATTGCCTGTATACATATTGTTAACAAGGCACATCCTGCACTGCCCTAGATCCCTTAAACCTTGATTCCATACAACACATGTTTTTGTGAGCTCAAGGTTGGGGCAAAGTTACAGATTAATAGCATCTCAGGGCAAAGCAATTCTTCAGGGCACAGGTCAAAATGGAGTTTCTTATGTCTTCCTTTTCTACATAGACACAGTAACAGTCTGATCTCTCTTTCTTTTCCCTACACATGGTGGCATGCATCTGTAGTCCCAGCTACTTGGGTGGCTGAGGTGGGAGAATCCCTTGAATCCAGAAGATTGATGCTGCAGTGAGCCATGCTCACACCAGTGCTGTACTCCAGCCTGGGCAGCAGAGTCAGACTGTTGAAAAAAAAAAATCTTAATCAAACAGTTAAAAAAGTGCAATTAATTGTAATCAGTAGGCAGATCCCAAATTCCCCAAAAAAGGAGAGAAAGAGAGTTTAGAAGGCTCTACATGCTAGCATCCCATTCAGACTGTTTAATCCTACCATTGTGGTTTTGTAAGAAAAACAGTCTTAAAGATTTCCAATAATTCTCACTATGGCCATAAATTATCCTGGGTGTCATTTTCCCATCAACTTAAAAAGGCACGTGAGAGGCCGGGCACGGTGGCTCACACCTGTAATTCCAGCACTTTGGGAAGCCAAGGCAGGTGGAACGCCTGAGATCAGGAGTTTGAGACCAGCATGGCCAACATGGAGAAACTCCATTTCTACTAAAAATACAAAAAATAGCCGGGCGTGGTGGTAGGCATCTGTAATCTCAGGTACTTGGGAGGCTGAGGCAGGAGAAACAGTTGAACCCGAGAGGTGGAGGTTGCATTGAGCCAAGATAGCACCTTTGCACACCAGCCTGGCCACAGAGCAAGACTCCATCTCCAAAAAATACTACTAATAATTATAACAGCATGTCCATTCACTCTCCAAAGTGTCTGGGACTGGACAATTAATTGTGAGGCCCTCTTCTCTAGCACCCTACGCTATAGCATATATGTGGATTAAAATAAATACACATAAAAATGCAAGTATATATGCTATATACTTTCCATATACTTATATTATATAAGGTCACATGCAAATTCAAGGCTAGGTCAAAGAGTAGAGTGGCAATATATGGAAAGGTGAGTGGAAGTGAATAATGGTAATAAAAGGAAACAGATAGATATAGATATAGATATGAATAGGTAGACATACACATATATAGCTGCAAGAAAGGGGGTTGTCATGGACCAATGATGACAGTGAGCCGTGTAAAAAGGCTAAAATTCTTGTGATTGTGTTTCCATTTTCAGGATGAGTTGTAGCTTACCTTTTTAGAAAGGCTTATGATGCAGTCATAGCAAATAAGTGATTATAAAATGTGTTTCCTTTCTGGGCAATTCTGGAGAAATCTCTAATGGTATGAGAATTCAGTTTACTGGGCAGGTTATCACACATAAAATTTTACAGACCCAATGACACTAGCATTAACTTCATTATCCTTGGTATTCTATAAAGGTTGAGTGAACAAATGGTATATTTAAACTAAAATTAGCTAAACTGACAAAGAAAACTGGATTATTATTATTTATTTTTGAGACAGAGTCTCTGTTGCCCAGGCTGGAGTACAGTGGTGCTACCTTGGCTCACTGCAACCTCTGCCTCCCAGGTTCAAGGAGTTTTCCTGCCTCAGCCACCTAAGTAGCTGGGATTACAGGCACACACAACCACACCCAGCTAATTTTTGTATTTTTGGCAGAAGCGGGGTTTCACCATTTTGGCCAGGTTGGTCTTGAACCCCTGACATCGGGATCTGCCTGCCTCGGTCTCCTAAAGTGCTGGGATTATAGGCGTCAGCCACCACACCTGGCCGAATCTTTTTTTCTTTTCTCAAAGATGTTGTCATAGTATTGGGTTCTATGCACTCAGGAGAGTGAGCCCATCATTCAGTAACAATATGAATCAATACTGCAAGACCTTGATGCAGAATTTCAAAGACTATTTCCAGTAGGTGAAGGCTTTCAGTGATGCTTAGATCTTCCTGCCCTAGCATTTGGAGATTGCATCCTTTGGAAATGACACCAAGGGAAATCTGCGCATGAGCAGCAATGGATGGGACTGTACCAGATGACTGAAACGTAAAGATATCCGAGGAAAAGCCTTCCCTAGAAGCAGACATCATCACATGGTAGACAGCTTTTCCAAGACAATGGAACAAGACTCCATTTGATCTTCTTCCATTGACTGAGACTTGGTTTTGTTTTGTATTAACACAAAATTCTCAAACCTGTATTTTATATTGTTAGGTACTTTCATCACTCAAACCAAACACTTTCTAAGGTCTCCTGTTCAAAATGTAGCCACTCTCACTAACCAAAGCAATTGCTGGCTATGGGGTCATTTAGATGAAAGGGAAGGATCACAGATAATAGTAGAACCTGCTCTCATACACAGTTGGGTAGCAATTGAGGATGCTAACTTCATGATAAGGTTTGTTATCCTTCCTTTGGAAGGTTGGTTAATATTGATAATTAAATGACTTGGTACTGAGAAGAAGCTATAGGTGCAAATGGGTGGCCTATGACTATTATTGATTTCATTACTGGTAATTTATCTCTATGCCTAGAAAACATTAGTGTAACTGGGTCTAACCTAGATAGTGTTCCAGACTCCCACTAGAATCAAACTCTTTGGTTTGACATGCATTATGTAGATGGGAATGCTATAGATATCGACATAGACATAGAGTCAGAACATGACCATGTTACCCTCTGCCATATAATCAGAGAACTTACTGAAACTAGGCATTGGTTCTTTGGAAACTCTAGAGGCAAATAGAATGCATCTATAGCTCTACTGTATGAAATAATAGTTTTATTTATTGGATGCATCAATACTCAGGATATATTTGGAGAGGAAACTATTCTTTCTTCAATGGAGATGGCATGCAAGGATTACTTTATAAAACACACAGAAATATTTTTTCCTCCCACCCCAATTCCAACCATTACCGTGCAACCTGTTGTCAATAGACGTTAAGGCAGTTGAGGCAGAAATAATTAAATAAAGCTTCATTGGAAGCTAAATGTCAGGATCGACCTGGAAGACACACACTGACAAAATGAGCGTTTTCCAAAGTCTGTTACAAGTTGGAATGCTTTTATAAGAAAGGTTGAAAGAAGGGAATGGGACTCCTCCTATCAGTTGTTTTTTTTTTTTAATTTTCTTTTGTTTTATCCTGGCAAGGCTCTAATAGAGTTGAGCTTTTTTGTTTTTGTTTTTTCCATTGGAAGGGACAATACAGAGGTTACAATCATTGACTTTAGATGACAACATGACAGGCAAAAATATTTTCCTTGCAAGACAACCAGCAAAACTTCACGATCAGAATCAAATCAGTGTCCTTCTCACTGTCACTGGGTGAAGCCTTCATCAGTACTTGAAGAGTCTCAGGCACTCATGAAGTCAAGATCAGATTCTTTACTCAGGGACAGGATGTAAGCCAATCATAAGACCTTCCACAGATGATCAATTTGGAAGTCTACCTAATGTGACCTGCAGGTTTTCACTGGCAATATGCAGGTGCAGATATGACAAAGAATAATCCTGACCTTCATATCGCCCCTAGCTGATGAGGATTGGGATTCTTTTGTCCCTTTCTCTCCATAAAACCAGGTTACTCATCTTGTGTGGCAACAAAATATATGGTCTACTTAACAGAGAAAGAGACTCCACAGGAAAAAAAAAAGGATTTTTATTATGAAATGAGCAAAGCCATGGGAATAGATGTGAGATTATTCGGGGAGGTAAAGGAAGACAAAGGTTTTGAAAGGAAAAATGAGGAGAATTACATAAATTTTTTTGAAAGACTCATTCTTGGTCACAAGTATGAAAACCAAGGGAGCCTCAGTGCAGTGTTGGAAAGATTCCTCCTCCACCCTCTCAATAACCCCCAACACATTTACCAAGTCTTTGTTCACTCCCAGGATTCCATTAAAACACCCAGCTCAACCCTGACCAGCCTCCACCTTCACTTCCCTTTGTAATTTTGACATAAATTTGTTACAGGACCATCAGGTTCCTATGCCGGCTGCACAGTAGCTTACCAATATTCTGAGACAGCAGGATTTGCAGCAGAAAGTTTAATGATCACAGGGTGGCTGAATGAGAAGCTGGGAGGAGATCCTCAAATTCATCTCCCCAAGGAGTACTGAGGGTTTCCAGTGGATCCTGGATAGCAAGGGGCTGGAAAGTTGGTGTAGTTTGATGGCAATAAGAGGTATGAAGTTATCACGATGTCAGAACGGCATTCTTTGGTGAGTTGATGCCTTGCAGGGCCCTTCAGATCAGCTGGCATCAGTAGTTTCACTGACATGCAGAACCTGAAAGAATATCTCAAATGAAAAACTTAATGTTTCACAATGCTTAAATTGTTGTCTGCAGCGTAGTTAAGGGGAATTGTAGTCTAAGTTCTACACGATTTTGGGACAGTAGGCTGCCAGCAACCATGAGGAAGCAGGTCAGAGGGCAAGCTGACCTCCTGGTGAATGCTGAATGCGTTTCAAGCTTGGTTTGTTTTTGTTCCTCCCCCTCTCTTTTTCACCGATTAAATTTATAAAGTTTAGAAATACGGTTTCAATTTCTTCCAGACAAGCCTTAACCTAAGCCCTGAGACCACTCAAGCCCTCAGTGGCACCTCTCTTCCACCAGCATGAGCAAATAAATTGCTACCTTAGGTGATATAAAACCCACAAGACGATTCGATACATGGAGTTTTTTTTCTGATTTTGTAGGGATGACTTCTTTGTTTCTATAAAGCTGTTTTAACTATAAAACAATTTTATAATTTTGATGTGGCCAAAGATCTCCCAACACTACTTTCAGGTTTTATTTTTCTGTCTACTATCCAGAACAGATCAAACCCTTCCCTGCCTCAAACTCAGGACTATATAGGTCATATATCAGTAAAATTCCATCAGTGTTTGCGGAGTTCATGAATGAATGAATTCTTTTTTTTTTTTTTTTTTTTTTTTTTTGTGACAAAGTCTACCTCTGTCACCCAGAACGGTGTGCAATGGTGCAATCTTGGCTCACTGCAACCATTGCCCCCTGGATTCAAGCGATTCTCCCACCTCAGCCTCCTGAGTAGCTGGATTACAGGCACCTGCCATCATGCCAGGCTAATTTTTGTGTTTTTGTAGAAATGGGGTTTCATCATGTTGGCCTTGCAGGTCTTGATCGCCTGACCTCAGGTGATCCAGCCAACTTGGACTCTCAAAGTGCAGGGATTACAGGTGTGAGCCACCTCACCTGGCCTTTAATGAGTGAATTCTTGATTTCCACCCTATTCCTAACACTGTCAATTTCTTGATTCATGAACTTAATATGGATAGCTGATATGAATGGATATCTGATTCAATCCAGTAATCTGGGGACAGCCAAAAACCCAATCAAGATTAACTGGGTGGAGCTTCAGAAATGCAATCAGATAGCACTTTTTGATTGGAAGCAAGCACTGGATAGATGGAGGGGTGTGGGTGGGAGTTGTGATTAGAAAGATCGATAAAAGTTTCTGAAGGCCCACAGGAGAGACCCAAAGTCTTCAAGTCTGGAGTTCCTGCTTGGTTCTTCCTGAGGTCTAAGCACTCTGCAAACTCAGTCCAGATCTAGTAAGTCACTCATTTCTGGAAGGACACTCCCATCTGACCTATAGTCAGCCGGTCTGGGACGGGGGCAATGCAGCCTATGATGGCACCGAGCTATATCTGTCTTTTATATATATATATATGAACAATTTGAAGATTTGAATTTTTTCCTCTATATGCAGTTTTGTCTTTATTTCAAAAAATTGGATTGTGCTTTGGTTTATGTCATTTCAAAATTCTTGATGGGAGCAATGACTCATGCCCATAACCTCAACACCTTGGGAGGCCAAAGCGGGAGGATCATTTGAGCCCAGGGGTTTGAGACCAACCTGGGCAACATGGCAAAAATGCAGCTCTACAAAACATTCTTTTTTTGAAGCAGGGATGGAGTCTCACCCTGTTGCCAAGGCTGGAGTGCAGTGGCAAGAGCTCAACTCACTGCAACCTCTTCCTCCCAGGCTCAAACAATTTTCATGTCTCAGCTTCCTGAGTAGCTGGTATTACATCCCTCTGCCACCATGTCTGCTTAATTTTTGTATTTTTAGTAGTGGTGGGGTTTCACCATGCTGGCCAGGTTGGTCTCAAACTCCTGACATCAAGTGATCCTCCTGCCTAGGCCCCCAAAAGTGCTGGAATGACGGCCGTGAGCCAATGGTGGTCAGCCTCTACAAAATATATATATCTTTTAATTTGCCAGGCATGGTAGCATGCATCTGTATTCCCAGCTATTTGGTTTGCTGACATGGGAGAATCACTTGAGCCCAGAAGATTGAGGCTGCAGTGAGCCATGCTCACACCACTGCTGTACTCCAGCCTGGGCAACAGAGTAAGACCCTGCTAAAAACAAAAACGAAAACAAACAAACAAAAAACCTTAACCAAAGAGAATCTTTGACCTTAATTTTAAACCAATCACATCCTCACTGTAATTCTTCCTCCCGAATGGAGACATGGGTGTGAGGGTGCATGCCTGTAATCCCAGCTACATGGAAGGCTGAAGCATGAGAATTGCTTGAATCTCAGAGGCGGAAGTTACAGTGAGCTGAGATGGAGCCGCTGCACTCCAGCCTGGGCGACAAAGTGAGACTCAGCTTCACCCACACCAAAAAAAATTAGATTATACCACCCAGGTGATCACTGGATACATGAAGATTTCTATTGTGTGTTATTGGGGACTGTCAACTCCGTCTTTGAAAACTGTTTTAACTCTGAAATATTTTGATAAATTTGATGTGGCCAAGGATCCCTCAACAAAGATACTTTCAAGTTTTCTTTCTTTCTGTCTAATATCAGGAAGAGATTCAACACTTCCCTATCTCACACTCAGGACTATGAAGGACACATATTAGTAAACCTCCATGTTTGTGGAGGGAATCAGTGAATGAGTCCTGGACTTTCACCCTATCCCTAAATCTTTCACTTTCATGGATGAATATCTAATTCAATCAGTTAATCTGGAAGAAAGCCAAAAATCCAATCAGGATTAACTGGGTAGAGTTTAAGAAGTCGAATCAAATGTAGTTCTCTCTCTCTCTCTCTCTCTTTTCTTTTCTTTTTTTTTTTTTTTTTTTTGAATCTAGCCTATTTCACAGGCTGGAGTGCAGTGGTGTATTGTCAGCTCACTGCAACCTCTGCCTCCTGGGTTCAAGTGATCCTCCTGCCTCAGCCTCCCTAGTAGCTTGGACTATAGGCGCAGACCACCGCACCTGGCTAATTTTTCTAATTTTGGTAGAGGTAGGGTTTTACCATGTTGGCCAGGCTGGTCTCAAACTCCTGACCTCAGATAATCCACCTGCCTCTGCCTCCCAGAGGGCTGGGATTACAGGTGTGAGTCACTGCACACAGCCAAAGTGGTTCATTTTGAATATGTGTGAGAGGTGTGTATTGGAAACATCTGTGTCTTGCCAATGATGCATAACACTGTCACATAGCTTTCAAAGCTTCTTGCTGAAATTTTCAATAATGAGACCAGGCAGAGGCTCATGCCTGCAATCCCAGCACTTTGGGAGGCCAAAGTGGGTGGATTGTTTGAGTCTAGGAGTTCAAGACCAGCCTGGACAACATAGTGAAACCCACTGTCTTTACAAAAAGTCAAAAAATAAAAGATTAGCTGGGTACGAGATCTGAGCTTCAGAGATCCTCGGTAACATTTGCCAGTGCTATGAGTTTAGTGGATCAGTGGCTAATAATTCATGGACTACGAGGGATCTTGCCTGCTCTTTAGAAGTTGGGACACATTCTTCATGGTACCAGAAGGGTAGAACTATGTCTCTGTGGCCACTTATTGCAGAAAGGAACTGGAGTAAACTGAGGGCTCTTTCACACATGCTAGAGAAATGACTTGGGCCCTGGGAGAATTGGGGGTTGCAGGGGATTGGTCGGAGGAACTTGCCTTTTTGCTGGATTGTGCTGTAGAGTTTTTCCTTGTAGATTTGTCAGAATGAGCCTCCAGACCCCATCCAGACTCCTGGAGCTGGCAGGGCAGAGCCTGATGAGGAAGCAGTTCTTGACTATCTTCACCCTGGACTAGCTGCCCAGGGAGGTCTCCCCTCTGACGTTCATGGAGGCCTTCAGCATGAGATGTTGTGAGGCCCTGAAGCTGATGGTGCAGGCCTGGTCCTCCCTTCACCTCCCTCTGGGATCCCTGATGAAGACAACTCATCTGGAGACCTTGCAAGCTGTGCTGAAGGGACTTGATACACTAGTGTCCCAGAAGGTTTGCCCCAGTTGAGGTGACTCAGGTGGCCTGGTGGGAAGGGTCCAGGCATCCAGGGAAGGGACAGCTGGCTCAGGAGGAGTGGCAGTGTGTGGGAGCTAGGGTGGCTCAGAGGCTTCTGATGGTACCCATGAGAGGCCTTGGCCATTGCCCAGATCCTCTGGAAAAGGACTGCTCACCATACAGAGTCCACTGAGGAAACAGGAACCTGCTTCCTCCCAGTGGAAGGTAAAGGTACTAGAAGTGGGTACCATGCAGAATCCAAGGGGGAACAGGATGGAGAAAAGACAGAAGGAGGAGCACTGGGACAGGAGCAGCTGACTCATGTCCTGGATGTGGAGTGAAAGTTCAGGTCAAGGGTCGGTCCTCGCCTACATTCTGAGCTTTTCCCTTATGTTACTCACAGGAGGTGGAAACTTCAAGTGCTGGATTTGAGGGATGTTGATGAGAATTTCTGGACCATATGGTCTGGAGTCAGGGTCCTCCCCTGCTCCCCAGAGGCCATGAGTAAGAGGCAGACAGTGGAGGACTGTCCAAGGATGGGAGAGTGCCAGCCCTTGAAGGTGTTCATAGACCTCTGCCTGAAGGAAAGTACACTGGATGAATGCCTGAGCTACCTCTGAAGGTGGATCCACTACAGAAGAGGCCTAGTGCACCTGTGTTGTAGTAAGGTGCAGAATTACTCAATGCCCACTTCAAGTTTCAGAAATCTATTGGAAAGGATATACCCAGACAGTATCCAGGAGTTGGAAGTCTGGAAAAAGTGCTCTCTCAATAAAACGGGAAAGTTTGCCCCTTACCTGAGCCAGATGAGCAATCTTCGCAAACTTTTTAGCCTTCGGTTATGAGCCTGAATTATACGTGAGCGGCCAATGGCAGTTCATTCCTGACTTGGATTGGCCATTCCTGTGCCTGTACTACCCCCAGATGCATTATATAAGAAAGGTCAGTAATATCAAAGAGCACCTGGAGCACCTGCTCAGGTAGGAAACGATGGTGGGCTTTCTCTGCAGACCATAACACATAGTTTTGTTCTTTTTCACAGTAAACGTTAGTGGGCATCTACTGTGTGCCATCCACTGGGGATGTCACAGGGAATGGGATGCTAGAATGTCAACTCATTAAGCTGTTCAGTTATGTTATGATAAATTTAATTTGATTTTTCTGCAATTCTTTTCTGCATTTTGTAGGAACCTTGCTTTTCCCCCTTTAGTTTGTCAGTATGCTGAATTACACTTAGATTTTCCTGTGATTGGCTGGCATTCCTGGAATGGCCATTATATATCACTATATTGCTTTCTTTTTTTCTTTTTTTTTTCTTTTTAAGGTGGAGTTTCACTCTTTTTGCACAAGCTGAAGTGCAATGGCATGATCTCGACTCACTGCAACTTCCACCTTCTTGGTTCAAGCAAATCTCCAGCCTCAGCCTCCTGAGTTGCTGGGATTACAGGCATGCGCCACCACACCTGGCTAATTTTGTATTTTTAGTAGGGATGGGGTTTCTCCATGTTGGTCAGGCTGGTCTCGAACTCCAGACCTGAGGTGATCCACCTGCCTCGGCCTCTCAAAGTGCTGGGATTGCAGGCATGAGCCACGGAGCCTGGCCTGTCTATCACTTTCTAATGCAGTGTTGCATTTAGTTAACTGATAATTTATTAAGTACTTTTTTCTGGCTGACCGTGGTGGCTCATGCCTGTAATCCCAGCACTTTGGGAGGCCGAGGCAAGTGGATCACCTGAGGTCAGGAGTTCTAGCCAACACAGAGAAATTCTGCCTCTTCTAAAACTACATAAATTAGCTGGATGTGGTGGCATGTGGCTCTAATCCCAGCTACTAGAGAGGCTGAGGCAGGAGAATTGCTCGAATCTGGGAGTAAGAGGTTGCAGTGAGGTGAGATTGTGCCACTGCACTCCAGCCTGCATGACAGAGTGAGTCTCTGTCTCAAAAAAAAAAAAAAAGAAAGAAAAAAGAAAAAAAACTTTTGCCAAATAAGTTTAAATTTACTTTCCTTCTAATATCCTTAGCCATTTTTAAAATATGGGTTACTGCTCTCTTATGAAATGAATTAGACAACTTTCCATATTTGCCTTTCTTTCTGGAACATCTTGTACAAAACAGAAAATACCGGCCAGGTGCAGTGGCTCATGCCTGCAATCCTAGCACTTTGGGAGACTAAGGCAGGCGGATCACTAGCTTCCAATCAAAAAGTGATATCTGATTGCATTTCTGAAGCTCCACCCAGTTAATCCTGATTGGGTTTTTGGCTCTCCCCAGATTAATGGATTGAATCAGATATCCATTCATATCAGATATCCATATTAATTGCATGAATCAGGAAATTGACAGTGTTAGGGATAGGGTAGAAGTCAAGAATTCACTCATTCAAGGCCGGGTGAGGCAGCTCACGCCTGTAATCCTTCCAGAAGGACTTCCCTGTACTGGTTTAGGCTTTGCATACCCTGTCTTTCATTTGGGTCCCACTGGGGGTCTGTTCCTGCTAGTTGGATCCTCACATACCCTCGGGGATTTTGTAATCAGCTGGAACATGTTCTTCCAGCCACTTAGTTGCCACTTGGAGCACTCTCCACCTTTCATCTGTGTTAAAGAGGTGCATGAGCACCTGGTGGCAATCAGCCCAGGTGGGGTTGTGGGTCTGGATAACAGTTTGGAGCAAATAAATTATAGCTTGAGGCTTTTCGGTATAGGATGGGGTATTGTTTTCCAATGGAGGAGATGGGCAGAGGTGAAGGGTTGGTACACAAAGGCACGTCTTTCCACCATAAGCCCATCCTCGTCTACTCCAGTATACTGTTGCTCTCTCAGGGACATTTGTATCCCAGTTCTAGGCCTCATACGGGCAGCCAAGGGAGGGTCTTGCATCCTGAGGTCTTGCACCCTTTCTTCTCTACTCTGGGCAGCCTAGGGGTATGTAGGCCTTGTGGAAGCTTGGGCGCAGTGGGCTCAGGAGTGGGAGGCCTTCCTTCTTGGTGAAAGGGGGGGGCACTGGCACAGTGTCTTGCCAGTGTTCCTTTGCTTAGTTTCTTTTTTTAACTGTTGTTTGTGATTTTCCATCTTCCTGAGACCAACCACTACTTGCTGGACCTTCTGAATTGGGAAAGAATGGAAAGTCTGTCAGCCAGTTTTTTCCAACATTTAGGTTGTTGAACTGCTTAGGGGATCCTCTGAGCCTCTCACCTGAGGGGTCTGCCAATCATTTGTTGTCTGAACATGGGCAGATTCCTCTTGCTAGCCAAATCTCAGGGTCACCAACATGCTTTAGATTATTTGTGAGGGAGAGCTGAGATCTTGGATGAATGATACCAGCCCCTGCTGTGCCTCGTGGATGCTCAGTCACCAGAGACACTCACGATCACCCTTGGTGCTGAGCTCAACCTCAGCCTCAGGCTCACAAAGTGAGGGCAGGCAAAGTAGAAGCCCCACTGAACACATTTCAGTTTAACTCAATTGCACACATAGCAGGGCATTGACAGTGAGGTCAGAAATGTGGAGAAAGAACATTTACAGAAACATTTCAAGATAGAGAACACCCTTCAAAGTACTCCAGTTTTGGAGGCCAGTGGCATCTCAGAGCTGTTTGGTTTTCATATAGAATGGGAGAGAAAGGCCTGGAGGACTTTCTGGAGGCAGGGGAGGTTCTTGCTACTTTGTGCCCTAAAACATCGGAAGAATCACTGTGTGATCCCTCTTAGGATGGGAGCCATCCGTGAACTTAGCAGATATTTCAACATGAAATAGAGCTTCCAGGTTTTGTGGGGGAAATGTATTTTAGGTGTGCACCCAATATAACAGTATATATGCGCTGCTCTTAAAGACAAGAAGGCTCGCTCTTTTTCTTTCTTTCTTTCTTTCTTTCTTTCTTTCTTTCTTTCTTTCTTTCTTTCTTTCTTTCTTTCTTCTTTCTTTTTCTTTCCTTCCTTCTTTCCTTCTTTTTCTTTCTTTCTTTCTTTTTCTTACTTTCTTTCTTCTTTCTTTTTCTTTCTTTCCACCTTTCTTTCTGTTTCCTTCTGTCTTTTTCTCTCCCCTCCCTCCCTCCCTCCCTCCCTTCCTTCCTTCTTTCCTTCCTTTTTTTTGAGGCAAGGTTTCATTCTGTTGAGCAGGCTGGAGTGCAGTGGCACAATGATGGCTCACTGCAGTCTCAACCTCCTGGGCTCAGGTGATCCTCGCATCTAAACTTCTTGGGCAGCTGGGACTACAGGTGCACACCACCATGCCTGGCTAATTTTTCGTATATAGTTTTTATAGACAGAATTTTCCATGTTGCCCAGGCAGGTCTCAAACTCCTGCGCTCAAGTAATCTATCTGCCTTGGCCTCCCAAAGTGCTGAAATTAGAGATATGAGCCACCACACATGGCCTGAGTTTTCTTTGTATACCTAATGGTATCACTTTAATCAGAATCTCTCTGTTCAATATCAGGGACAAGGGAGGACTTTAAGGATGGCAGAACATTAATTATCAAAATATGCTGGGGAATGGCACGAGGGTATTGATGAGGATGAGGGGCCCTGGGAAACACCTGTGGGTGAGGGTTGCTGGGAAATGTCCCACTGTGGGAAGATCCCTGAGTCTAAAAGAAAGGTTTCCAGACCATAGCACCATGACAGAGACTTGGACCCTTGTTCACTTTCTCCCACATCCTGCAAAACCCACAGCTCCCACCTTCGATGGCTTCCAGGTTGGGAAAGTCTCCCTTCCCAGGTCTGGCCACACTGCTTCTCTCTGGCATCTGCCCCAGCTCAGATTCTCAGATTCCATCTTCCCAGGCTGATTTTCTGAGGCGAGCCCATCATTTTTGGGAGTAAACACGCTTTCCCTTCTAGTAGGGGCCAAGACTGTTTCTGCCTTCTCTGCCCTCAAAGACAATGTTGTGTTTGAAGAGTCTGCACTGTCTCTTCTGTAACTATTCCCTTTTTAATTTTTAAACTCAATCCAGACAGAGTCTTTCAATCCTTCTGTGGAGATGCCCACAAAATACCCACCATGTTTTATGCTGTCTTGGTTCCTTCCCAGGGTTCTACTAGAACACCCGGTCCCATCCTGCCCAGCCCCCACCTCACTTTGTCATTCTGTCCTGATTTCCTGCAGTGAAGCCTTGACCTTAGTCTTGTGATCAATAACACCCTCAGTGGTTCCCCTCTTCAACCTGAACCCACATATGACCTGCCCCGTTAGGAAGCATAAAACCCAGGTAACTGTTGGATAACAGAGCTTTGTATTCTGTTTTCTTAGGGTTGACATCACCGTCTTTTTAAAGCTGTCTTAGCTCTGAAACGTTTGGATAATTTCAATGTGGCCAAATATTCTCCCATAAAGATATCATCAGGTTTTGTTTTTTCTTTCTAATGCCAGGAACAGATTAAACCTTCCATGTCACTATGAAGGTCACATGTTAGTCAAACTTCATCAGTGTTTGGGGAATAAATGAATTAATGACTTTTGGACTTTCACCCTGTTATTTATTCTTTCACTTTCATAAATGCACATCTAATTTAATCAATGAATCAGAAGAAAGTGTGAAACTCAATCAGGATTAACTGGGTGGAACTTCAGGATCTAATCAGGTATCACTTTCTGATTGGAAGCTGGTGATTGAGAAGGGGAGGGTGTGGTTAGAAACATCAACAAAAGCTCCTGAGTTTGCACAGGACAGACCCAAAGCCCTGGTGCCTGGAGCTACTGCTTGGTTCTCTGAGAGGTCCCAGCACCCTGCAAACTGAGTCCAGATCTGGTAAGTCACCACCTTCTTAGGAACATGCCCGTCTAATCTGCAGCCAGCCAGTCAGGGATGGTGACACACAGCCCAAAATGGCACAGAGAATTTCCTGTCTGTTTTTTCAGATTAAACAGATGTAGGTTTTGATTTTTCCTCCAAATATAGTTTTGACTTCATCCCTCAAATTTTGATTTGTGCTTCATTTTCCTCATTTCAAAATTCTTATTGAAGCAGTTTTTAAAAAAAAAATATTAAAAATTTACAGTTGGATGGATGTTTATGTCTTGACATGTGAAGTTGTTGGTTTCTGTGCCTGTCAGCTATAGTTCACACACTTAGCGGTATTGTGATTTTATTAGTCAGGCTTTCATTTTACAGAAATCTTAGATCTCCCGTACACCATTCTCAAGAGACTTGTTCCGAACCTGGGATTTATCTCTTCCCTTAGACTCTGTCCCTAAGTGTGTGATTGTGAGTATGTGGAAGGGATGTGTATTGGATCCTTCTCCTCAGACTTAGTGTTTCCATTTCTACCTTCCAAGTGCTCTAGACTACTGCAACACTGCTTTTATAATTTCTCTTACAGTTTTTCAAAATAAAAACACACACCTTGGACTCCCAAAGTGCTGGGATTACAGGAGTGAGCCACTGTGCCTCATCTAGAGTTAGTATTTCTATCCCTACCTTCCAAATGCTCTAGAATACCATCACGTCGCTTTTAGTTTCTGGTTAATTCTTTTCTCTTGTTCTGAGATGGAGTCTCACTCTGTCACCCAGGCTGAAGGGCAGGGTGTTGAGTTCAGCTCACTGAAAACACTGCCTCCGGGATTCAAGTGATTCTTCTTCCTCTGCCTCCAGAGTAGCTAGGATTATAGGACTGCACCACCACACCTGGCTAACATTTTAATTAATTAATTATTATTATTATTATTATTATTATTATTATTTGAGACAGAGTCTAACTCTTTTGTCCAGACTGGAGTGCAGTGGTGGGATCTCGGCTCACTGCAACCTCTGCCTTTTGGAGTCAAATGATTTTTAATTTTTTTATATTTAGTAGAGACAGAGTTCATTACGTAAGCCAGGCTGTTCTCGAACTCCTAACCTCAAGTGATCTGCCTGTTTTGGCCTCCCACAGTGCTGGGATTACAGACATGAGCCACAGCACCCGGTCAGTTTCTGGTTGAAATTTTTCAAAATAAAAAATAATGGCATTGACTTTAGGGAGTCCCTTTAGTGTTCCCCCAGCATGTTCATGGTGAAAACTGAGAATGGAGGCTGTCTGGGGCCACAGGACACTCTCATTCTCATTGCTTTAGGGCGGTAAGTGACAAGAAAATTTTCCTCAAAGAGGTAGAGCTTGGCTTTCAGGATCCTCAGTGACACTTTCCAGTGGTACTGGGATTCAGTGGAGCCATGGATGAAAATTAATGGGCCAGTGGTCTCTTTGACCCCTCCCTCCTTGGTGTTTGGAAGACATTCTTCCTGGTACCAGCAGAAGCAGAAATATAGATTTGTGGCCACCAAGTGCAGAGTGGAATTGGGGTAAAGTGGTAATTTTTCTACCTCTACCAGAGCAATGCTACTGGCCTTAGGAGAAGATGAGGTGATTGTGTTTGGCCTGAAAGTGATGCCTTTTCTCTGGATTTGTCTTCTAGAGTTTTTCCTTACAGATTCATCAGGATGAGCATCCAGGCCCCACCCAGACTCCTGGAGCTGGCGGGGCAGAGTCTGCTGAGAGACAAGCCCTTGGCCATCTCTGCCCTGGAGGAGCTGCCCAGGGAGCTCTACCTCCCACTCTTCCTGGAGGCCTTCAGCAGGAGACACTTCCAGACTCTGACAGTGATGGTGCAGGCCTGGCCCTTCACCCGCCTCCCTCTGGGATCGCTGATGAAGACGCTTCATCTGGAGACCTTAAAAGCATTGCTGGAAGGGCTTCACATGCTGCTTACACAGAAGGATCGCCCCAGGTGAGGTGACCCAGGAAGGCTGGTAGATGGGGCTCAGGTGTCCAGGGAAAGAACAGCAGGGTCAGGCAAAGAAGTATCCCAAGGATGGCCCAGTGTCTTCTGGTGGTGCTGGTGACGAAGCTCAGGCATGCCTTGGCCATTGCCCAGATCCTCAGGGAAAGAACTGCCCACAATATAGGGTCCACTGTGGGAACAGAAACTTGCCTATTCCCAGTGGAAGGTAAATGGAATAGAAGTGGGGACCAGTCAGAATTGAAAGAGAAAAGGGACCAAGAAAACTCAGAGAGAACAGGGAGCAGCGAGGACAGGAGCAGCTGATTTATTGGATGAGAATGAAAGCAAAGGTCAGGGATTTGTCCTTCAAAGTTCTGAGCCTCTGCCTTACTTTACCCACAGGAGGTGGAAACTTCAAGTGCTGGATTTGCGGGATGTTGATGAGAATTTCTGGGCCATATGGTCTGAATCCAGGGCCCTGTCCTCCTCCCCAGAGGCCATGAGTAAGAGGCAGACAGCAGAGGACTGTCCAAGGATGGGAGAGCACCAGCCCTTGAAGGTGTTCATAGACATCTGCCTCAAGGAAATACCCCAGGATGAATGCCTGAGATACCTCTTCCGGTGGGTTTACCAAAGGAGAGGTTTAGTACACCTGTGCTGTAGTAAGTTGGTGAATTATCTAACGTCGATTGAATATCTCAGAAGATCATTGAAAATAATCCACCTGAATAGTATTCAGGAGCTGGAAATTTGCTATGTGTCCTGGCCACATCTGATAAGAAAGCTTCATTGTTACCTGAAGGAGATGAAGAATCTTCGCAAACTCATTTTTCTCCAGGTGCCATCCTTACACGTCAATTACCGCGAGGAATGCTCAGTCGCCAAAATCAGCTCTATGTTCCTCAGGCTGAAACACCTCCAGCTGCTTAAAATGAATATGGTCACCTTCCACAGAGGGCACCTGGGACAGCTGATCAGGTGAGAAAGGATCGTGCCCTTTCTCTGCAGACCACAGCGCAGCCTTTTTTTTTGTTACAGTAAACACTAGAAGACGTGTACTGTGTGCCAGCCAGTGGCGACGGCACAGTGCAGGGGACACCAGAATGTCAACACATTGTCCCGTTCAGTGCTCCATGTCCTGGAGTGGCTATCACAGGATCACTTCAATAAAGGCAGAGGGGTCACCTAGGGTAGAGGCTAGAGAGGGACATCATGTACAAGGTACTTAGTGGGCGTTTTGTCTCTACTGCATGTGCACGTGTGAATTTCTTGTTACAAAGTGTGTTTCAAGTTGATATGATGTAAAAGAGGTAACAAAGGAGGGTATGAAAGGAGGGACAGTGCATCAAACTTGTGCATTTCACAGTAGAAGCTCTGTCCTCACCAGCTTAGTGATCATGAATGATCCTGTCTCTGATTCCCTGTCTGTAGAAGGTTGTTTTGAACTCCAGGAAAGTCAATTGACATGGGACATGCATGCTTCTGGGATGGAGGGTGAAGGAGTAGGAGTGAGAGTGGTAAAAAGTGACAGTTGGTTTGCAGATGCAGGCAGGCCAGGGAGCCCCTGCCGGCAGGTAGCCCCAGCTAATGTCCCTAGACCTTGCTGAGTTGAGTTCTTTGTGCACATCTCCCACCGGGTACCTGTGGCCCAGAGATGAGGTTTTCTGCTAAAAGATGAAGATAAAAGGCTTTAGAGATTTTGTGGCCTTGACCCAATCACACAAGAAATGGTGAAAGGGCTGAGGCTAAAATGGGACAGCCCCTGAATGATCAGGGTCCTCAACATGCAGCAACTTGCATGAGGACCATCATCAGATGGTGGGAACAAACTTGTGTTTGGTTGAAGCAGGTATTTTCCTTGAGTTCATTCCCCACTACCTTCATCTAACTGGTACCATTGCCCAGAACTAACTTCTTGATCTCCACAGGTGCCTCTAGAACCCCTTGGAGAACTTGGAATTAACTTGCGGCTACCTATTGGAAGAGGACTTGAAGTGTCTCTACCAGTACCCAAGCCTCGCTTACCCAAAGCATCTGAATCTCAGCTACATGCTGCAGTTCTGTATCAGTCTTGAACCCCTCGGAGCTCTGCTGGAGAAAGTTTCTGCCAACACGAGGGTCTCGAGAGAGGCAGCAATTACTCTTAAGACCCTCATCTTGGAGGGCTGTCAGATCCACTACTCCCAACTCAGTGCCATCCTGCCTGGCCTGAGCCGCTGCTCCCAGCTCACCACCTTCTACTTTGGCAGAAATTGCATGTCTATGGAAGCCCTGAAGGACCTGCTGTGCCACACCAGTGGGCTGAGCAAGTTAAGCCTGGAGATGTATCCTGCCCCCGAGGAGAGTTTGAATTCCTTGGTTCATGTCGATTGGGAGATCTTCACCCCACTTCGGGCTTAGTTGATGTGTACACTAAGGGAAGTCAGGCAGCCCAAGAGGATCTTCATTGGCCCCGCCCCCTGCCCGTCCTGTGGCTCATCACCGTCTGAGGAACTGGAGCTCCATCTTTGCTGCTAGGGAAGGCGTGCCTAGCGGGGTAGAGAAATCCAATGTTCTCTTCTAGGCCCTTGGACACTAAAATCTAGTATGTAGGTGCAAGTTATTTTCCTCTTTTCTTATTTCCTTTTTTAATAATTCCAATATTTTTATTACAAAAAAATTGAGAAAGTGTTTCACTATGTTGCCCCAGCAGGTCTCAAACTGCTGGTCGCATGGGATTCTCCTGCCTCGGCCTTCTAAAGTGCTGGGATTACAGGCATGAGCGACTGTGCCCAGGCCACATGTGCAACTTAAAGGAAGCACAGAGCTCTGTTTCAGACAGGTGCTCAGTGCGAGGGAAAAAATCCTAAGAGCAGGGGGCAAGACTTGAGGAAAATATTGAGGTGGAGTCAATGAGAGCTACAGAGTCAGAAAGAGAAACTAAAATTCTTCAGTGATGAGAATGTTATCCCTGCAAGGATGATTACCAAGAAATATCAGAAATAGAGAACCTCAGTGAAAACTTTCTGGTGTCCTCTGTAATTGATTTACTTGTTTTAGGGATTTATACATCAGAAATCTCTAGTTATTGAGTTACTGATGGAAAAATAACGAGGCACTAGTTTGTCTGTGATTGAGGTTCAGCTGCGGAACATCATAGCAGCCAAATAAAATTAGACCATTTTGAGTAATTCCCACCCATTCTTGTTCTTTTATTTCATTATTTATTTTTTTATTTTTGGAGACAAAAATATTGCTTTGTCATTCAGGCTGGAGTGTAGTGGTGCAATCTGGGATCACTGGAATCCTTTCCTGTGGGGCTCAAGTGATTCTCGTGCCTCAACCACTCAAGTAGCTGGGAGTACAGGCACGTGCCACCAAGCCTGCTAATTTTTGTATTTTTCGTAGAGACAGGGTTTTACCCTGTTCACCAGGCTGGTCTTGAGTTCCTGGCTTTGAGTGATCCGCCAACCTTGGCCTCCCAAAGTGCTGGGATTACAGGTGTGCGAATGGTCTGCACCCATCCTTTACTTCTCTTTAGTCATCTGTTTTTTCATACTTTTTCGACTGTGGGGAGCAGCTCGGTCGGGCACAAAGGCACAGGCAGAAAGGGGCCATGAGGAGAAGATGGGCTTGGGGTGGTGCCGTGCTTGCACATGAAGTGTGGTTGTCAGGTTCCAAAGGCAGAGCTGGGGCCATGCTCCAGGGCCCCGAGTTGGGAAGCAGAAATGGCACCAAGTTCAATGACCTGGCCAGCTATGCATCAACTGTGTGCCCACCCTGCTAATAGTATCAAGTTCCTAGGTCTAAAAAGGAGTTCTGTGTGAATCTTCCTGAGGCTGCATTTCCAAGATCTGCCCCCAAGAGGGGTGAACACAGAGCCTGATGCTTCCGATTGCTGGGCCTGTGGACCACGATCCACTCCTAAAGGCACCACCTCTTGGCTGGGTTGTCAGCCAGGCCTGTGCCCCATGTCCCTGAGGCAGCCAACTGTGCCACCCATACCCTCTCACGGCTAAACGGGACTTGCCCCTAGGTCCGCAGTCTCCACCACAGCCTCGACCTCACTCCCCACTTTGTGCTGTTAGCCTGCAAACTCCTGGATCAGAGCGCAGTTGGGGCTCATTAAACCGGACCCAGGAGCTTCAGATTTGTTTCTGTGGGGTTGACCAGAGCTGCTGTGAACCTGCATCTCACCTGTCACCTCTGCACGGAAACAGAGAGAGGGCAAAGCTGAGGCTGTGCACACTTTGGAGCTGATGGGATCCTGGGACAAGAGGGAGTCCTGGTCCTCCCAAGTTGGCAGGGCAGTAGCTCCAAAGGCACAACTGAAGCTGCCCAGGTTGCAGTTACCAAACAAGGTCCCCTAGTGCTCTCGAGGGCCCAGGAGGTCCCCCCTTCCCCATTCTATTGCTCAATAAAGGTCCTCTTTATCTTGCTCACTCTCCACTTGTCTGCATATTTCATTCTTCCTGGTTGCAGGACAAGACCCGCCTAATGGTGGGGCTAAAAGCAGTAACACAAACAAAGCTGAAACACGCCCCTTGCTCACCAAGTTGTAGGTGAAGAGAAAAAGAGAAGAGCTACTACTCTTTTCAGGAGCCCAGACGTGGGAGCTTCCTGAGCCAGGGCTGTGATTCCCTTTTTGTGGTTCTGCAGTTCCCAGCACTTCCAAGAAGGCCCATAATGGCAGTTAATGCTAGAAAGGGGAGGTAGAGGAACCTGTGGAAGGAAAAAAAAAAATGGTGGGGCTGAGATGGAGGGCCTGGGTCCACCCACAGACGAAAGTCCCTTCCTAGCAGACCCTGCACTGGGCCCCGGGGATCCTGGCGTCCCTGGTTCACACCCACGCTGCATATCGCACCTATGGGGGGCACCCCAAAGCTTCTAGCAAGCCCAGAAAGGAAGACAAGACTTGAAAGGGGAGGTAGAGGCACCTGTGGAGGAAAAAAATGGGCACCGTAGAGGAGGGGTGCTTGGGTCCCCCCACAGAAGAATGTGCCTTCCCAGCAGCCCCTACGGAGTCCCCGGGATTTCTGGCATCCCTGGATCACACCCACGTTGCCTGTCATGGTGGTGGGGGCACCCGGAAGGGGCAAGAAAGCCCAGAAGGGAAGATAAGGTTTGAAAGGGGAGGTAGAGGCACCTGTGGAAGGAAAAAAATGGCGCAGTCGAGAAGGGGGGCCTGGGTCAACCCACGGATGAAAGTGCCCTCCCAGCAGACCCTGCACAGGGCCCGGGGGATCCTGGCATCCCTGGTTCACACCCACAGTGCGTGTTGCACCTGCGGGAGGCACCCCAAAGCATCAAGAAGGCCCAGAATGGAAGAGAAGGCTTGAAGCTTAAAGTAGAAGCACCTGTGGAAGGAATAAAAAACGGCACGGCAGAGGAGGTGGGCATGGGTCCCCCCATGGATGAAAGTGACTTCCCAGCAGCTCCTGAGCTTGGTCCTGGGGATACTGGTGTCCCTGGTTCGCCCCAACGATGCCTGTCCCTCCCACTGGGGGGAAACCCAAAGCAGCAACAGGCACTAGTGGAAGGTAAAAAATACGTGCGGCAGAGGAGGGGGGCCTGTGTCCCCACATGGACTAAAGTGCCTTCCCAGCAGCACTTGCACAGGGCTCCGGGGTTAGTTCCATCCCTGATTCACACCCAAGGTGCATGTCACACCCATGGGGGGCACCCCAAAGTGGTAAGAAGTCCCAGGATGGAAGATAAGGCTAGAAAGGGGAGGTAGAGACACCTGTGGAAGAAAAAAAATGGCGAGGCAGAGAAGGGGTGCCTGGGTCCCCCCACAGATGAAAGTGCCCTCCCAGCAGACCCTGCACAGGGCCCTGGTGATCCTGGCGTCCCTGGTGCTCACCCACGGTGCATGTCACACTCGCGGTTTTACCCCAATGGGGCAAGAAGGCCCAGAAAGGATGATAAGGCTTGAAAGGGGAGGTAGAGGCACCTGTGGAAGGAAAAAAAAAAGGGAACAGCGGAGGTTCAGGCCGGGGTACCTCCTTGGACAAAAGTGCCTTCCCAGCAGCCCCTGGGTGGGGCCCCGTGGATCCTGACATCCCTGGTTCGCCCCCTTGGTAAGTGTCAATGACCTCATGGTATGTGTATATATATATATATACATGTGTGTGGTGTGAGCACCTAGAAAGTGACAACTCTCCAGGACAGAGCTGGCCTCACAGATTAACATGGTTTTTCACTTGGCAGGGAAAAGTAAAACGCCTCGTGTCCCTGGCTGGGCAACCCCCTCAGGAGTGCAGCAAGGAGACATGGGATCTGTGGACAGGAGGCTACTGGGCGAAACCTCTCATTGAGGATTATGTTAAAATTTGCACTTGAGACGCTGAGTGCCCTATGTCCTTCCCACTCACCAAAGAACCCCAGCTGAGCCAGCCCTGACTCCCAGACACAAGAGCCCAGGGAGAAGCTGGGAGAGAGGGAGACCCGCTGTGACCTCAGGGCATGGAAGGAGCCCTGACCTTTTTCTCCATGATGCCTTCCCCACTCCCAAGTGCCTCTGGCCTGAAGCTTCCAGGGACCCCTGCATTCCATCCATGCCCTCCTCTGCTCCCTCCAACCCAGCCTTTTCTAAAGCCCCATGCATTTGTCTCCATGAGAGTGCCCCAGTCTCAGGCGCTCACAGTGCCTCAGAAGCTCGGGGTCCCTGTGCCTGCCTGGAGGCAGTCTCACTCTATGTGGCCCCATGTGTGTTCTTGGATTTCTTTCTACACAAGGTCACCTGTAGGTGTACAGTAGACACATCACCTGTAGAAGAGCCAATGGGGATGGGTGAGGACCAGGAACCCTCTCAGGCACACACATGGAAAGAGAGAGAAGTGTTCCTGGAAGCACAGGCCTGGGGGTGGGTGCTAGCCCCCTGTGTCTCCTCTAATCAAAGAGGTCAGCGACTTTGGCCACAGAATACACACCCACTTCCCATGGGTTCACATCCAAAGAACAAACTCCTTCAGACTCCCTGGTCCATGCACTCGAGATCCCCAGGGTGTCTTGAGTTTTTATCCCAGAAGGAGAGAGAAACAAGCTTTCATCAGCTAAACAAGACCACTACTAATACTAATGTAGGTATTGACACTAATACTAGTACTACTACTAATACAAGTGCTAACACTACCAAAAGTACTGTACTAATATGAATATCAACAGGGATTTTTTTTTCTAGCTGCTCAAGGAAATGTGTGGAGTCATCCCCTATTTTCTTTTTATTGGAGCCACTGTGTCAGTGGCGACAGTGGTTAGGAGCCTCCTTTGGGTAAAAACGAGGTAACTTCAGCCCCTGCTTGCTCCACTGTCTGCCTCTCCAGGGCCTCTGTGTCCTGCTGCAGAGTCTAGCCTGTTCTTCACAGGCACACATTCCTTATGGCACAGAGACACACCAATAAAAAAAGTCCTGAGAGAAAGGAAGGAATGGCACCTGCAAGAGACCTCACACTGATGGACCTCAGAGATATTCGTGGTCTGAGGAACACAGAGGAGAATGTGTGGGGAGCAGATCCCCACTGAGAAAGAAGCAGGACAGCTGGGCGCAGTGGCTCACACCTGTAATCCCAGGACTTTGGGAGGCTGAGGCATGTGGATCATGAGGTTAGGAATTTGAGACCAGCCTGGCCAATATGGTGAAACCTCATCTCTAGTAAAAATAGAAAAATTAGCTGGGTGTGGTGTTGTGCCTGTAGTCCCAGCTACTTGGGAGGCTGAGGCAGGAGAATTGCTTGAACTGAGGAAGCAGAGGTTTCAGTGAACAATAGGAAAACAGTATTACAAGGAAAACTACTAGTCCTAAGATTTCTAACTATGTTTATTTGCTTGATGAGTCCTCAAGCTTCGGCCGTGCGTAGACTAGTCAGCTTCCAGTGTGTGACTAGAGCAGGGCTTGTTGTCTCCTCAACCTTCAGCTGTACGTAGACTGGTCAGCTTCTGGAGTGACCAGAGCAGGGCAGTCATCTTTAGCATCAGCTTGGTCTCATCTCAGGATCAGCTGTGTCTCATCTCAGGATCAGGTGGGTGATCTGGGTCCTGCTGGCTGGTCCACTTGTCCTGAGCTTCGGTTTCAGCCAGCTGTGGTGGATCCAAGGCACAACACCTGCAACTTTAACAGCAGAGGGAGTACACAAGATTACAGTATAGGGCTGGGTGTGTTGGCTCATGCCTGTAATCCCAGCACTTTCAGAGCCCGAGGCGGGTGGATCACGAGGTTGGGAGATGGAGAGCATCCTGGCTAACACGGTGAAACCTCATCTCTATTAAAAAAAAAAATACAAAAATTACCCACGCATGGTGGCGGGCACCTGTAGTCCCAGCTACCTGGGAGGCTGAGGCAAGAGAATGGTGCGACCCCCAGGAGGCAGAGCTTGCAGTGAGCTGAGATCATACCACTGCACTCCAGCCTGGGGGACAGAGCAAGACTCTGCATCAACAAAAAAAAAAAAAAAAAAAAAAAAAAAGGTTACAGTATAGGGCCCATCCCATATGGGTCCTAGAGAATTTAATTCAACTTTTTAACTCAGAGTCACTAGGTTTAAAGGGGTGTGTCTGGTCTGTCAGGCTTACAGGCATTCTTTCCTGTACCCACCCATGGACACTTTGCAAGTCTGTCCCTAATGCCTGCATTTGCTTTCTTAAGGTTAATTCTCTTAGTTCAAGGAGATAACCTTTAATTTGACTTATGATTGGGGGAGGCTGACTGAACAAAATCTCATAGGGCAAATACCCAGTTTGTTTGGTGAGGGTGCACCTGACTCAGAGGAGGACCATAGGCAAGACCTGATCCCATCTCAGATAGGTTTCCTGGAAATATTTCTTCAGAAGCTCCTTGAGTGTCTGGTTCATGCATTCCACTTTTTCTGAACTTTGCGGCTGATAGGCTGTGTGTAACTTCCATTTTATTTTTAACAGTCTTGTTAAATCTTGCACTATTTCAGCTACAAATGCCGTGCAATTAACGGACCCTAAAGTTAGAGGCAGTCCAAGCCTGGGGATGATGTCTCTTAGCAGTACTTTAGTCACTTCTCATGCTTTTTCTGTTCTGGTGGGGAAAGCTTCAACCCATCCTGAAAAGGTGTAAATAAGCACCAGCATATACTGATAGCCTCCGGCATGGGGTAGTTTGGTAAAGTCTACAAGAAAGTTTTCACAAGGCATGGTTCCTACTTCCTGAATTCTTGGGGGTTGAGTGGGCCCCTGTCACGGGTTGTTCTGAGCACAGGTTAAACATTGTTTACAAACAGCTCAAATGATGGCCACGGCACATAGAAACAGCATTTCAGTAATGTTTCCAGTGCCATTTTTTCCCATATGAGTTCCTAGATAAATTTGCTTCAGAAACGTAGGAGCTAACATTTCTGGAATGGCTAATGTCCCATTGAAGAATTTCCACCACCCTCCTTTAATATATTTTCCAGCTTCTTGAGCAAACCAGGCTCTTTCATTTGGAGTAGAACTTGGATCTTCTTGGAGAGGAGCTTCTGGGAGGAGAAGCATAGCTAAGGCTTCCTCTTTAAAATGTGATGCAATCATTGCTCCCCTCTTTGCCTCTCTGTCTGCCTTTCTGTTTCTTTTGGTTTTTGGTGTCCCTGACTTTTGGTGCCATCTGCAGTGCATTAAAGCTACTTTTCCTGGAGGCCATACAGCCTCTAAGAGCTGTAGAATCTCTTCTTTGTACTTGATTTCTTTGCCTCCAGCTGTTAAAAGCCCTTTCTCTTTGTCTATAACTTCATGTACATGCAATGTAGTAAAAGCATACTTAGAATCAGTGTAAATATTGACCTTCTTCTCTTTTGCTAGAAACAGTGCTCTTGTCAGGGCTATTAATTCTGCCTTTTGAGCTCATGTTCCAGTAGGCAGAGGCAGAGCATCTACTACTAAGTCCAATGTTATTACTGCATACCTGGCATCTTGAACCCCTTCTAGCACAAAACTACTTCCATCTGTGAAGTATTCAAAAGCCGGGTCTCTGAGGTCTGTCTGCAAGATCTTTCCGACTGGAGAACACCTCATCTACTGTTGCAACACAGTCATGGAGGGGAGCCCCCGGTTAGACTGGGAGCAGAGGAGCCAGGTTTAAGGTGTTCACTGTTTCTAAAATAATGTAAGGGTTCTCACAAGGAAGACCTGAGTCATTTTTGGGTTTGATAACCAAAGATGCCCTCTTTGGTCCATCAAAGTTATAACTGAGTGTGGCACCCGCACAGTTAGCTGCTGTCCCAGAGTTAATTTGCTAGCTTCTTGTGTTAACAAGATGGTGGCAGCTAATGCCTTAAGGCAAGGAGACCATCCTAGCACCACAGAGTCCAGTTGTTTGTATAAATACGCCACTGGGCAATGCCATGATGCTATAATTTGAGTCAGAACCCCTATAACCATTCCTTTTCATTCATGAATACATAGAAAGAGAGGCTTAATTATATCTGGTAGTCCTAAGGTTGGGCCTGACCTAAAGCTTCCTTGAGCTGTTTGAATGCTATTTCCTGATTAGTTTCCCAAAGGAGGGGCTCTTTTTCTCCGATTTTGTGGCTTCATATAATGTCTTAGCCATCACTGAAAAATTTGGAATCCAGATGTGGCAGAATCCTGCTGCCCCTAAAGGAAGGGGGCCAGCCCCTCCACACCTGTGGGTATACCTCATCAAGTGGGGTGAGAGACTGAGAAAAGAAATAAGACACAGAGACAAAGTGTAGAGAGAGAACAGCGGGCTTCTAGCCAGCAGAGAGTTGCCTGTGTTACTCTCCGACACTCCTCAGTGTTAAACAGTGGGAGAAAAAACTGCCTGCAGTCTGGCCAGGTTGGATTGTGTGTCAGAAAGATGGATTGCATCAGATCTATAAGAGCTTGGGGCTTTGCCATATAGGAGGGAGTATGGTGTTTCCAGTTCAAGAGATCAATGGTTGAAAAGGGATGATAGATGAAAGTCCATTCCCCCCACCTGACTTGGCCTTGGTCATCATAATAAATGGGTCCTCCCATCTCCCTGAGATGCATTTGCATAACTCAAGCATGGCTAGATCTGAGATGGCCGGCTTAACCATCTTGACTTCCTTCCCTGGCCTCTCAAGCCTCTGATCCTTCCTTTGGGGTGAGACTTTGGGTGTGCTAGCTCCTGAATCTGGTTCCTGGGGGACTGTTGGCCTCGGTAAAGAAGGCTAGGCTGGGACATATGGAGTAGGAATCTCTATTCCCTCTGGTGGATCCTGCAAAACTGGCTTTTTTGCTCCCTCTGGGACTTTGCCTTTAACTCTGTGTCTGCCGGTGAAGCTGTTCTTACTTTCATTTTTGGCACGGCTCTGGCCACAAGTGTTTTGCACTAACTGGCTAAACAGAGCTGGACCATGCTGGTCTTGTCTGTGCTATATTTAACCATAAGTCAATATAAGGAAATTGATCTGGGTGCCCAGGCTGTCCTCCAACCCCTGTCACCACCTTAAATACACGGTCAATTATTTCCCTATCTATAGTTCCTTTGGTTGGCCATCCAACACCAAAAGAAGGCCATTTGAATTCACAGAGAGTTCTCAACCTCTAGGAGGTTAGCGTAACTCCATAATCTCCTGCAAAACCTTTATTAAAGTTCTCTAACATGCACCCAATGGAGTGTGTTTTGATGACTTTCCTCCTATTTCCTCGCTTTACGATGCAGCACACCCACTCTTCCTTTTGCCTCAGACCCACCAGATCATCTCCTATTATGGGAGTTTTCAGATGCCACTTGGCTTAAGAAAGGGTTTTATTCCCACCATAACTCTGAGATGTGGGGCAGCTCCTATTAGCTGTATGCGGTTCGCCACTAGTGCAGGTTGGCCCCACACTTGGCTTGGAGCACACAGACCATGCTAAGAGATCTGTGACTCCCCATGCCACTCCCACATTGGTTCCTCCCTGAACTGTATCTTTCACACACTTTCACACACCTCCCCACTCCCAGTTCGTGTGTTCCTAATTGGGGTTGTGAGCCACTCTCACCACCTCCAGTTTTCTTTTCCTAACCGACTTGGGGAGCCACTCTTGCATTGTGTGCCAGGTAGGGTGTGAGATTCATCTGAATTGGCGAGCCTCTGTCACCACCTCCAGCCTCTCTGGGTCAGATTACTAGTTACACCCTTGGAGGTGATCAGGCTCCCCTTCCGTCCTTATGGGACGGATCCTGTCTTTGGTCCCAAAACTTTACTGCAGTCCTGAAGAAATCACACTGCTCCTGGAATCATCCTGTAGCCCCTCAGGTTCTGTTGTGCTGCTGGGTGGGGGCACCAGGTCACAGGAGAGCCGATCTCCCCTCTGGGCTGAAGTTCTTCCAGCAGCGCCTGGGGTCACAGGTTTCTTTCCCTTGACCCTGGGCTCCAGCCCCACAAGAAAAGGAGAAAGTAAACCTGTCATCTCCACTCCTCCTGTCTGGCTCACCAAAAAGTTCTGAGAAACTGAGGACCAGAGAGACTGATATGGGAAAACAGGAGGATTTTTTTTTTTAAGGTACACACTGGCTCAGTGGATTCATATCCAAAAAGCTGAGCATTGAACAAAGACTGAGCAGGATTTTTATAAGCAGGCTTACAGAAGCAAAACAATGGCAGTTAATCATACAATGACAGGTAATGTAATCTATTACATAACTGTGGCCTTGCATAGCTGGTGGCCTTGTAGCTGCATCAAAAGAAAAAAGAAGAACTGGCTAAATACAGACATTTGCCATTTTTCTTTCTTTTTTTTAATCACCCTTGCTCTGGAGCAGTGGGTGTCTGGAGCCTATTCCTTTCTTTCAACTTCTCCAACAGCATTATCTTATAACTGTCCTTGAAATGAGCTTGCTAGGCAGAGGAAAACTTGTTTTTTGTTTGTTTGTTTGTTTGTTTTACCTTTGCCTGACACATTCTGGGCCTTGGCTTTTACTTCTCAGACTAGGTCACTATGACCTTCTTATAGCTTTGTCTGTAACTTTTCTTGGAGTAAATGAATGTAGTATTTATTGTTATTATTGTGTTTAAATTTCTGCCTCAAGACCAGACTACGTAGTAAAGCAAGACCCCATCACTATTAAAAAAATTAATAGAAAATAGCATATATGATGGGGCATGGTGGTTCATGCCTGTAATCCCAGCACTTTGGGAGGCCAAGGCAGGTGGATCATCTGAGGTTAGGAGTTCGTGACCAGTGAGGCCAATATGGTGAAACCCCAACCCTACTAAAAATACAAAAATTAGCTGGGTGTGTTGGCTCGCACCTGTAATCTCAGCTACGCAGGAGGCTGAGGCAGAAGAATCACTTGAATTTGGGAGGTGGAGGTTGCAGTGAGCTGAGATCATGCCATTGCACCCCAGCCTGAGTGACAGAGTGAGACTTCATTTCAAAATTAAAAAAAAAAAAGAAAAGAAAATAGCATATGGAATATCTCTGTGGTTTTCTTAAAAACAAAGCAAAATCTGTCATTTAAAATCACAATAACATTGCTGGGCACCATGGTTCACTTGAGTCCAGGAATTCTGAGACTAGCCCAGGAAATGTGGTAAAATCTTTTCTCTGCATGAAATACAAAATATTAGCCAGGTATGCTGCCACATGCTGGAAGTTCCAGCTACTCAGAAGGCTGAGAGGGGATGATTGCTTGAGCCTGGGAGGCAGAGGTTGCAGTAGGTCAAGATTGCAACACTGCACACCACCCTGGGTGACACCCAATCTAAAAAAAAAAAAAGTCTTTCAATCCTTTTGTCCAGATGCCCACAAAATACCTGCCATGTTTTATGTTGTCTTGGTTCCCTCCTAGGGTCCCATTAGAACACTTAGTCCCATCCAGCCCAGCCCTCACCTTACTTTGTAATGTAGGCCTGATTTCTTTCAGTGAAACCTTGACCTTAACCTTGAGAAAAATTACACCCTCAGTAGTTCCTGTCTTCCACCTGAATGGGCATATGATCTACCATGTTAGGTAGCATAAAACCCAGGTGCCCAGTGGATACACAGAGATTTTTATTGTGTTTTTTAGGGATGACATCCCTGTCTTCTTAAAGCTGCTTTAATGCTGAAATGTTTTGATACTTTTGATGTGGCCAAAGATTCTCCAATAAAGATATATATATATTCTAATGTCAGAAACAGATTAAATCCTTCCCTGTATCACTATGAAGGTCACATATTAGTCAAACTTTACCAGTGTTTGTGGAATAAGTGAATAAATGAGTTTTAGACCTTCATCCTGTTATTACTTCTTTCACTTTCATAAATGCCTATCTAATTTAATCACTTCATGAGAAGAAAATTGAAAACTCAATCAGGGTTAACTGGGTGGAAGTTCACGATCCAGTTGGATGTCGTTTTCGAATTGGAAGTTGGTAGTCAAGAAGGGGGTTGTAGTGAGAAAGGTCAATAAAAGCTCCTGAAGGTGCACAGAAGAGACCCAAAGCCCTGGCTCCTGGAGCTACTGCTTGATTCTCACAGAGGTCCCGGCACCCTGCAAAGTGAGTCCAGAACTGGCAAGTCACCACTTTTTAGGGACATGCCCATTTGATCTGATCTTCTGTATAGCAAGTCATACAAAAGTCTGGAAGACACTAGCACATACACTGTGAAGAGAAGTCTGGGATAAGGGGAAGATTATAGGAGATGTTTGCTCTGTGGTTTTGGAATGTTTTGCATTCAGAATACTGTCCAGAGAAGGGAAAAATGATGAAAAACAAATGAAGCTCGCCCTCATGTACCTCTATGTACCTCCTACCATGCTGGACTTTCTTGTTTTGTTTCATTTTGTTTTTCTTTCTTTCTTTCTCTCTCTCTCTCTCTCTCTCTTTCTTTCTTTCTTTTTCTTTTTTTGATACGGTATCTCACTCTGTTGCCTAGGCTGGGGTGCAATGGCATGATCTTCGATCACTGCAACCTCCACCTCCTGCGTTCAAGCAATTCTCCTCCCTCAGTCTCCCCAGTAGTGGGGACTACACCTATGCACCACCACGCCCAGTCAATTTTTGTATTTTTAATAGAGACAGGATTTCAATCATGTTGGCCATGCTTGTCTCAAACTTCCGACCTAAAGTGACCCACCCACTTCGGCCTCCCAGATGCTGGGATTACAGATGTGAGCCACTGCACCTGGCCAATTGCTGTACTTTCATGATACACATGGAGTATCCACAGTATCACAAGGGCTATTTTTTCCATAATCCAACTTATTTGTATTATTGGTAGTGAGCTACTGTTGACGTCCCCACGTTAGCAATTTAGTGGCTATACTGATGATAAGCATTTCCATGCATCATGTGGTCAACAGCATTTGCTACCAAGTGCCACGTTCCATGCTCAGCAGTGGGACCACAGGATGAGCGAGACAAAGTTCCTGACCTTTAGCAGCAATATCGAACAAGTGAGATTGTCAAGAAAGAAAAAATCCTTGTAAAACATACCATACCCCTACGATTCAGTCATCATGCTCCCAGGTATTTAACGAAGGGAGTAAACCCACACCTGGATGTTTATAGCAGCTTTATTCATAATCGCCAAAACTTGGAAGCAAGAAAGATGCCCTTCAGTGGGTGACTGGATAAAGAAACTGTGATCCATCTGGTCAGTGAACTATTACGAAGCCATAAAAAGACATGAAAGATTCCTAAATGCACGTTATTGTACAAGTGAAAGAAGGCAATGTGAAAAGACTCATCCTGTTAGACATTCCAGAAGAGCCTTCTGCCTTTTTCTATGGAGATGGTAGAAAACCCAGTGGTTGCAAGGGATTTGGAGTACAATGGGATGAATGGAAAGAGGACAGAGGACTTTTAAGGAAACAAAACTACTCTCCATGATGCTCTAATGGTGGATACATGTCATTATCCCTTTGTTAAAATCCATAGAATATACAAAACCAGCAATGATCCTTCATGTGAACTATGGACATTGGGTGATAATGATGTGTCCCTGTGGCTCATTGGTTGTGACGAATGCTCTGTGCTGGTGTGGGTGCTGATCCTGTGGGGGTGCTGTGTATTGAAGGGGGAAGAAGGTAGATGAGAACTCTGCAGTTTCTGCTTAGTTTTTCTGTGAATCTAAAACTGCTATAAAGAAAAAAATAGGCTGGGCGTGGTGGCTCACATCTATAGTCGTAGCATTTTGGGAAGCCGAGGCGGGTGGATCACCTGAGGTCAGGGGTTCGAGACCAGCCTGGCTAAAATGACAAAACCCTGTCTCTACTAAAAAATAATAATAATAATAATACAAAAATTAATCAGGTGTGGTGGTGCATGCCTGTAATCCCAGCTACTCTGGAGGCTGAGACAGGAGAATTGTTTGAACCCTGGAGGCAGAGGTTGCAGTGAGCTGAGATCGTACCACTGCACTCCAGCCTGGGTGAAAGAGTGAGACTCCATCTCCAAAATAAATAAATAAATAAACTCAAGGCTGGGTGCGGTGGCTCATACCTATAAGAGCTCACTCCCAGCAATTTAGGAGGCCGAGGCAGGTGGATCGCTTGAGCCCAGAATTTCAAGACCAGTCTGGGCAACGTGGTGAAGCCTGGTCTTCACTAAGAATACAAAAATAAGCCAGGCATGATGGTGCATGCCTGTTGTTCCAGCTACTAGGGGGACTGAGGCAGGGAGATCACCTGAGCCTAGGAGGTCAAGGCTGCAGTAAGCCGTGATCATGCCACTGCACTCCAATCTGGACGACAGAGTGAGACTTTGTCTCCAAATAAAATAAAATAAAATAAAATAAACTCAATATTTTTAAAAACTGTAATGTTTCCTTTCAAAGCTAAAATTGTATTATTCTAAATATATTTTAAAGAAGAAATGATTATTGTTCAGTGTCTTTAAAATTAGTTTTTAAAATCTCATTTGTTTTGACATTTCAAACCAAGTTAAGTATTCTTTTTCTCACCCTCCTTGAGACGGAGTCTTCCTCTTTCACCCAGGCTGGAGTGCAGTGGTGCATTCTCGGCTCACTGCAACCTTTGCCTCCCAGGTTCAAGCGATTCTCTTGCCTCAGCCTCCTGACTATCTGGGATTACAGGCGCCTGTCACCACGCCAGGCTAATTTTTTGTATTTTTCGTAGAGACGGGGTTTCATCATGTTGGCCAGGCTGGTCTGGAACTCCTGACCTCGTGATCTGCCCACCTCGGCCTCCCAAAGTGCCAGGAATACAGGCATGAACCACCACACCTGGCCATTAACCATTCTTAACATATCACGTTGCATTCTTTAAAAGTTCTAATCTTTCATGTACATAAATTACAACACAAATATTTGTACTCTAATAGTATTCACATTATAGTAAATTTTTTTTCATGCTCTGTCACCCAGGCTGGAGTGCAGTGGCGCGATCTTGTCTCATTGCAACCTTCGCCTCCCGGGTTCAAGTGATTGTCCTGCCCCAGCCTCCTGAATACCTGGGATTACAGGCGAATGCCACCACTCCCAGCAAATTTTGTGTATTTTTAGTAGAGACGGGGTTTCACCATGTTGGCAAGGCTGGTCTCAAAATCCCGAGGCTGCCTTGGCCTCCCAAAGTGCTGGGATTAGAAGTGTGAGACACCATGCCCGGCCATAATAATAAATTTTATTTTATCTTTTTTTTTTTGAGACGGACTTTTGCTACTGTTGCCCAGGCTGGAGTGCAATGGCTCAGTCTGAGCTCACCGCAACCTCCACCTCCCAGGTTCAAACGATTCTCCCGCCTCAGCCTATCGAGTAGCTGCAATTACAGACGTGCGCCACCACGCCTGGCTAATTTTTTGTATTTTAAGTAGAGAAGGGGTTTCTTCATGTTGCTCAGGCTGGTCTCAAACTCCCAACCTCAGGTGATCCACCTGCCTCAGCCTCCCAAAGTGCTGGAATTACAGGCGTGAGCCACTGCACCTGGCTCATAATAGTACATTTTTAAAAACACCATAAAATATAATCCTTGCAACACTCAATTATACCATCTGGTCGGATCTATCAGCAGATGGCACCCGAGACATACGGATTGGAAATTTTGATCTTATTATGAATGAATCCAGTCCAGAAATGCCCACCCTGCCCCCTGCTGGCTCCTGGGGCTCTGCTCTTTGGGGGAATCATGATGAAATTGTGGCAGAGAGTAGAAGTTGAGCCCCATTGCATGCCCTGAGTTCTTGTTGCCTCTCTATTATCAGGAAAAGGAGGTGAGATTGAAAGATGAAAAATGCTGGGACTTCTGCTGAGAAGAGAAAAAAGAACAAGATGTATTGATCTTACTGTATGCCAGACCCCATGCCAAGCCCTAAACATGAACCATCTCATTGGATCCTACCTAGGTCCCATAAGCTGTTGGACATCATCATCCTCATTTTACAGGAAGCTGAGGCTCTTGGCTAACATCCCTGACAGCAACACCAGCCCCTGAGTACTCAGCAGGATCCTTCACTTGGATGCCCGCTATGCAGGCTTCCTCAGCACAGGGAAGGTCACTCATCACCCACAGGCCCTTGATCGTTATCCACCCTTTGATGCTGTCAGATTCCAGAACACGCTGCACTAGTCTCTTCCTTCATAGGGAGAGAGGGAAAGTGTTATGAGAAAATCTCTCATCAATCTGACCTAGCTCCCCAAAAAGATGTAACTTTTAAAATGTCAGATGGAAATATTTAAAAAGTGTTACATGCCTGTATAGTTTTAGTATTTTACTTAAAGGGAATGTGGCTGTCTTTACTGGCTACAACCAGTTTAATTCAAGAAGGGCTGCTGGTCATCAGGGGAACAAGCAAGGTTTGGTGCTGCCCAGAGTCTCCAGCTAATACACAATATGGACATACCCTTCCAGGGCAGCGAGAAGAGAGTGGGTCCTTGTGCAGTGCAGCTGACATCCACCAACTAAGGCTTCTGGAAGCATGTGGAGACTCACAGGGAGTGGGCAGGGTCTCAGCATCTGGCTAGCGGTGAAAGACCCTGAGAAGAAGGTGCTTTCCGTGTGGATTGGCTCACTGTTCTTGCCCAGTAATGTTCCAGGCCTTTGGTGTCCACCTGGTGTGTATTAACCCACTGAACAGCCACAGAAACTAACAAGGATTTAACAGACATCTAAAGAAGTGAAGAACTGGAGGAGGCCAAGCCAAGCGTGGTGGTCCACGCCTATACTCCCTGCATTTTGGGAGGCCAAGGCAGGAGAATCACAAGCTCAGGAGTTCCAGATCAGCCTGGGGAAGACAGCGAGGCCTTGTTTCTACTAAAAAAAAGTATCCAGGTGTGGTGGCTCACACAGCTGTAGTCCTAGCTACTCAGGAGGCTGAGGTGGGAAGATCGCCTGAACCCAGGAAATTGAGGCTGCAGTGAGGTATGATTGTGCCACTGCACTGTAGCCTGAGTGACAGAAGACCTTTAAAAAACAAAAACAAAAGCAAAAGCCTGACACAGTGGCTCACACCTGTAATCCCAGCATTTTGGTAGGCCTACTTGCATGAATCACCCAAAGTCAGGAGTTTGAGACCAGCCTGACCAACATAGTGAGGAAACCCTGTCTCTACTAAACATACACAAATTAGCTGGGCACGGTGGTGCATGCCAGTAATCCCAGCTACTTGGGAGGCTGAGGCAGGAGAATCATTTAAACCCCAGGTGGAGGTTGCAGTCAGCTGAGATGGCACCATTGCACTCTAAACTCCAGCCTGGGCAACAAGAGTGAAACTCTGTCTCCAATAAAAGAATGGGAGGAAACTGATTACAATAACCAAATTTCATTTAAATGCCTTGATTTTCTTGGGCTGCATCTTATTGATTGGACAACTCAGTCAGTGCCTTTTGTTTTTTCCATCAATAACTGAAGATTCCTGAGGCTTAAACTGGAAAACAGGTTACTTAATAATAGAGGGCACCAGACAGATTCTGCTCAGTTTTCCTTTATTTCTGATTGTTTCTTTACAACCATCCATGCAAGAGTAACTCCCTCATGTATTCTCAAGCCTGAATTCCACTCTAGACATTCAGATTCCCATTTTCGACTCTACAGGATACACGTTCCCAAAGTCCCATCGAATCCATGGCAACATTTCCCCCAAGTCCTGCCCCTGCTTGATCAGCATTCCTTTCCCACTTTCAGAGCCCATGTGTGAAACGATGGGTTCTGTGCTCCCTTTAGGATGTACCTAAGACCTAGGTTTTAGTTTCCAAGTGTCCAGAAGAAAGCGTTTGACATACCCATCCAAATAGGCAGGCATTCAACAGCAGTATTGATCTGCCTCCAGGTCATAAAATGACCTGTTGCCACAGTCAGGGCAGTAGTCAGTACCGAACAAGATCCTCTTGGGGTGCCTTAAGTCCCTAACTCTCTTCATCAGCTCAGCCCTAATCTGAGTAAATCTGCTCCAGCAGAGAGTACCATCAGCACCATAACTCTCCCGTGGGGCAGGATACAGCTCCAGGCATAAGTTTTTGAGTATGATTGTGTGGCTCAGCAGGTTCTCCAGGGTGGCCATGGAGATGGGATTTCCACAGAAGCTGAAGGTGTTGAGCTCAAAGCAGCGGCTCAGGGCAGGCAGGATGGCGTTGACTTGGGAGTCTATGATGCCACAGTCATCTAAATCCAGGTACTCAAGGGTGGCTGCAACTTTTTCTAGGAGAATTTGGAGAGGCACAAGACTGTAATTGGTCAGTCTGATGCCACTCAGGTCCAGGGTCTTTAGTTGACTGATACTCGGGCACTGGGATAGATGCTTCAAGTCTGATTCCAAAAGCACACAGTTAGTTATTGTGAGGACCTTTAACGAGGTCTTCAGACAGCTGGGGAGAGAGAGCAAGAAGTTAATTCTGGGGAATCATAGGGGTGAGTGGAGGGTGGTGGGGAATGGCTTCAAGGTAATGGATGGAGACCATTTTGCCCAAGTCCAGGATCATTCTCATGGCCGGATGGTCAACACTTCGGATGATGTGTGATGAAGAGCTTTGCCACCGAGGTCAATTCCACTTTAGGCCCGGCCCAGTAACTCACACCTGTAATCCCAGAACTTTGGGAGGCTGAGACTGGTGGATTCCTTGAGATCAGGAGTTTGAGACCAGCCTGCTGAACATGGCAAAACCTCCTCTCTACTAAAAATCCAAAAATTAGCCAGCTGTGGTGGCGGGAGCCTGCAATTCCAGCTACTTGGGAAGCTGAGGCAGAAGAATCGCTTGAACCCAGGAGGTGTAGGTTGCAGTGAGCAGAGATCATGCCACTACACTCCAGCCTGGGTGACAGAGAGAGACTCCGCATTAAAAAAAAAAAAGGAGAAAAAATAATTCCATTTGAGGCTGAGTCATTTCACCATCATTTATAGGAATGGATCAAGTTCACAGAATCCCTAAAGCTCCCTTTCCTCATCTGTCAGGCAGAAAACCACATCCCTGGGCCACAGAAGCCCAGTGGAGATGCAGGCATAAAGGACAAACCCAGACAGGATCCTGCAACATCAGCTGGGGTGGGCGGGCTGCAGGCGTCCCTGACACGCCTGTATCATCAGCAAACCATCTATCACTTTCACCATTCTTTGTGCCTGCTCCCTGACCCTCTGTTTCAGAATCATACATTTCCTAGGTAATTAATTTACCTGGAGCTCAAAAGAAACTTTTACAACAGGGAATTAGAGATGGGATCATTCATGTTCACGGAACTGTGGGGCACAAAGCTGATTTTCTGACATGTGCAGATTTGCTGAGCATTCCCCTCTTCAGTGACCACTTCACTTCCCTACTTCCCATCATCTTCTTAAAAATTATCTTGTTGGCTGGGCGTGGTAGCTCTCGCCTATAATCCCAGCACTTTGGGAGTCCAAGGTGGGCGGATCACCTGAAGTCAGGAGTTGGAGAATATCCTGGCCAACATGGTGAAACCCTGTCTCTACTTAAAATATAAAAATTAGCCAGGTGTGGTGGCCCACGCCTGTAATCCCAGGCACTGAGGAGGCTGAGGCAGGAGAATCGCTTGAACCTGGGAGGCAGAAGTTGCTGCGAGCTGAGATGTCACAACTGCACTCTAGCCTGGACGATCATAGTGAAAATCCATCTCAGAAAAAAAAAAAGTTATCTTGTTTGTTTTTACTTTTATTTCTTCATTTCTGACAGGGGTCTTGGGATGTTACCCAGACTGGTCTTAAACTCCTAGGCTCAAGCTATCCTCTTGCCTCAGACTCCCAAAGTGATAGGATTACAGGCATGAGCCACCGTCCCTGGCCTATTTTTCATCATCTTAACTTAGACACACGTCCTCAGGAAGAATTCAGAAAGGCACCCTCACTAGATCTGAACCCCCCAGTAGCTAGCTTCCTAGTATGGCAACCTCTCTATAGCATCTCCCCTAGCTGATCCCTCTGCCTCTATTGGGATGGTTGCATGATACCCATTTCAGGACAGGGCCGCCAACAGGACAATGTATGGACATTCTAGTGTCCCCTTCACTGTTTCATCCTCATAGGCTGGCTCACAGTAGATGCCCACTAGCGTTTAGTGAAACAGGCTCTGCTGTGGTCTGCAGAGAAAGCTCACCACCCTCCCTCACCTGAGCAGCTGGTCCAGGTGGCCTTCGAGGAAAGAAACAGAGTTCATATAAAGCTTTTGGAGGCAGTGCAGCTTGAGGAACTGAGTGGTGAACTGGGTAACAATCTCCTTCTTCTGCTCTGGGGAAACGTAGCGAGAGACATCCATGTGGGAGAGAACGAGCTTCTGAAGATTCCTCATGTGGCCCAGGTATGGGGTAAACTGTGTCAGGATGGGCAGTACCCACTTGCAATTCACTTCCACCTCCTGGATACAGTCTAGGTTCACCATTTTCAGGATGCTTCTGATATTGCGGAAGGGCATTCCCAAAATTTTCAGCTTCTTACAGCACAGGTGTAGTAAATCTTTCCTCTGCTTGACCCATAGAAGGAGGCAGGTGAGGTGTTCATCCAGAGTCCTGTTCTTGAGCCAAAGTTCTACGAACACAGTCAAGGGCTGCCGTCCTCTCATCCTTGGACAGTCCTGCACTGGTTTTTTGTTCCTCTTGGCATTGAGGAAGCACCCACGGGCCATAGCTTCAGACCAAACCATCCAGAAGTTCTCACAGACATCCTGTAAATCCAGCACTTGAAGTTTCCACCTCCTGTGGGAAAATAGAGGTGAGACTGAGAATTTCAGAACTCATTTCTGAACTTAAACTCCACATCCTGGATAGCAGCTCCTCCCCTCCCTGCTTCTTGTCCCTGTCTCTGACATTTCTCCACCCTGTTTTCCCCTTGGATCCTGCCCACTTTCACATTTTTTTTTTTTTTTTTTTTTTTGAGACCAAGTCTCCTTCTGTCACCCAGGCTGGAGTGCAGTGGTGTGATGTCACCTCACTGCAACCTCTGCTTCCCCGGTTCAAAGGATTCTCCTGCCTCAACCTTGCAAGTAGCTGGGATTACAGGAGCCCAGCACCATGCCCAGCTAATTTTAGTATTTTTAGTAGAGTTGGGGTTTACCATGTTGGACAGGCTGGCCTCCAACTCTTGACCTCGGCCTCCCAATGTGCTGGGAATACATTGTGAGCCACCGTGCCCGGCCCAGTTCTCACTTTTCATGCTGGCTTTCAGTGCCATTAGGGGAGAGGTTCCTGTTACCTCCATGGACCTGGCATGGTCAGCAGTGCTTTCCCTGAGGAGCTGGTGAATGGCCAAGGCCTCTCAGCTTCCTCACCACCACCATCGCCCCTTGGGCCTCCTCACTTCTCATGACCCAGCTGTTCCTTCGGTTGGACACCTGGGCCCTCCCCACCAGCCCACCTGGCCCACCTCACCTGGGACGAACCCCGTGGGTAAGCAGTGCATCAAGCCCATTGAGCACAGCTTGGAAGGTCTCCAGACAAGGCATCTTTATCAGAGGCCTCAGAGGGAGGCGGCGGAAGGGCCAGGCCTGTACCATCAGCTTCAGGGCCTCACAGCGTCTCCTGCTGAAGGCCTCCATGAACAGTGGGGGGAAAAGTTCTGTGGGCAGCTCCTCCAGGGTGGACATGGCCAAGGCTTGGTCCCTCAGCACGCTCCGCCCCGCCAGCTCCAGGAGTCTGGGTGGAGTCCGGATGCTCATCTTCATGAATCTGCAGGGAAAACTTCCAGAGGACAAACCCAGAGAAAAGGCATCACTCTCAGGACAAGCCCATGCAATCTCATCTTCTCCCAGGGCCAAAGTCACTGCTTTGGCAATGGTGAAACAGCCCTCAGTTTACTCCAATTCTACTCAGTACTCAGTGGCCATTAAGCCAGCATTCTGCCTCTGCTGCATCAGCATGAGCGTCTCCGAAGCAGTGAGGAGGCAGGGCCACAACTAGCCCTTCCTTTCTATCCAGTGCTCCATCCAGTGACTAGTGAGTGTGGAGGAACCTGAAAGCAAACCCCTCCGACCATTGGGGGAAATTACTAATTACTCAAGGTTCTAAAACAATGGGAAAGGGAGTGTCACAAGCCTACATGCCCACAATTTCAGTTCCTACAAATAAGCTTGTTGGGAACATTCATGGGGCATCCCTAGAACAGGTTCTATTTGTTTTCTTTTCTTTATTTAAGGTTTCCTTCTCTTTCTCTCTCTTCTTTCCTTCTTTCCCTCTCTCCCTCCCTTCTTTCTTTCTTCCCCCCTCTCTCTCCCTTCTTTCTTTCTTGTCTTCTTTCCCTGCATCCCTTCTCTCATTCTCTCTCTCCCTCCCTCTCTCCCTCACTCTTTCTGACAGGGTCTTGCTCTGTTACCCAGCCTGGAGTGCAGTGGTGGGATCTTGGCTCACTGCAGCCTTGACTTCCCAGCCTCCCAAGCCTCCTCAGCCTCCCAAGTAGCTGGGACCACAGTTATGCATCACCACACCCAGCTCATCTTTTATGTTTTGACTTTTTGTAAAGACAGTGGATTTCACTATGTTGTCCAAGCTGGTCTTGAACTCCTAGTCTCAAGCAATCCACCCCCCTTGGCCTCCCAAAGTACCGGGATTATAGTTGTGAGCCTCCACTCCAGCCTTATTATCGAATATTTCAGTGAGAAGCTTTGAAAGCTATGTGACACTGTTATGCATCATTCGCAAGATAGATGATTCCAATACACACCTCTCGCACATATTCAAAATCAACCACTTTGGCTGGGTGCAGTGACTCACCCGTAATCTGAGCATTTTGTGAGGCCAAGGCAGGTGGATCATCTGAGATCAGGAGTTCAAGACGAGCCTGGCCAACATGGTAAAACCCTACCTCTACTAAGCCAGCAAAAATTAGCCAGGTGCAGTGGTCTGCGCCTGTAGTCCAAGCTACTAGGGAGGCTGAGGCAGGAGGATCACTTGAACCCAGGAGGCAGAAGTTGCGGTGAGCTGACATTATACCACTCCACTCCAGCCTGGGAAATAGGCTAGATTCAAAAGAGAGACAGAGAGAGCTACATTTGATTAGACTTCTTAATCTCTACCCAGTTAATCCTGATTGGATTTTTGGCTTTCTTCCAGATTAACTGATTGAATTAGATATTCATCCATCAAAATGAAAGATTTAGGGATAGGGTGAAAGTCCAAGACTCATTCACTGATTCACTCCACAAACGTGGAGTTTTACTAATATGTGTCCTTCACAGTCCTGAGTGTGAGACAGGGAAGGGTTGAATCTCTTCCTGATATTAGACAGAAAGAAAGAAAACTTGAAAGTATCTGTAGAGGGATCCTTGGCCACATCAAATTTCTCAAAATATTTCAGAGTTAAAACAGTTTTACAAAGACAGAGATGACAGTTCCTAAGAAAACACAATAGTAATCTTCATATATCCAGTGATTACCTGGGTGGCATAATTCTTCTTGGTGTTGAGGGAGCTGAGTCTCACTTCGTTGCCCAGGCTGGAGTGCAGTGGTGCCATCTCGGCTCACTGTTACCTCAGCCTCCAAGATTCAAGCAATTCTCATGCTTCAGTCTTCCACGTAGCTGGGATTACAGGCATGCACCCCCACACTCATGTCTCCATTTGGGTGGAAGAGGATGTGATTGCTTTAAAATTAAGGTCAAAGATCCTTTTTTGTTAAGATGTTGCTTTTGTTTTTTGGACAGGGTCTCTCTCTTTTGCCCAGGCTGGAGTACAGCAGTGGTGTGAGCATGGCTCACTGCATCCTCAATCTTCTGGGCTAAAGTGATTCTCCCACACCAGCCACCCAAATAGCTGGGGCTACAGATGCATGCCACCATGCCTAGCTAATTAAAAAAAAAAAAGTAGAGGCCGAGCACCAGTGGCTCATGGCTCTAATCCCAGCATTTTGGGAGGCCAAGGCAGGTGGATCACTTGAGGTCAGGCGTTTGAGACCAAACTGGCCAGCATGGTGAAACCCCCGCCCCTACTAAAAATACAAAAATTAGCCAGGCATGGTTTCAGATGACTGTTATACCAGCTTCTCTGTATGGAGACTGATGCATGAGAATTGCTTGAACCTGGGAGGTAAAGGTTACAGTGAGTTGAGATCGTGCCACTGCACTCCAGTCTGGGCAACACAGCGAGACTCCATCCCCATCCTCAAAAAAAAAAAAACGTTGTGTAGAGGAGGGTTTTTGTCATGTTGCCCAGGTTGGTATCAAACCCCTGGGCTGAAATGATCCTCCCACTTTGGCCTCCCAAAGTGTTGGGGTTAAAGGCATGAGTCACTGCTCCCTTCAAGAATTTTGAAATGACCTAAACCAAAGCACAATCAACTTTTTTGAAATAAAGACAGAACTGTATTTAGAGGAAAACATTCAAAGCTTCAAATTGTTCATATGAAAAAAAAAAAGGACAGGATATAGCTCTGTGCCATCGTAGGCTGCACTGTCACCATCCCAGACCAGCTGACTGTAGGTCAGATGGGAGTGTCCTTACAGAAATTAATGACTTACCAGATCTGGATGTAGTTTAGAAGGTGCTCAGACCTCAGGAAGAACCAGGCAGGAACTCCAGGCTTGAAGACTTTGGGTCTCTCCTGTGGGTCTTTAGAAGCTTTTATTGACGTTTCTAGTCACAACTCCCACCCACGCCCCTCCACGTATCCGCTGCTAGCTTCCAATCAAAAAGTGATATCTGATTGCATTTCTGAAGCTCCAGCCAGTTAATCCTGATTGGGTTTTTGGCTCTCCCCAGATTAATGGATTGAATCAGATGTCCATTCATATCACATATCTATATTCACTTCATGAAGCAAGAAATTGACAGTGTTAGGGATAGGGTAGAAGTCAAGAATACATTCATTCAAGGCCAGGTGAGGTGGCTCACTCCTGTAATCCCAGCACTTTGGGAGGCAGAGGCAGGTGGATTATCTGAGGTCAGGAGTTTGAGAAAAGCCTGGCCGACATGGTAAAACCCTACCTCTACCAAAATTACAAAAATTAGCCAGGTGCGGTGGTCTGTGCCTATAGTCCAAGCTACCAGGGAGGTTGAGGCAGGAGGATCGCTTGAACCCAGGAGGCAGAGGTTGCAGTGAATTGACAATACACCACTGCACTCCAGCCTGGGAAATAGGCAAGATTCAAAAAAAAAAAAAAAAAAAAAGAAAAAAGAGAGAGAGAGAACTACATTTGTACATTTGATTTGACTTCTTAAACTCTACCCAGTTAATCCTGATTGGATTTTTGGCTTTCTTCCAGATTTACTGATTGAGTTAGATATTCATCCATCGAAGTGAAAGAATTAGGGATAGGGTGAAAGTCCAGGACTCATTCAGTGATTCACTCCATAAACATGGAGTTTTACTAATATGTGTCCTTCAAAGTCCTGAGTGTGAGAGAGGGAAGGGTTGAATCTCTTCCTGACATTAGAGAAAAGAAAAAACTTGAAAGTACCTTTGTTGAGGGATCCTTGGCCACATCAAATTTATCGAAATATTTCAGAGTTAAAACGTTTTACAAAGACAGAGATGACAGTCCCCAAGAAAACACAATAGAAATCTTCATGTATCCAGTGATCACCTGGGTGGTATAATCTAATTTTTTTGGTGTGGGGGAAGCTGAGTCTAACTTTTTGCCCCATGCTGGAGTGCAGCGGCGCCATCTCAGCTCATTGTAACCTCCGCCTCTGAGATTCAAGCAATTCTCATGCTTCAGGCTTCCACGTAGCTGGGATTACAGGCATGCACCCCACACCCATGTCTCCATTCAGGTGGAAGAATTACCGAGAGGATGTGATTGGTTTAAAATTAAGGTCGAAGATCCTTTTTTGTTAAGATTTTGTTTTTGTTTTTTGGACAGGGTCTCTCTCTTTTGCCCAGGCTGGAGTACAGCAGTGGTGTGAGCATGGCTCACTGCAGCCTCAATCTTCTGGGCTAAAGTGATTCTCCCACACCAGTCACCCAAATAGCTGGGACTACAGATGCATGCCACCATGCCCGGCTAATTAAAAAAAAAAAAAAGTAGAGGCCGAGCACCAGTGGCTCACGGCTCTAATCCCAGCAGTTTGGGAGGCCAAGGCAGGTGGATCACTTGAGGTCAGGTGTTGGAGACCAACCTGGCCAGCATGGTGAAACACCCGCTCTACTAAAAATGCAAAAATTAGCCAGGCATGGTGGCAGATGGCTGACACCAGCTTCTGAGGATGGAGACTGAGGCATGAGAATTGCTTGAACCTGGAAGGTAAAGGTTGCAGTGAGTTGAGATCGTGCCACTGCACTCCAGTCTGGGCAACACAGTGAGACTCCATCCCCGTCCTCACAAAAAAAATAACGTTGTGTAGAGGAGGGTTTCTGTCATGTTGCCCAGGTTGGTCTCAAACCCCTGGGCTGAAATGATCCTCCCACTTTGGCCTCCCAAAGTGTTGGGGTTAAAGGCATGAGTCACTGCTCCCTTCAAGAATTTTGAAACGACATCAACCAAAGAACGATCAACTTTTTTGAAATAAAGACAGAGCTGTATTTAGAAGAAAACATTCAAGCTTTAAATTGTTCATATAAAAAAAAAAAGACAGGATACACTTCTGTGCCATCGTAGGCTGCAGTGTCAACATCCCAGACCAGCTGACTGTAGGTCAGATGGGAGTGTCCTTACAGAAATTAGTGACTTACCAGATCTGGATGTAGTCTAGAAGGTGCTCAGACCTCAGGAAGAACCAGGCAGGTACTCCAGGCTTGAAGACTTTGGGTCTCTCCTGTGGGTCTTTAGAAGCTTTTATTGACCTTTCTAATCACAACTCCCACCCACGCCCCTCCACGTATCCGCTGCTAGCTTCCAATCAAAAAGTGATATCTGATTGCATTTCTGAAGCTCCAGCCAGTTAATCCTGATTGGGTTTTTGGCTCTCCCCAGATTAATGGATTGAATCAGATGTCCATTCATATCACATATCTATATTCAGTTCATGAAGCAAGAAATTGTCAGTGTTAGGGATAGGGTAGAAGTCAAGAATACATTCATTCAAGGCCAGGTGAGGTGGCTCATACCTGTAATCCCAGCACTTTGGAAGGACAAGGTGAGTAGATCACCTGATGTCAGGGGTTCAAGACCAGCCAGGACAAAAAGGTGAAACCCTGTCTCTACAAAAATACAAAAATACAAAAATTAGCCCGGCATGATGGCAGGTGCCTGAAACACAGCGACTCAGGAGGCTGAGGCAGGAGAATTGCTTGAACCCAGGAGGCAATGGTTGCAGTGAGCCAAAATTGTGCCACTGCACTCCAGTCTGGGTGACAGAGGGAGATTCTGTCAAACAATAAAAAAATTAATTCATTCATGAACTCCACAAACACTGATGGAACTTTACTAATATGTGAACTTCATAGTCTTGAGTGTGAGGCAGGGAAGGATTTGATCTGTTCCCGACATTAGACAGAAAAATAAAATCTGAAAGCAGTGTTGTTAGGAGATCTTTGGCCACATCAAAATATGAAAATGCTTTATACTTTAAAAAGCTTTATAAAAACAGAGGAGTCATCCCTACAAAATCAGAATAAAAATCTCAATTTATCGAATGGTCTTGGGGATTTTATATAACCTAAGGTAGCAGATTATATGCTCGTTCTGGTGGAGGAGAGGTGCCACTGAGGGCGTGAGTGGTCTCAGGGCTTAGGTTAAGGCTTCTTTGGAAGAAATTGAAACCACAACTATAAACTTCATCAATTTAATCAGTGAAGAAGGGAGGGGGAGAAACAAAAATAAACCAAGCTTGCAACACATTCAGCATTCATCAGGAGGTCAGCTTGCTCTCTGACCTGGTTCCTTATGGTTGCTGGCAGCCTACTGTTCCAAAATCATATAGACCTTAGATTACAGTTCCCCTTAACTTCCCTGCAGACAACAATTTAAGCATTGTGAAACATTAACTTTTTTCATTTGACATATTCTTTCAGATTCTGCATGTCAGTGAAACTACTGATGCCAGCTCATCTAAATGGGCCCTGCAAGGCACTAACGCAAAGAATGCAGTTTCTAGATCCTGTTGACTTCTTCCCTCTTACCGCTACCCCAACTTTCCAGTCCCTTGCTATCCAGGATCCACTGAAAATGCTCAGTACTCCTTGGGGTGATGAATTTGAGGATCTCCTCCTAACTTCTCATTCAGCCACCCTGTGATCATTAAACTCTCTGCTGCAAACCCTGCTGTCTCACAATATTGCTAAGCTACTGTGCAGCAGGCATAGGAACCTGATGGTCCTGTAATAAAGTCATGTCAAAATTACAAATGGAAGTGAGGGTGGAGCTGGTCAGGGTTGAGCTGGGTTTTTAATGGGAACCTGGGAGTGAACCAAGACTTGCTGAACATGTTGGGGGTTATTGAGTGGGTGGAGGATGAATCTATCCAACATTGCATGGATGCCCCTTTGGTTTTGATCCTTATGACCAAGTATGAGTCTTTCAAAACAATTTATATAATCCTCCTTATATTTCCTTTCAAAACCTTCAACTTCCTTTATCTCCCCGAATAATCTCACATCTATTCCCATTTCTTTGCTTACTTCATAATACATTTTTTTTTTTTTTTTTACAGAGTCCTCTTCTCTGTTAAGTAGACCATATATTTTGTTGCCACACAAGATGAGTAACCTGGTTCTATGGACAGAAAGGGTCAAAAGGATCCCATTCCTCAACAGCTGGGGGTGATGTAAAGGCCATGGTTATTCCTTGTCATATCTGCACCTGCATATTGCCAGTGAAAACTTGCAGGGCACATTGGGCAGGCTTCCAAATTAACCACCTGTGGGAAGGTCTTTCGATTGGCTTACATCCTGTCCCTGAGCAAAGTGTCTGATCATGAGTTCATGAGTGCCTCAAACCCCACAACTACTGATGAAGGCTTCACCCACTGACAGTGAGAAGGACGCTGATTTGATTCTGATCATGAAGTTTTGCTGGTTGTCTTGCAAGGAATACGTTTTATCCTGTTATGTTGTCATCTAAAGCCAATGATTGTAACCTCTGTCTTGTCCCGTCCAATGGAAAAAAACAAAAACAAAAACTCAATTCTATTTGAGCCTTGCCAGGTCAATAAGACAAAAGAAAATTTAAAAACAAACTGATAGGAGGAGTCCCATTCCCTTCTTTTAACCTTTCTTACAAAAGCATTCCAACTTGTAACAGACTTTGGAAAACACCCACTTTGTCAGTGTGTGTCTTCCAGGTCAATCCTCACATTTAGCTTCCAGTGAAGCTTTCGTTAATTATTTCTACCTCAACAGCCTTATCTTCTATTGACACAAGGTTGTATGGTAATGGTTTGAATTGGGGTGGGAAGAAAAAATATTTCTATGTCTTTTATAAAGTAATCCTTGCATGTCATCTCCATAGAAGAATGAGTAGGTTCCTCTCCAAATATGTCCTGAGTATTGATGCACCCAATAAACAAAACTAATATTTATTTCATATACTAGAGCTATAGATGCATTCTATTTCCCTCTAGAATCTCCAATGAACCAATATCTAGTTTCAGTAAGTTTCTCTGATTATATGGCAGAGGGTAACATGGTCATGTTCTGATTCTGTGTCTATGTCGATAACTATAGCGTTCCAGCCTTCATAATATGCATCAAACCAGAGTTTATTCTAGTGTGAGTCTGGCACACCATCTAGATTAGACCCAGTTACACTAATGTTTTCTATGCATAGAGATAAGTTACCAGTAATGAAATCAATAATAGTCATAGACCACTCATTTGCACCTATAGCTTCTTCTCAATGCCAAGTCATTTAATTATCAATATTAACCAACCTACCAAAGGAAGGATAACAAATCTTATCATGAATTTAGCATCCTCAATTGCTACCCAACTGTGTACGAAAGCAGGTTGTAGTATTAAGTGTGATCCTTCCCTTTCATCTAAATGACTCCATAGCCAGCAATTGCTTTGGTTAGTGAGAGTGGCTACATTTTGAACAGAAGATCTTAGAAAGTGTTTGGTTTGAGTGGTGAAAGTACCTAACAACATAAAATATAGGTTTGATAATTTTGTGTTAATACAAAACAAAACCAAGTCTCAGTCAATGGAAGAAGATCAAATGGAGTCTTGTTCCATTGTCTTGGAAAAGCTGTCTACCAGGTGATGATGTGTGCTTCTAGGGAAGGCTTTTCCTCAGATATCCTTAAGTTTAAGTCATCTGGTACAGTCCCATCCAATGCTGTTCATGGGCAGATTTCCCTTGGTGTCATTTCTAAAGGATGCAATCTCCAAATGCTAGGGCATGAAGGTCTAAGCATCACTGAAAGCCTCCTTCACCTAGTGGAAATAGTCTTTCAAATACTGCATCAAGGTCTTGCAGTATTGATTCATATTGTTACTGAACGATGGGCTCACTCTTCTAAGTGCATAGAACCCAATACTATGACACCATGCTTGAGAAAAGTAAAAAAGATTCAACCAGGCATGGTGGCTCACGCCTATAATCCCAGCACTTTAGGAGGCTGAGGCAGGCAGATCCCAAGGTCAGAGGTTTGAGACCAACCTGGCCAACATGGAGAAACCCCCTTTCTGCTAAAAATACAAAAGTTAGCTCAGTGTGGTGACATGTGCCTGTAATCCCAGCTACTCAGGAGGCTGAGGCAGGAGAACCACTTGAACCCAGGATGCAGAAGTTGCAGTGAGCCAAGGTAGCACCATTGTACTCCAGCCTGGGCAACAGAGACTCTGTCTCTAAACAAAAAATAAAAAGAATGCAGTCTCCTTTATTGGTTCAGCTAATTTTAGTTTCAAGATACAGTTTGTTCACTCAACCTTTGTAGAATACGAAGGATAATGAAGTTAATATTAGTGCCATTGGATCAGTAAAATCTTACCTGTGTGATAACCTGCCCAGTAACTGAGTTCTCCTCCCATTGGAGATTTCTCCAGAGATGCTCCAGAAAGGAAGCAAATTTTATAATCATTTTTTTTGACTATGACTGTGGCATCAGCCTTTCTAAAAAGGTAATCTACAACCCATCCTGAAAACGGACACACAATCACAAGAATTGTAGCCTTTTTACATGGCTCACTGACATCATTGGTCCACGACAACCCCGTTTCTTGCAGCTATATGTGTGTATGTCTACCTATTCATATCTGTATCTATTTCCATTTATTACCATGATTCACTTCCACTCTCCTTTCCATAGACAGCCACTCTACTCTTTGACCTAGCCTTGAATTTGCTTGTGACCTCATGGAACATAAGTATATGGAAAGCATATAGACTATATACTTGCATTTTGTATGTGTATTTATTTAAATCCACATATATGTTATAGCGTATGGTGCTACAGAAGAGGACCTCACAATTAATTGTCCAGTCCCAGACACTTTGGAGAGAATAGACATGCTGTTATAATAATTATTATTATTTTTGGAGATAGTGTCTGGCTCTGTGGCCAGGCTGGAGTGCAATGGCATGATCTCGGCTCACTGCAACCTCTACCTCTTGGGTTCAAGTGCCTCTCCTGCCTCGGCCTCCTGAGTACCTGGGATTACAGGTGCCCGCCACCACGCCTGGCTCTTTTTTGTATTTTTAGTAGGAATGGAGTTTCTCCATGTTGGCCAGGCTTGTCTTGAACTCCTGACCTCAGCTGATCCACCCGCCTCAGCCTCCCAAAGTGCTGGGAATACAGGCCTGAGCCACTGCACTCGGCCTCTCATGTGCCTTTTTAAATTGATGGGAAAATGACACCCAGGATAATTTATGGCCATTGTGGGAATTATTGGAAATCTTTAAGACTGTTTTTCTTACAAAACCACAATTGTAGGATTAAACAGTCTGAATGGGATGCTAGCACGTAGAGCCTTCTAAACTCTCTTTCTCTTCTTTTTTTGGGGAATTTGGGATCTGCCTACTGATTACAATTAATTGGTTTTCTTAAAAAACTGTTTGGTTAAGATTTTTTTTTTTGACAAGGTCTCACTCTGTTGCCCAGGCTGGAGTACAGCAGTGGTGTGAACATGGCTCACTGCAGCCTCAATCTTCTGAGCTCAAGGGATTCTCCCACCTCAGCCACCCAAGTAGCTGGGACTACAGATCCATGCCACCATGCCCGGCTAATTTTTTAAAAAAGAAGCAGGGCGTTGGTGGCTCACTGGTGTAATCCCAGCACATTGGGAGGCCAAGGCAGGTGGATCACTTGAGGTTAGGAGTTCAAGACCAGCCTGGCCAACATGGTGAAACCCTGTTTCTACCAAAAATATAAAAATTAGCCAGGCATGGTGGCGGGTGGCTATAATCGCAGCTACTCAGGAGGCTGAGGCATGAGAATCGCTTGAGCCTGGGAGGCAGAGGTTGGAGTGAGTTGAGATCATGCCACTGCACTCCAGCCTGGGTAACAGAGCCAGATACCATCCCCACCCCTCAAAACAAATGTTTTGTAGAGATAGGGTTTTGCCATGTTGCCCAGGTTGGTCTCGAGCCCCTGGGCTCAAATGATCCTCCTGCCTTGGCCTCCCAAAGTGTTGGAATTGTAGGCATGAGTCACTGCTCCCACCAAGAATTTTTTTCTTTAAATTCCTGGTTTAATAAGGACTTGTTTATTTTGAGGAAAAAAGGTCCCAAACATGGAGCTGTTCACAAAAATAACCCACAGTATCAACTTTAGAAAACACATTTTAAGAGTATAACACTAATTATTTTTCTGAGGATGCATTTGACATGCCAACTCTCATTCACAAAAATACATTGTTAGATTTTTGTTGAACTGCCCCACACAGCACACTGACATGGGGTGTAACACACATACTTCTAACTCCAAGCTGCTTTCAGGAGCTACTCAACTCAATGAGATTGCCTTTGCAGTTAGGGAAGCAACTATTGAACTTATGTATAAATGAAAAGAACTGTATTCCCTGCATAACAAGAGATTATTTTGGAGACAGTTGATAAAAACCATACATCCTTTTTACTGTTAAGTCATAAGGAGGTATCTAAATTAAAAGCAAAAATTGCAGGGTAAGACTTAAGAAAACTTCTAGGAGCATCAAGGGAAGTGAAAATGGAACTAGGTGCAGGGCAATATGAATTAATGAATGTGGGAAGGACAAGGATGGGGAGAACAGTAAGCATGTGCTGAAGATGCTAAGGGAGAGGATCTGGTGAAAAATTTGATGTTAGACAAGCACCTAGGTAAAGAAACAATGGGATAAGATTTCTCAACCCCACTATGTGCTTAAGAGTCATCCTGGCCATTCGCCCTGTCTCTGTCATCCTCTCCTTCCTCAGCCCCTTTTTCATCATCCTTGATCAACTCCAGCTGGTTGTCCCCCTGATCTTCATTATCATCATCACACAGTAGGTCCCCCTCCTCAACAGAGTCATCTGCACCCCCCTCAGACTCCATCTTCACGTGAGTCTTATCCTTCTTCGAGGAGCTGCTGGTCTGCTCCTCTTCAGACTTAGCATTCTTTACCTCTACTCCTTGCTTGCAATGTTCCTTTTCAATTTTTTCCAGGTTTTCCAGGAGAGAATCCACTTTCTGTTTTATCTGGGTCAACTCCTGCTTAATGGCCTGAAGGTCATCTCCTTTCAGCTTTCCAGACTTGGAAGATCCCCGCTTTCCACTCTTAGAATTGAAGCCACTTTTGCCCCTTCGTGAGGTGTTTCCTGATATGCGCTGGCGTTTCGAGGGCACTACAGCCAGAGCAATGGGAGGAGGAGGAGGTACACGTGCTGGGAAACTGTACATCCCACCATAATAATCCCGTTGCAAGTTATAGTCCAAGTCAAAAGAGGAGCCGTACATCTCTGCTGCTGATCGTTTCACACCTGCGTTTCCTCGGTTCACTTTTGGCTCTGCAGCCAGGTTAATATCTACAACCTGGCTAGCAATCATTCTGCCATCCTCTCCTGCTACAGCAGCCCGGGCATTTTTCTCCTTATCATATTGAACGAAGGCAAAGCCCTTATGAACAGAGCAGCCCGCAATTTTGCCATACTTGGAAAAGATCGCCTCCACATCCGATTTCTTGACAACAAGAGTGTTGAGATTCCCAATGAACACACGGGAGTTCATGGAGTGAGGATCCATCTTGTTGGTAACGTTGCTGGCCATTGTGTTGGATGATAAGGTTTCTCAAAAAGCCAAAAACAGGAGGCGGGAGGGAGAAGAGATTCGATTCTAAGTCTCCTACTGCCGGGTTCTACGTGGAGAAGCTGACTGCGGCTCGAGGCCAGAAATGCAGCCAAACCAGCTCAGTCTTCGTCTCTTCACAAAATGGCTCCCAACAAGAATTCTGAAATGACGTAAAGAAAAGCACAATCAACATTTTTGAAATAAAGACAAAACTGCATTTAGAAAAAAAAATCAAAGCTTCAAAGTGTTCATATGAAAAAAAGAAAAAAAAGACAGGATATAGCTCTGCTCTGTCGTAGGCTGCACTGTCACCATGCTACATCGGCTGACTGTAGGTCCCATGGGAGTGTCCTTACAGAAATTAGTGACTTACCAGATCTGGGCTCAGTTTGCAGGGTGTTCAGACCTCAGGAAGAACCAAGCAGGAACTCCAGGCTTGAAGACTTTGGGTCTCTCCTGTGGGTCTTTAGAAGCTTTTATTGACCTTTCTAATCACAACTCCCACCCACGCCCTTCCATGTATGCACTGCTAGCTTCCAATCAAAAAGCAATATCTCATTGCATTTCTGAAGTTCCACCCAGCTAATCCTGATTGGGTTTTTGGCTTTCCCCAGATTAATGGATTGAACCAAATATCCATTCATATCACATACCCATATTCATTTCATGAATCAAGAAATTGACAGCATTAGGGATAGAGTGGAAATCAAGAATTCATTCATTTAAGGCCAGCTGAGTTGGCTCATGCCTGTAATCCCAGCACTTTGGGAGGCCAAGACAGGCGGATCACCTGAGGTCAGGAGTTCAAGACAAGCTTGACCAATATGGTGAAACCCTGTCTCTACAAAAATACAAAATTAGCCGGGCATGATGGCGGCTGCCTGTAATCCGGATACTTGGGAGGCTGAGGTGGGAGAATTGCTTGAACCCAGGAGGCTGAGGTTGCAGTGAACCGAGATTGCACACTGCCCTCCAGACTGGGTGACAGAGGGAGACTCTGTCAACAACAACAACAACAACAACAACAACAACAGAATGCCTTCATTCACGAACTCCACAAGCACTGATGGAATTTTACTGATATGTCACCTTCATAGCCCTGGGTGTGAGGCAGGGAAGGGGTTGATCTGTTCTGGACATTAGACAGAAAAATAAAACCTGAGAATAGTGTTGTTGGGAGATCTTTGGCCACATCAATATTTTAAAAATGCTTTATAGTTAAAATAGCTTCCTGACCTTCCTTAACCTGAACTGCTTGGTTCCCTAGAAGCAGAAATTGATCATATTAGAACCCAAACTCATACCAACCTTGACCTTCATGAAGTACTCAAGTGTTTCTGCTCTTCTTCCTCATGTGATGTAGAAAGTATTAAAAGTGATGAGTTTAGGCCGGGCACGGTGGTTCACGCCTGTAATCTCAGCACTTTCAGAGGCCGAGGTGGGTGCATCACCTGTGGTCAGGAGTTCCAGACCAGCCTGGGCAACATGGTGAAACTCTGTCTCTACTAAAAATACAAAAACTAGTTGTGTGTGGTGGCCTGTGCCTGTAATTCCAGCTAACTGGGAGACTGAGGCAGGAGAATCACTTGAACCGGGAGGCAGAGGTTGCAGTGAGGCGAGATCGCACCATTGCACTCCAGCCTGGAAAGCAAGAGTGAAACTCCATCTCAAAAAAAAATTAATAAATAAATACATTATAAATAAATAAATTAATTAATGCTTTAAAGAAAAAAGAAATAAACTTTGCCTACAAATTTCATATGCAATTGAATACCTCTTAAATTTTGATGTGAACCGACCAGGCATGGTGGCTGAGGCCTGTAATCCCAGCACTTTGGGAGGCCGAGGCGGGCAGACCACGAAGTCAGGAGATTGAGACCATCCTAGTTAACATGGTGAAACCCCGTCTTTACTAAAAATACAAAAAATTAGCCAGGTGTAGTGGCATGCACCTGTAGTCCCGGCTATTTAGGAGGCTAAGGCAGGAAAATTGCTTGAACCGGGGAGGCAGAGGTCGAAGTGAGCTGAGATCGTGCCACTGCATTCCAGCCTGGTGACGGAGCGAGACTCCATCTCAAAAAATAAATGAATAAAATAAATAAATCAATAAAAATATTGTGACAGGAACCAACATTGCTCAACTTGTACACTAATGTCTTACAAAATCCTTTCCTTGTCACCTTCAAATCTCCATTTCAAATGCTACACTCTGCATAACTCTACCACTTTGTTGCCATTTTCTGATGATGGAGAAGACCATACGTGTGTGTGTGTGGCATCAGAACTATTGACTCCTCCTATTGATGTTTAAGATATTCCATTACACAAACCTGGGCTCATACTTTTTGTTGTTAGATCTTATGCCAAAAATGTAGGCAAAAAATGCCAAGCAGGAAATGCTATCACTTCTGAAGATGAATTCATAGAGATGGAAATTCTTTCAGAATTTATTTTTCCAGCTTTTTTCTTTGTTTGTTTGTTCGTTTGTGTTTGTTTGTTTTGAGACGGAGTCTCGCTCTGTCACCAAGTTGGAGTGCAGTGGTGAAATCTTGGCTGACTGCAACCTCCTCCTCCTGAGTTCAAGCGACTCTCATGCCTCAGTCTCTCGAGTAGCTAGTACTATGGGTGGGCGCCACCATGCTCAGCTAATTTTTGTATTTTTAGCAGAGACAGGGTTTCACCATGTCGGCTAGGATGGTCTCAATTTTTTGGCATCGTGATCTACCTGCCTTGGCCTCCTGAAGTGCTGGGATTAGAGGTGTGAGCCACCACCGTGCCCGGCCTTTTTTTTTTTTTTTCCTTTTGAGATGGAGTCTCACTCTATTGCCCAGGCTGGGAATGGGACTCCTCCTATCAATTATTTTTTTAAATTTTCTTTTGTTTTATAGACCTGACAAGGCTCAAATAGAGTTGACTTTTTGTTTTTGTTTTTTCCATTGGAAGGGACAAACAGAGGTTACAATCATTGGCTTTAGATGACAAGATAAAAGAATAAAACATATTCCTTGCAAGACAACCAGCAGAACTTCATGATCAGCATCAAATCAGTGCCTTCTCACTGTCAGTGGGTGGAAGCCTTCATCAATACTTGTAGAGTTTGAAGCACTCATGAACTCATGATCAGACTCTTTACTCAGGGACAGGATGTAAGCCAAGCGAAAGACCTTCCATAGGTGGTGAATTTGGAAGCCTGCCCAATGTGACCTGCAAGTCTTGCTTCACTCCCAGGTTCCCATTAAAAACCCAGCTCAACCCTGACCAGCTCCACCCTCACTTCCATTTGTAATTTTGACATGACTTTATTAAAGGACCATCAGGTTCCTATGCCTGCTGCACAGTAGTTTAGCAATATTCTGAGACAGCAGGGTTTGCAGCAGAGAGTTTAATGATCACAAGGTGGCTGAATGAGAAGCTAGGAGGAGATCCTCAAATTCATCTCCCCAAGGAGTACTGAAGGTTTCCAGTGGATCCTGGATAGCAAGGGGCCAGAAAGTTGGGGTAGCGGTAAGAGGGAAGAAGTCAACAGGATGTAGAAACTGCATTCTTTGGTGAGTTGGTGCATTGCATGGCCCTTCAGATCAGCTGGCATCAGCAGTTTCACTGACATGCAGAACCTGAAAGAATATCTCAGATGAAAAAGTTAATGTTTTACAATGCTTAAATGGTTGTCTGCAGGGAAGTTAAGGGGAACTGTAATCTAAGGTCTATATGATTTTGGAACAGTAGGTTGCGGCAACCATGAGGAACCAGGTCAGAGAGCAAGAAGACCTCCTGATGAATGCTGAATGTGTTGCAAGCTTGGTTTATTTTTGTTTCTCTCCCTCCCTTCTTCACTGATTAAATTTATAAATTTTAGAGATGTGGTTTCAATTTCTTCCAAAGAAGCCTTAACCTAAGCCCTGAGACCACTCACGCCCTCAGTGGCACCTCTCCTCCACCAGAACGAGCATGTAATCTGCTACCTTAGGTTATACAAAATCCCAAAGACCATTCAGTACATTGAGATTTTTATTCTGATTTCGTAGGGACGACTCCTCTGTTTTTAAAAAGTTTTAAAGTAGAAAGCATTTTTATATTTTGATGTGGCCAAAGATCTCCTAACAACACTACTTTCAGATTTTATTTTTCTGTCTAATGTCGTAAACAGATCAAATCCTTCCCTGCCTCACACTCAAGACTATGAAGTTCACATATTAATAAAAAAAAATCAGTGTTTGTGGAGTTCATGAATGAATGATTTTTTTATTTTTTGACAGAATCTCCCTCTGTCACCCAGACTGGAGTGCAGTGGCACAATTCTGGCTCACTGCAACCATTGCCTCCTGGGTTCAAGCAATTCTCCTGCCTCAGCCTCCTGAGTCGCTGTGTTTCAGGCACCTGCCATCATGCCGGGCTAATTTTTGTATTTTTGTATTTTTGTGGAGACGGGGTTTCACCTTTTTGACCTGACTGGTCTTGAACCCCTGACATCAGGTGATCTACTCACCTTGTCCTTCCAAAGTGCTGGAATTACAGGTATGAGCCACCTTGCCCACCAGTGAATCAATGTATTCTTGACTTCTACCTTATCCCTAACACTGTCAATTTCTTGCTTCACGAACTGAATATAGATATGTGATATGAATGGATATCTGACTCAATCCATTAATCTGGGGAGAGCCAAAAACCCAATCAGGATTAACTGGGTGGAGCTTCAGAAATGCAATCAGATATGGCTTTTTGATTGGAAGCTAGCAGTGCACACGTGGAAGGGCGTGGGTGGGAGTTGTGATTAGAAAGGTCAATAAAAGCTTCTAAAGACCCACAGGAGAGACCCAAAGTCTTCAAGCCTGGAGTTCCTGCCTGGTTCTTCCTGAGGTCTGAGCACCTTCTAAACTACATCCAGATCTGGTAAGTCACTAATTTCTGTAAGGACACTCCCATCTGACCTAGAGTCAGTCAGTCTGGGATGGTGACAGTGCAGCCTACGATGGCACAGAGCTATATCCTGTCCTTTTTTATATATATATATGAACAATTTGAAGCTTTGAATTTTTTCCTCTAAATGCAGTTCTGTCTTTATTTCAAAAAAGTTGATTGTGCTTTGGTTGATGCCATTTTAAAATTCTTGAAGGGAGCAGTGACTCACGCCTTTAACCCCAACACTTTGGGAGGCCAAAGTGGGAGGATCATTTCAGCCCAGGGGTTTGAGACCAACCTGGGCAACATGACAAAAACCCTCCTCTACACAACGTTTTTTTTGAGGGTGGAGATGGAGTCTCACTGTGTTGCCCAGACTGGAGTGCAGTGGCACGATCTCAACTCCCTGCAACCTTTAACTCCTGGGTTCAAGCAATTCTCATGCCTCAGTCTCCATCCTCAGAAGCTGGTGTCACAGACATCTGAAACCATGCCTGGCTAATTTTTGTATTTTTAGTAGAGGTGGGGTTTCACCACGCTGGCCAGGTTGGTCTCGAACACCTGACCTCAAGTGATCCACCTGCCTTGGCCTCCCAAAGTGCTGGGATTACAGCTGTGAGTCACCATGCATCTGTAGTCCCAGCTATTTGGGTGGCTGGTGTGGGAGAATCACTTGAGTCCAGAAGATTGAGGCTGCAGTGAGCTATGCTCACACCACTGCTGTACTCCAGCCTGGGCAAAAGAGAGACACTCTGTCCAAAAACAAAAACAAAATCAATCAAAAAGGATCTTTGACCTTAATTTTAAACCAATCACATCCTCTTCCACCCAAATGGAGACATGGCTGTGGGGGGTGCCTGCCTGTAGTCCCAGCTACGTGGAAGGCTGAAGCATGCGAATTGCTTGAATCTTGGAGGCAATCTTGGAGGTAACAGTGAGCCAAGATGGTGCCACTGCACTCCAGCCTGGGCGACGAAGTGAGACTCAGCTCCCTCAGCACCAAAAAAAATTATATGACCCAGGTGATCATCGGATACATGAAGATTTCTATTGTGTTTTCTTAGGGACTGTCATCTCTGTCTTTGAAAACTGTTTTAACTCTGAAATATTTTGATAAATTTGATGTGGCCAAGGATCCCTCAACAAAGATACTTTCAAGTTTTCTTTCTTTCTGTCTAATATCAGGAAGAGATTCAACCCTTCCCTGTCTCACACTCAGGACTTTGAAGGACACATATTAGTGGAAGTCCATGTTTGTGAAGGGAATCGGTGAATGAGTCCTGGACTTTCACCCTATCCCTAAATCTTTCATTTTGATGGATTAATATCTAATTCGATCAGTTATTCTTTAAGAAAGCCAAAAATCCAATAAGGATTAACTGGGTAGAGATTAAGAAGTCTAGTCAAATGTAGCTCTCTCTGTCTCTCAGTTCAATCTAGCCTATTCCCCAGGCTGGAGTGGAGTAGTATAATGTCAGCTCACTGCAACTTCTGCCTCCTGGGTTCAAGTGATCCTCCTACCTCAGCCTCCCTAGTAGCTTGGACTACAGGCGCAGACCACTGCACCTGGCTAATTTTTGCTGTCTTAGTAGAGGCAGGGTTTTACCATGTTGGCCAGGCTCGTCTTGAACTCCTGATCTCAGATGATCCACCTGCCTCGGCCTCACAAAATGCTCAGATTACAGGTGTGAGTCACTGCACCCAGCCAAAGTGGTTCAGTTTGAATATGTGTAAGAGGTGTGCATTGGAAACATCTATCTTGAGAATGATGCATAACAGTGTCACATAGCTTTCAAAGCTTCTCACTGAAATTTTCAATAACGAGGCTGGGGCAGAGGCTCACACCTATAATCCCAGTATGTTGGGAGGCCAAGAGGGGTAGATTGCTTGAGACTAGGAGTTCAAGACCAGCTTGGACAACATAGCGAAATCCACTGTCTTTACAAAAAGTCAAAACATAAAAGATGAGCTGGGTGTGGTGATGCATAACTGTGGTCCCAGCTACTTGGGAGGCTGAGGGGGAAGAATCCTTTGAGCTGGGAGGTCAAGGCTGCACTGAGCTGAGATCCCACCACTACACTCCAGGCTGGGTGACAGAGCAAGACCCTGTCAGAAAGAGTGAGAGAGGGAGAGAGAGAAAGAGAGAGAGAATGAGAGAAGGGATGCAGGGAAAGAAGACAAGAAAGAAAGAAGGGAGAGAGAGGGGGAAAGAAAGAAAGAAGGGAGGGAGAGAGGGAAAGAAGGAAAGAAGAAAGAGAGAGAAAGAGAAAGCAAGCTTAAATAATGAAAAGAAAACAAATAGAACCTGTTCTAGGGATGTCCCATGAATGTTCCCAACAAACTTATTTGTAGGAACTGAAAATGTGGGCATGTAGGCTTGTGACACTCCCATTCCCATTGTTTTAGAACCTTGAGTAATCAGTAATTTCCCCCAATGGTAGGAGGGGTTCACTTTCAGGTTCCTCCACACTCACTAGTCACTGGATGGAGCACTGGATAGAAAGGAAGGGCTCGTGGTGACCCTGCTTCCTCACTGCTTCGGAGACGCTCATGCTGATGCAGCAGAGGCACAATGCTGGCTTAATGGCCACTGAGTACAGGGCAGAATTGGAGTAAACTGAGGGCTGTTTCACCATTGCCAGAGCAGTGAGTTTGGCCATAGGAGAAGATGAGATTGCATGGGCTTGGCCTGAGAGTGATGCCTTTTCTCTGGGTTTGTCCTCTGGAAGTTTTCCCTGCAGATTCATGAAGATGAGCATCCGGACTCCACCCAGACTCCTGGAGCTTGCGGGGCGGAGCCTGCTGAGGGACCAAGCCTTGGCCATGTCCACCCTGGAGGAGCTGCCCACAGAACTTTTCCCCCCACTGTTCATGGAGGCCTTCAGCAGGAGATGCTGTGAGGCCCTGAAGCTGATGGTGCAGGCCTGGCCCTTCCGCCGCCTCCCTCTGAGGCCTCTGATAAAGATGCCTTGTCTGGAGGCCTTCCAAGCTGTGCTCGATGGGCTTGATGCACTGCTTACCCAAGGGGTTTGTCCCAGGTGAGGTGGCCCAGGTGGGCTGGTGGGGAGGGCCCAGGTGTCCAACTGAAGGAACAGCTGGGTCATGTGAAGTGAGGAGGCCCAAGGGGGATGGTGGTGGTGAGGAAGCCGAGAGGACTTGGCCATTCACCAGCTCCTCAGGGAAAGCACTGCTCACCACGCAAGGTCCATGGAGGTAACAGGAACCTCTCCTCTAATGGCACTGAAAGGCACCATGAAAAGTGAGAACTGGGCCGGGCACGGTGGCTCACAATGTAATCCCAGCACATTGGGAGGCTGAGGTCAAGAGTTGGAGGCCAGCCTGTCCAACATGGTAAACCCCAACTCTACTAAAAATACTAAAATTAGCTGGGCATGGTGGTGGGCTCCTGTAATCCCAGCTACTTGTGAGGTTGAGGCAGGAGAATCATTTGAACCCAGGAAGCAGAGGTTGCAGTGAGGTGACATCACACCACTGCACTCTAGCCTGGGCGACAGAGGGAGACTTGGTCTCAAAAAAAAAAACAAAAAAATGTGGAAGTGGGTAGGATCCAAGGGGAGAACAGAGTGAAGAAAAGTCAGAGAGAGGGACAAGAAGCAGGGAGGGGAGGAGCTGCTATCCAGGATGTGGAGTTTAAATTCAGAAATGAGTTCTTAAATTCTCAGTCTCACCTCTATTTTCCCACAGGAGGTGGAAACTTCAAGTGCTGGATTTACAGGATGTCTGTGAGAACTTCTGGATGGTTTGGTCTGAAGCTATGGCCCGTGGGTCCTTCCTCAATGCCAAGAGGAACAAAACACCAGTGCAGGACTGTCCAAGGATGAGAGGACAGCAGCCCTTGACTGTGTTCGTAGAACTTTGGCTCAAGAACAGGACTCTGGATGAATACCTCACCTACCTCCTTCTATGGGTCAAGCAGAGGAAAGATTTACTACACCTGTGCTGTAAGAAGCTGAAAATTTTGGGAATGCCCTTCCGCAATATCAGAAGCATCCTGAAAATGGTGAACCTAGACTGTATCCAGGAGGTGGAAGTGAATTGCAAGTGGGTACTGCCCATCCTGACACAGTTTACCCCATACCTGGGCCACATGAGGAATCTTCAGAAGCTCGTTCTCTCTCACATGGATGTCTCTCGCTACGTTTCCCCAGAGCAGAAGAAGGAGATTGTTACCCAGTTCACCACTCAGTTCCTCAAGCTGCACTGCCTCCAAAAGCTTTATATGAACTCTGTTTCTTTCCTCGAAGGCCACCTGGACCAGCTGCTCAGGTGAGGGAGGGTGGTGAGCTTTCTCTGCAGACCACAGCAGAGCCTGTTTCACTAAACGCTAGTGGGCATCTACTGTGAGCCAGCCTATGAGGATGTAACAGTGAAGGGGACACTAGAATGTCCATACATTGTCCTGTTGGCGGCCCTGTCCTGAAATGGGTATCATGCAACCATCCCAATAGAGGCAGAGGGATCAGCTAGGGGAGATGCTATAGAGAGGTTGTCATACTAGGAAGCTAGCTACTGGGGGGTTCAGATCTAGTGAGGGTGCCTTTCTGAATTCTTCCTGAGGACGTGTGTCTAAGTTAAGATGATGAAAAATAGGCCAGGGGCGGTGGCTCATGCCTGTAATCCTATCACTTTGGGAGTCTGAGGCAAGAGGATAGCTTGAGCCTAGGAGTTTAAGACCAGTCTGGGTAACATCCCAAGACCCCTGTCAGAAGTGAAGAAATAAAAGTAAAAACAAACAAGATAACTTTTTTTTTTTCTGAGATGAATTTTCACTTTGATCATCCAGGGTAAAGTGCACTTGTGACATCTCAGCTCGCAGCAACTTCTGCCTCCCAGGTTCAAGCGATTCTCCTGCCTCAGCCTCTTGAGTGCCTGGGATTACAGGCATGAGTCAGCACACCTGGCTAATTTTTATATTTTAAGTAGAGACAGGGTTTCACCATGTTGGCCAGGATATTCTCCAACTCCTGACTTCAGGTGATCCGCCCACCTTGGACTCCCAAAGTGCTGGGATTATAGGCGAGAGCTACCACGCCCAGCCAACAAGATAATTTTTAAGCAGATGATGTAAAGTAGGGAAGTGAAGTGGGCACTGAAGAGGGGAATGCTCAGCAAACCTGCACATGTCAGAAAATCAGCTTTGTGCCCCATAGTTTGGTGAACATGAATGATCCCATCTCTAATTCCCTGTTGTAAAAGTGTTTTGAGCTCCAGGTAAATTAATTACCTAGGCAATGCATGATTCTGAAACAGAGGGTCAGGGAGCAGGCACAAAGAATGGTGAAAGTGATAGATGGTTTGCTGATGATACAGGCATGGCAGGGACGCCTACAGCCCGCCCACCCCAGCTGATGTTGCAGGATCCTGTCTGGGTTTGTCCTTTATGCCTGAATCTCCACTGGGCTTCTGTGGCCCAGGGATGTGGTTTTCTGCCTGACAGATGAGGAAAGGGAGCTTTAGGGATTCTGTGAACTTGATCCATTCCTATAAATGATGGTGAAATGACTCAGCCTCAAATGGAATTATTTTTTTTCCTTCTTTTTTTTTAATACAGAGTCTCTCTCTGTCACCCAGGCTGGAGTGTAGTGGCATGATCTCTGCTCACTGCAACCTACACCTCCTGGGTTCAAACGATTCTTCTGCCTCAGCTTCCCAAGTAGCTGGAATTGCAGGCTCCCCCCACCACACCTGGCTAATTTTTGGATTTTTAGTAGAGAGGAGGTTTTGCCATGTTCAGCAGGCTGGTCTCAAACTCCTGATCTCAAGGAATCCACCAGTCTCAGCCTCCCAAAGTTCTGGGATTACAGGTGTGAGTTACTGGGCCGGCTCTAAGGTGGAATTGACCTCGGTGGCAAAGCTCTTCATCACACATCATTCTAAGTGTTGACCATCAGGCCATCAGAATGACCCTGGACTTGGGCAAAATGGTCTCCATCCATTACCTTGAAGCCATTCCCCACCACCCTCCACTCACCCCTATGATTCCCCAGAATTAACTTCTTGCTCTCTCTCCCCAGCTGTCTGAAGACCTCGTTAAAGGTCCTCACAATAACTAACTGTGTGCTTTTGGAATCAGACTTGAAGCATCTATCCCAGTGCCCGAGTATCAGTCAACTAAAGACCCTGGACCTGAGTGGCATCAGACTGACCAATTACAGTCTTGTGCCTCTCCAAATTCTCCTAGAAAAAGTTGCAGCCACCCTTGAGTACTTGGATTTAGATGACTGTGGCATCATAGACTCCCAAGTCAACGCCATCCTGCCTGCCCTGAGCCGCTGCTTTGAGCTCAATGCCTTCAGCTTCTGTGGAAATCCCATCTCCATGGCCACCCTGGAGAACCTGCTGAGCCACACAATCATACTCAAAAACTTATGCGTGGAGGTGTATCCTGCCCCGCGGGAGAGTTATGGTGCTGATGGTACTCTCTGCTGGAACAGATTTGCTCAAATTAGGGCTGAGCTGATGAACAGAGTGAGGGACTTAAGGCACCCCAAGAGGATCTTTTTCTGTATTGATAACTGCCCTGACTGTGGCAACAGGTCATTTTATGACCTGGAGGCAGATCAATACTGCTGTTGAATGCCTGCCTATTTGGATGGGTATGTCAAACGCTTTCTTCTGGACACTTGGAAACTAAAACCTAGGTCTTAGGTACATCCTAAAGGGAGCACAGAACCCATCATTTCACACATAGGCTCTGAAAGTGGGAAAGGAAAGCTGATCAAGCAGGGGCAGGACTTGGGGGAAATGTTGCCATGGATTCGATGGGACTTTGGGGACCTGTATCCTGTAGAGTCGAAAATGGGAATCTGAATGTCTAGAGTGGAGTTCAGGCTTGAGAATACATGAGGGAGTTACTCTTGCATGGATGGTTGTAAAGAAACAATCAGAAATAAAGGAAAACTGAGCAGAATCTGTCTGGTGCCCTCTATTATTAAGTAACCTGTTTTCCAGTTTAAGCCTCAGGAATCTTCAGTTATTGATGGAAAAAACAAAAGGCACTGACTGAGTTGTCCAATCAATAAGATGCAGCCCAAGAAAATCAAGGCATTTAAATGAAATTTGGTTATTGTAATCAGTTTCCTCCCATTCTTTTATTGGAGACAGAGTTTCACTCTTGTTGCCCAGGCTGGAGTTTAGAGTGCAATGGTGCCATCTGAGCTGACTGCAACCTCCACCTGGGGTTTAAATGATTCTTCTGCCTCAGCCTCCCAAGTAGCTGGGATTACAAGCATGCACCACCATGCCCAGCTAATTTGTGTATGTTTAGTAGAGACAGGGTTTCCTCACTATGTTGGTCAGGCTGGTCTCAAACTCCTGACTTTGGGTGATTCAAGCAAGTAGGCCTACCAAAGTGCTGGGGTTACAGGTGTGAGCCACTGTGTCAGGCTTTTTTTTGTTTTTGTTTTTTAAAGGTCTCCTGTCACTCAGGCTAGAGTGCAGTGGCACAATCATACCTCACTGCAACCTAAATTTCCTGGGTTCAAGTGATCCTCCCACCTCAGCCTCCTGAGTAGCTAGGACTACAGCTGTGTGAGCCACCACACCTGGATACTTCTTTTTAGTAGAGACAAGGCCTCGCTGTCTTCCCCAGGCTGATCTGGAACTCCTGAGCTTGTGATTCTCCTGCCTTGGCCTCCCAAAATGCAGGGAGTATAGGCGTGGACCACCACGCTTGGGTTGGCCTCCTCTAGTTCTTCACTTCTTTAGATGTCTGTTAACTCCTTGTTAGTTTCTGTGGCTGTTCAGTGGGTTAATACACACTAGGTGGACACCAAAGGCCTGGAACATTACTGGGCAAGAACAGTGAGCCAATCCACACGGACAGCACCTTCTTCTCAGGGTCTTTCACCGCTAGCCAGATGCTGAGACCCTGCCCACTCCCTGTGAGTCTCCACATGCTTCCAGAAGCCTTATTTGGTGGATGTCAGCTTCACTGCACAAGGACCCACTCTCTTCCCACTGCCCTGGAAGGGGATGTCCATATTGTGTATTAGCTGGAGACTCTGGGCAGCATCAACCCTTGCTTGTTCTCCTGATGACCAGCAGCCCTTCTTGAATTAAACTGGTTGTAGCCAGTAAAGACAGCCACATTCCCTTTAAGTAAAATACTAAAACTATACAGGCATGTAACACTTTTTAAATATTTCCATCTGACATTTTAAAAGTTACATCTTTTTGGGGAGCTAGGTCAGATTGATGAGAGATTTTCTCATAACACCTCCCCTCTCTCCCTATGAAGGAAGAGACTAGTACTAGTGCAGCGTGTTCTGGAATCTGACAGCATCAAAGGGTGGATAACGATCAAGGGCCTGTGGGTGATGAGTGACCTTCCCTGTGCTGAGGAATTCTGCATAATGGGCACCCAAGTGAAGGATCCTGCTGAGTACTCAGGGGCTGGTGTTGCTGTCAGGGATGTTAGCCTAGAGCCTCAGCTTCCTGTAAAATGAGGATGATGATGTCCAACAGCTTATGGGACCTTGGTAGGATCCAATGAGATGGTTCATGTTTAGGGCTTGGCATGGGGTCTGGCATACAGTAAGATCAATACATCTTGTTCTTTTTTCTCTTCTCAGCAGAAGTCCCAGCACTTTTCATCTTTCAATCTCACCTCCTTTTCCTGATAATAGAGAGGCAACAAGAACTCAGGGCATGCAATGGGGCTCAACTTCTACTCTCTGCCACAATTTCATCATGATTCCCCCAAAGAGCAGAGCCCCAGGAGCCAGCAGGGGGCAGGGTGGGCATTTCTGGACTGGATTCATTCATAATAAGATCAAAATTTCCAATCCGTATGTCTCGGGTGCCATCTGCTGATAGATCCGACCAGATGGTATAATTGAGTGTTGCAAGGATTATATTTTATGGTGTTTTCAAAAATGTACTATTATGAGCCAGGTGCAGTGGCTCACGCCTGTAATTCCAGCACTTTGGGAGGCTGAGGCAGGTGGATCACCTGAGGTTGGGAGTTTGAGACCAGCCTGAGCAACATGAAGAAACCCCTTCTCTACTTAAAATACAAAAAATTAGCCAGGCGTGGTGGCGCACGTCTGTAATTGCAGCTACTCGATAGGCTGAGGCGGGAGAATCATTTGAATCTGGAGGTGGAGGTTGTGGTGAGCTCAGACTGAGCCATTGCACTCCAGCCTGGGCAACCCTAGCAAAACTCCATCTCAAAAAAAAAGATAAAATAAAATTTATTATTATGGCCGGGCATGGTGTCTCACACTTCTAATCCCACCACTTTGGGAGGCCAAGGCAGCCTCAGGATTTTGAGACCAGCCTGGCCAACATGGTGAAACCCCATCTCTACTAAAAATACACAAAATTTGCTGGGAGTGGTGGCATTCGCCTGTAATCCCAGGTATTCAGGAGGCTGAGGCAGGACAATCACTTGAACCCGGGAGGTGAGGGTTGCAATGAGACGAGATTGCACCACTTCACTCCAGCCTGGGCGACAGAGCATGAAAAAAAATTTACTATAATGTGAATACTATTAGAGTATAAATATTTGTGTTGTAATTTATGTATATGAAAGATTAGAACTTTTAAAGAATGCAACGTGATATTTCAAGAATGGTTAATGGCCAGGTGTGGTGGTTCATGCCTGTATTCCTGGCACTTTGGGAGGCCGAGGTGGGCAGATCACGAGGTCAGGAGTTCCAGACCAGCCTGGCCAACATGATGAAACCCGGTCTCTACGAAAAATACAAAAAATTAGCCTGGCGTGGTGACAGGTGCCTGTAATCCCAGATAGTCAGGAGGCTGAGGCAAGAGAATCGCTTGAACCTGCGAGGCAAAGGTTGCAGTGAGCCAAGAATGCACCACTGCACTCCAGCCTGGGTGAAAGAGGAAGACTCCGTCTCAAGGAGGGTGAGAAAAAGAATACTTAACTTGGTTTGAAATGTCAAAACAAATGAGATTTTAAAAACTAATTTTAAAGACACTGAACAATAATCATTTCTTCTTTAAAATATATTTAGAATAATACAATTTTAGCTTTGAAAGGAAACATTACAGTTTTAAAAAATATTGAGTTTATTTTATTTTATTTTATTTTATTTTATTTTATTTTATTTGGAGACAAAGTCTCACTCTGTTGTCCAGATTGGAGTGCAGTGGCATGATCACGGCTTACTGCAGCCTTGACCTCCTAGGCTCAGGTGATCTCCCTGCCTCAGTCCCCCTAGTAGCTGGAACAACAGGCATGCACCATCATGCCTGACTTATTTTTGTATTCTTAGTGAAGACCAGGCTTCAACATGTTGCCCAGACTGGTCTTGAAATTCTGGGCTCAAGCGATCCACCTGCCTCGGCCTCCTAAATTGCTGGGAGTGAGCTCTTATAGGCATGAGCCACCGCACCCAGCCTTGAGTTTATTTATTTATTTATTTTGGAGATGGAGTCTCCTTCTGTCATCCGTGCTGGAGTGCAGAGGTACGATCTCTGTTCACTGCAACTTCTGCCTCCAGGGTCCCAGCAATGTTCCTGTCTCAGCCTCCAGAGTAGCTGGGATTACAGGCATGCAACACCACACCTGATTAATTTTTGTATTATTATTATTATTTTTTTTAGTAGAGACAGGGTTTTGTCATTTTAGCTAGGCTGGTCTGGAACCCCTGACCTCAGGTGATCCACCTGCCTCGGCTTCCCAAAATGCTACGACTATAGGCGTGAGCCACCACACCCAGCCTATTTTTTCCTTTACAGCAGTTTTAGATTCACAGAAAAACTAAGCAGAAACTGCAGAGTTCTCATCTACCTTCTTCCCCCTTCAATACACAGCACCCCCACAGGATCAGCACCCACACCAGCACAGAGCATTCATCACAACCAATGAGCCACAGGGACACATCATTATCACCCAATGTCCATAGTTCACATGAGGGATCATTGCTGGTTTTGTACATTCTATGGATTTTAACAAAGGGATAATGACATGTATCCACCATTAGAGCATCATGGACAGTAGTTTTCTTTCCCTAAAATTCCTCTGTCCTCTTCCCATTCATCCCATTGTGCTCCCAACCCCTTGCATCCACTGGGCTTTCTACTGTCTCCTTAGAAAAATGCAAAAGCTTTTTCTGGAATGTCTAACAGGATGAGTCTTTTCAGATTGCCTTCTTTCACTTGTACAATAACGTGCATTTAGGAATTTTTCATGTCTTTTTACAGCTTTATAATAGTTCACTGACTGGATGGATCAGTTTGCTTATCCAGTCACTGACCGAAGGGCAACTTGCTAGCTTCCAAGTTTTGGCGATTATGAGTAAGTTGCTGTAAACATCCAGGTGTGGGTTTACTCACTTCATTAAATATCCAGGAGCATGATTACGGAATTGTAGGGGTATGGTATGTTTTACAATTATTTCTTCTTTCTTGACAATCTCACTTGTTCGATATTGCTGCTAAAGGTCAGGAACTTTGTCTCCATCATCCTGTGTTCCCACTGCTGAGCATGGAACGTGGCACTTGGTAGCAAATGCTGTTGACCACGTGATGCATGGAAACGTTTATCATGGGTATAGTCACTAAATTGCTACCTTGGGGACATCAACATTAGCTCACTACCAATAATATAAATAAATTGGATTATGGAAAAAAATGGCCCTTGTGATACTGTGGATACTCCAGGTGTATCATGAACGTCCAGCAATTGACCAGGCACAGTGGCTCACATCTGTAATCCCAGCACTTGCAGAGACTGAGGTGGGTGGATCACTTCAGTCAGGAGTTCAAGACGACTCTGGCCAATATGATGAAACCCTGTCTCTATTAAAGACACAAAAATTAACTAGGGGGTTGAGCCAAGATGGCCAAATAGGAACAGCTCCAGTCTACAGCTCCCAGCCTGAGCGGTGCAGAAGACGGGTGATTTCTGCACTTCCAACTGAGGTACCAGGTTCTTCTCACTGGGGAGTGTCAGAAAGTGGGTGTAGGACAGTGGGTGCAGTGCACCGAGCATGAGCCAAAGCAGCATGAGGCATTGCCTCTCCTGGGAAGTGCAAGGAGTCAGGGAATTCCCTTTCCTAGTCAAAGAAAGGGGTGACAGATGGCACCTGTAAAATCCGGTCACTCCCACCCTAATACTGCGCTTTTCCAACAGTCTTAGCAAATGGCACACCAGGAGATTATATCCCGTGTCTGGCTCAAAAGGTCCTATGCCCACGGAGCCTCACTCATTGCTAGCACAGCAGTCTGAGATCAAACTGCAAGGCGGCAGCAAGGCTGGGGGAGGGGAGCCTGCCATTGTTGAGGCTTGAGTAGGTAAACAAAGCAGCCAGGAAGCTGGAACTGGGTGGAGCCCACTGCAGCTCAAGGAGGCCTGCCTGCCTCCACAGACTCCATTTCTGGGGGCAGGGCATTGCCAAACAAAAGGCAGCAGAATCCTCTGTAGACTTAAATGTCCCTGTCTGACAGCTTTGAAGAGAGTAGTGGTTCTCCCAGCACGCAGCTGGAGATCTGAGAATGGACAGACTGACTCCTCAAGTGGGTCTGTGACCCCTAAGTAGCCTAACTGGGAGGCACCCACCAGCAGGGGCAGACTGACACCTCACATGGCCAGGTACTCCTCTGAGACAAAACTTCCACAGGAACGATCGGGCAGCAACATTTGTTGTTCACCAATATCCACTGTTCTGCAGCCTCTGCTGCTGATACCCAGGCAAACAGCTTCTGGAGTGGACCTCCAGCAAACTCCAACAGACCTGCAGCTGAGGGTCCTGACTGTTAGAAGGAAAACTAACAAACAGAAAGGACATCCACACCAAAACCCAGTCTGTACATCAGCATCATCAAAGACCAAAGGTAGATAAAACCACAAAGATGGGGAAAAAACAGAGCAGAAAAACGGGAAACTCTAAAAATCAGAGTTCCTCTCCTCCTCCAAAGGAACGCAGCTCCTCACCAGCAATGGAACAAAGCTAGAGGGAGAAGGACTTTGATGAGTTGAGAGATGAAGGCTTCAGATGATCAAACGACTCTGAGCTAAAAGAGGAAGTTCGAACCCATGGCAAAGAAGTCAAAAACATTGAAAAAAAATTAGATGAATGGCTAACTAAAATAACCAATGCAGAGAAGTCCTTGAAGGACCTGATGGAGCTGAAAACCATGGCACGAGAACCACGTGACAAATGTACAAGCCTCAGTAGCTGATTCCATCAACTGGAAGAAAGGGTATCAGTGAGGGAAGATCAAACGAATGAAATGAAGCGAGAAGAGAAGTTCAGAGATAAAAGAATAAGAGGAAATGAACAAAGCCTCCAAGAAATATGGGACTATGTGAAAAGACCAAGTCTATGTCTGACAGGTGTACCTGAAAGTGATGGGGAGAATGGAACCAAGCTGGAAAACACTCTTCAGGATATTATCCAGCAGAACTTCCCCAATCTAGCAAGGCAGGCAAACATTCAAATTCAGGAAATACACAGAATGCCACAAAGATACTCCTTGAGAAGAGCGACTCCAAGACACATAATTGTCAGATTCGCCAAAGTTGAAATGAAGGAAAAAATGTTAAGGGCAACCAGAGAGAAAGGTCGGGTTACCCACAAAGGGAAGCCCATCAGACTGACAGCGGAGCTCTCAGCAGAAACTCTACAAGCTAGAAGAGAGTGGGGGCCTATATTCAACATTCTTAAGAAAAGAATTTTTGACCCAGAATTTCATATGCAACCAAACTAAGCTTCATAAGTGAAGGAGAAATAAATTCCTTTACAGACAAGCAAATGCTGAGAGATTTTGTCACCACCAGGCCTGCCCTAAAAGAGCTCCTGAAGGAAGCACTAAACATGGAAAGGAACAACTGGTACCAGCCACTTCAAAAACATGCCAAATTGGAAGGACCATCGATACTAGGAAGAAACTGCATCAACTAAAGAGCAAAATAACCAGCTAACATCATAATGACAGGATCAAATTCACACATAACAATATTAACCTTAAATGTAAATGGGCTAAATGCTCCAATTAAAAAACACAGACTGGCAAATTTCATAAAGAGTCAAGACCCATCAGTGTGCTGTATTCAGGAAACCCATCTCACATGCAGAGACACACATAGGCTCAAAATAAAGGGATGGAGGAAGATCTTCCAAGCAAATGGAAAACACAAAAAGGCAGGAGTTGCCATCCTAGTCTCGGATAAAACAGACTTTAAACCAACAAAGATCAAAAGAGACAAAGAAGGCCATTACATCATGGTAAAGGGATCCATTCAACAAGAAGAGCTAACTATCCTAAATATAGATGCACCCAATACAGGAGCACCCAGATTCATAAAGCAAGTCCTTAGAGACCTACAAAGAGACTTAGACTCCCACACAATAATAATGGGAGACTTCAACACCCCACTGTCAACATTAGACACATCAATGAGACAGAAAGTTAACAAGGATATACAGGAATTGAACTCAGCTCTGCGCCAAGCGGACCTAATAGACATCTACAGAACTCACCATCCAAAATCAACAGAATATACATTCTTCTCAGCACCACACTGCACTTATTCCAAAAATTGACCACATAGTTGGAAGTAAAGCACACCTCAGCAAATGTAAGAGAACAGAAATTATAACAAACTGTCTCTCAGGCCACAGTGCAATCAAACTAGAACTCAGGATTAAGAAACTCACTCAGTGTGTGATGTTCCCTTTCCTGTGTCCATGTGTTCTCATTGTTCAATTCCCACCTATGAGCGAGAACATGCAGTGTTTGGTTTTTTGTGCTTGTGATAGTTTGCTGAGAATGATGGTTTCCAGCTTCATCCATGTCCCTACAAAGGACATGAACTCATCATTTTTTATGGCTGCATAGGATAGCATTAGGAGGTATACCTAAGGCTAAAAGACGAGTTAATGTGTGCGGCACACCAACATGGCACACGTATACATATGTAACAAACCTGCACGTTGTTCACATGTACCCTAAAACTTAAAGCATAATAATAATAATAAAAGAAACTCACTCAAAACCGCTCAACTACATGGAAATTGAACAACCTGCTCCTGAATGACTACTGGGTACATAACGAAATGAAGACAGAAATAAAGACATTCTTTGAAACCAATGAGAAAAAAGACACAACATACCAGAATCTCTGGGACACATTCAAAGCAGTGTGTAGAGGGAAATTTATAGCACTAAATGCCCACAAGAGAAAGCAGGAAAGATCTAAAATTGACAACCGAACATCACAATTAAAAGAACTAGAGAAGCAAGAGCAAACATATTCAAAAGCCAGCAGAAAGCAAGAAATAGCTAAGATCAGAGCAGACCCGAAGGAAATAGAGACACAAAAACCCCTTCAAAAAATCAATGAATCCGGTAGCTGGTTTTTTGAAAAGATCAACAAAATAGATAGACTGCTAGCAAGACTAATAAAGAAAAGATAGAAGAATCAAATAGATGCAATAAAAAATGATAAAGGGCATATCACCACGGATCCCACAGAAAGACAAACTACCATCAGAGAATACTATAAACACCTCTATGCAAATAAACTAGAAAATCTAGAAGAAATGGATAAATTCCTCAACACATACACCCTCCCCAGAATAAACCAGGAAGAAGGTGAATCTCTGAATAGACCAATAACAGGCTCTGAAATTGAGGAAATAATTAATAGCTTACCAACCAAAAAAAGTCCAGGACCAGATGGATTCACAGTCGAATTCTATCAGAGGTACAAGGAGGAGCTGGTACCATTCCTTCTGAAACTATTCCACTTAATAGAAAAAGAGGGAATCCTCCCTAACTCATTTTATGAGGCCAGCATCATCCTGACACCAAAGCCTCGCAGAGACACAACAAAAAAAGGGAATTTGAGACCAATATCCCTGATTAACATCGATGCAAAAATCCTCAATAAAATACTGGCAAACCGAATCCAGCAGCACGTCAAAAAGCTTATCCACCAATATCAAGTCGGCTTCATCCCTGATCCGCAAGGCTGGTTCCACTTACGCAAATCAATAAACGTAATCCATCACATAAACAGAACCAATGACAAAAACCACATGATTGTTTCAATATGTGCAGAAATGGCCTTCGATAAAATTCAACACCCTTTCAGGCTAAAAACTCTAGATAAACTAGGTATTGATGGAACGTATGTAAAAATAATAAGAGCCATTTATGACAAAACCACAGCCAATATCATACTGAATGGGCAAAAGCTAGAAGCACTCCCTCTGAAAACCAGCACAATGCATGGATGCCCCCTCTCACCACTCCTATTCAACATAGTATTGGAAGTTCTGGCCAGGGCAATCAGGCAAGAGAAAGAAATAAAGAGTATTCAAATAGGAAGAGAGGAAGTCAAATTGTCTCTGTTTGCAGATGACATGATTGTATATTTAGAAAACCCCATCATCTCAGCCCAACATCTCCTAAAGCTGATAAGCAACTTCAACAAAGTCTCAGGATACAAAATCAATGTGCAAAAATCAAAATCATTCCTATACATCAACAATAGACAAACGGAGAGCCAATCATGAGTGAACTCCCATTCACAATTGCTAAAAGAAAATAAAATACATAGGAATACAACTTACAAGGGATGTGAAGGACCTCTTCAAGGAGAACTACAAACCACTGCTTAAGGAAATAAGAGAGGACACTAACACATGGAAAAACATTCCACGCTCATGGGTCTGAAGAATCAATATCATGAAAATGGCCATACTGCCCAAAGTGATTTATAGATTCAATGCTATCCCCATCAAGCTGTAATGGAGTTTCTTCACAGAATTAGAAAAAACTACTTAAAACTTCATATGGAAGCAAAAAAGAACCTGTATACACAACACAATCCTAAGCAAAAAGAACAAAGCTGGAGGCATCACGCTACCTGACTTCAAACTATACGACAAGGCTACAGTAACCAAAACAACATGGTACAGTTATCAAAACAGATATGTAGACCAATGGAACAGAACAGAGGACTCAGAAATAATGCCACACATCTACAACCATCTGAACCTTGACAAACCTGACAAAAACAGCCAATGGGGAAAGGATTCCCTATTTAATAAACGGTGTTGGGAAAACTGGCTAGCCATATGCAGAAAACTGCAAATGAACCCCTTCCTTTCACCTTATGCAAAAATTAACTCAAGATGGATTAAAGACTTAAATGTAAGACCTAAAGCCATAAAAACCCTAGAAGAAAACCTAGGTGATACCATTCAGGACATAGGCATGGGCAAAGACTTCATGGCTAAAACACTAAAACCAATGGCAACAAAAGCCAAAATTGACAAATGGGATCTAATTAAAATAAAGAGCTTTTGCACAGCAAAAGAAACTATCATCAGAGTCAACAGGCAACCTATAGAATGGGAAAATTTTTTGCAATCTATCCATCAGACAAATGGCTAATATCCAGAATCTACAAGGAACTTAAGCAAATTTACAAGAAAAAAACAAACAACCCTGTCAAAAAGTGGGTGAAGGATACTAACAGACAACTCTCCAAAAAAACCATTTATCCAGCCAACAAACATATGAAAAAATGTTCATCACCACTGGTCATTTGATTTGCATTTCTCTAATGCAAATCAAAACCACAGTGAGATACCATCTCATGCCAGTTAGAATGGTGATCATTAAAAAGTCAGGAAACAACAGATGCTGGAAAGGATGTGGAGAAATAGGAATGCTTTGACACTGTTGGTGGGAGTGTAAATTAGTTCAACCATTGTGGAAGACAGTGTGGCAATTCCTCAAGGATCTAGAACCAGAAATACCATTTGATCCAGCAATCTCATTACTGGGTATATATCCAAAGGATTATAAATCCTTCTACTATAAAGACACATGCACAAGTATGTTTATTGCAGCACTATTCACAACAGCAAAGACTTGGAACCAACCCAAATGCCCATCAATGATAGACTGGATAAAGCAAATGTGGCACATATACATCATGGAATACTATGCAGTCATAAAAAATAAGTTCATTTCCTTTGCAGGGACATGGATGAAGCTAGAAACCATCATTCTCAGCAAACTAACACAGGAACAGTAAACCAAAACACCACATAAGTGGGAGTTGAACAATGAGAACTCATGGTCACAGGTAGGGGAACACTACACATCAGGGCCTCTCGGGGTGTGGAGGGCTAGGAGAGGGGTAGCATTAGGAGAAATACCTAATGTAGATGACGGGTTGATGGGTACAGCAAACCACCATGGCATGTGTATACGTATGTAACAAAACTGCACGTTCTGCACATGTATCCCAGAACTTAAAGTGGAAAGAAAGAAAGAAAGAAAGAAAGAAAGAAAGAAAAAAAGAAAGAAAGAAAGAAAGAAAGAAAGAAAGAAAGAAAGAAAGAAAGAGAAAGAAAGAAAGAAAGAAAGAAAGAAAGAAAGAAAGAGATGAAGCAAGAAAGATGGAAGGAAGGAAGGAAGGAAGGAAGGAAGGAAGGAAGGAAAGAGAGAGAGAGAGAGAGAGAAAGAAAGAAAGAAAGAAAGAAAGAAAGAAAGAAAGAAAGGAAAAGAAAAGACAGTGGAGGGGAGGGGATGGGAGAGGAGGTGAAGGGAAGGGAAGGGAAGGGAAGGGAGAAGAAAAGAAATACCCATAAAATAGGAAAGCTGGCTGGTCACAGGAGAAGCATGAAAATATCAAGCAGTGATTTCATATAGCAGCAAGAAAAGAGCTTGTAAAATTAGCTGCAAGAATAAGGATAAGCCTTGACCCATAAGATCCAAACAAGCAGGAAGGGGCTAAGCTGGCTGACACTGAATTGGTCAGACATGGCACTGGGTTTGACCCTTGCCCTACCCCAGGCCTAATTATACACCTATTATGACAGTAAGTCACACACCAGCGCCAGGACGGTTCTGAGAATGCCCATATTTAGTATAAAAATAGTTAACACCTAGCCACGTGCAGTGGCTCATGCCTGTAATCCCAACATTTTGGGAAACTGAGGCAGGCGGATAACCTGGTGTCGGGAGTTTGAGACCACCCTGACCAACATGGAGAAATCTCGTCTCTCCTAAAAATACAAAATTAGCCGAGTGTGGTGGTGCATGTCTGTAACCCCAGCTACTCCAGAGGCTGAGGCAGGAGTATTGCTTGAACACGGGAGGCGGAGATTGCAGTGAGCCAAGATCGCGCCATTGCACTCCAGCCTGGGCAACAAGAGCGAAACTCCATCTCAAAACATAAATAAATAAATAAATAAATAAATAAATAAATAAATAAATGACACCTCAGTTCTAAGAAAACTTCACCATTTTTTCTTAAAATCCTAATGATTATTTCAACCTCTCCTTACAGATCCTATAAAATTAGAAACCCAAACTCTCTTGTACCTGACTCGCTCTCCTGAATAAGCCCTCTCTTGAGTGTGTTCCTTTGCTTTGCAATAGACACTTCTTGCCTTTTGCTTCATTCTGCCTACTTCCTAAACTCTTTCTTGCAGCGGTGACAAGAATGTGGACACTGGTTGGTGATTGAGTCTCTGGGCACCTGGAGACGACCTAAGCACTATGGCAATAGTCAGTCTAAAAATCACACAGGATATCACAATTCACTCTCTGGTTTTCTTGGGGGAAAAATCCAGTAACTTTGGCCCCATATCCCCAAGGGGCATCACTCAGCACAAACTGAGAAGCAGCAGTCCTACCGCTGGGTTGTAAGTATGCGGCTTTATTCCGGGGTTCTCTATTCCATTCCATTGGTCTATGTCTCGACCTTCATACTGGCACCACGCAGTTTTGCTTACTATTGCCTTACTGTATAAATTGAAGTCAGGTAATGTGATGTCTCCATATTTGTTCATTTTGCTTCGGATTGCTTTGGCTCTTCAGGCTCTTCTTCATCTCCATATGAATCTTAGGATTCTTTTTTTAATCTTGTGAAAATGGTGTTTGTATTTTGGTGTATGAAATTTTTAGACTGACGTTTTTAGATTGATGTTTGATGTTTGCAGTTTTTAGATTGCTTTGGGCAGTGTGGTCATTTTCACAATATTGTGTCTGTCAATCCGTGAGCATGGGCTGTTTTTCTACTTTTTTGTTGTCTATGATTTTTTTCAGCAGTGTCTTGTAGTTCATCTCATAGAGATCCTTTACCTAATGGTTAAGTGTATTCCTAGGTTGTTTTTGTTATTGTCACTGTTTTTGTTGTTGTTTTGCAACTATTGTGAAGGGATGGAGTTCTTGAATTGATTCTCAGCTTGCTTGTTGTTGGTATCAAACAGTGGTACTTATTTGTACATATTGATTTTGTACCTGAGATTTAAGTGAATTCACTTATCGCATCTATGAGTCTTGGTGGAATCTTTCCAGTTTTCTAAGCACATATGATCACATCATTGGCAAACACAGGTAGTTTCACTTCCTTCTTTCCAATTTAATTATACTTTATTCCTTTTGCTTACCAGATTGCTCTGACAAAAATTTTCAGTCCTATGTTGATTACAAGTGGATAAAGTGAGGATTTTTGTCTGCTTGTAGTTCCTAGCAGGAATACTTTCAACGTTTCTTCATTCAATATGATGTTGCATGTGGATTTGTCATTTTTGGCTTCTATTATTTTGATGTATGTTCTTTCTAGGCATAGTTTGTGTAAGCGTAGTCTATTATTTTACAAGCTCAGATTTGTATTCTGTTTTATCTGAGTGCATTGTGAGATTTGGCATCTATTTTACCTGATATAAGTACAGCTACTCTTGCTGTTTTTGGTTTCCAGTTGCATGGAATATCTTATTCTACCCATTCACTTTCCATCTACATGTATGTTTATAGGTGAATTAAGTTTCTGGAAAACAGCATATAGTAGGGTTTTATGTTTTTACTCATTCAAAGACCCTATGCCTTTCACTTGCAGAATTGAGATAAATTATATTCATTGTTTTTATTGATAAAGGCTTAGTGCTCCCATTTCATTTCTTGTTTTTTGGTTGTTTAGAGACTTCTCTCTTCCATCCTTTTCTTATTGTCTTTCTTTGTGTTTAAGTAATTTTCTCTTCTGGAATACTTAGAATGTGACTCTTCTGGCCAGAAACCTCTGTGGCTGGGGGCACCTTTGCCAGAGTTTTGATGGGGTTCACTGGGTTCGTTCTGCCCATGCAGCCTGGTAGACTATGCTTGGCTCATGTTTCAAGCCTGGAGCACATGCCTATTAAGGGCGGGTCAGGGCTGGAGTGGTGAGGGGTGTGTGAGTGAGCAGGGGGTCTGGCCACTTTGGACGGTCACCGGCTGCTGCTGCTGCAGCAGTGGGTTGGGCAGCTCCAGGTGTCAGCATGTGTGCCAGATTTCTGCAAGGCTGCAAATGAATCAGGCACAGCACAAACAGCTTCCATGGTTGTCACTGGAATACACAGTGACACCAACACTGAAAGCTTGGAAATGCCAGGAACTGCAGAACCCCCAAAAGGGAGTCACAGCCCTGGCTCAGGAAGCTCCCACATCTGGGCTCCTGGAAGAGTAGTCGCTCTTCTCTTTTTCTCTTCACCTACAATTTGGTGAGCAAGGGGCATGTTTCAGCTTTATTTGTGTTATTGCTCTTTTACCCCACCATTAGGCGGGTCTCAAGTTTTTGTCCTGTGACCAGGAAGAGTGAAATATGCAGACAAGTGGAGGGTGAGTGAGATAAAGAGGAGCTTTATTGAGCAATAGAACAGCTCAGAGACCCACAGTGGGTAACTTCTTTCTGCAGCCAGGGCGTCCTGATGAGTGTTTAGTACTGAGCAGAGAGGAGGCCCTGGGTGGGTGACCCCTCCCTCCTGGCAGGTTATTCCATCATCACCACTGCTCTCAGTAGAGAGAAGGCCCTGGAGTGGGTTGCTGCTCTCTGCAGGAAAGTCATCTCATCATCTCTACAGCTCTCAGCAGAGAAAAGGACCCGGAGGGGGTTGCTTGTCTCTACAGGAAAATCATCCCCACAGTGGGTAGTTCCTCTCTGCCACTGGTCTTCCTAATGTTCTCCCTGAGTCTGGGGTTTTTTTGACATCAGACAGGAGAAAGTATGCACTCATTGGGTCATAGGTGGCCATGAGCAGGCACAGAAAAGGCAACACATGTTCCCACTCTGGTCCATAGGACTGGTGGCCCAGCCCATGGGCTTCAGGCCCTCCTTGATCAGAAGGTGGAGCTTCACCAGTGACCCTCACCTTCCTGTCCAGGATTCTGTCTGCCTCCCACCACCAACCATGGAGCCCAGGTCACTTGTACCAAGGAGCATCCAAAGACCAGTGCTGATCAGTCCGCAACACCCCTCAGCCTCCCTCCTACACTCATCAAGGCCCAAAGTCCAGAGGGTTCAAGACAGCAGTGGGATGGTGCATCAGCACTGACCCGAGTGTGCACAGACCCACCTGGGCTGCGACAGCATCTGGGCTTGACCACAACCACACTCCAAAATTAGAGCAGGTGCCATGAGAGATGAGGCAGTGAGAGCGGACACCCCCAAGCTGCAGGAGAAGGGGGGATCTCCTGGACCCTCGAGAGTACTGGGGGACCTCATTTGGTAACTGTGACCTGGACAACTTCAGTTGCGTCTTTGGAGCTACTGCCCTGCCAACTCAGGAGGACCAGGACTCCCTCTTGTCCCAGGCTCCCATCAGCTCTGAAGTGTACGCAGCCTTGGATGTGCCCTTTCTCTGTGTTTCCCTGCAGAAGTGACAGTTGAGAAGCAGATACACAGCAGCTCTGACCAACCCCGCACAAACAAACCCAATGCTCCTGGGTGTGGTTTAACCAGCCCCAACTGCACTATCATCCAGGAGCTTGCAGGCTAACAGCAGGCAGTGAGCAGTGAAGTAGAGGCTGTGGTGGAGACTCCAGACCTGGGACAAGGTTCCATTTTGCGATGAGAGGGTGTGGGTGGCACAGTTGGCTGCCTCAGGGAAATGGAGCACAGGCCTGGCTCATGACCCAGTCAAGGGGAGTGCCTCCAGGAGTGGTTCATGGTTCCAGGCCCAGCAATCGGGCTGGTCACCCCTATGGGGGGCGGATCTCGGAAACACAGCCTGGGGTGGATCCGCATAGAACCTCCCTTCAAGACCTGGGAGCTTGACACCGTTAGCAGGATGGGCACAGTGACCAGATAGCTGGCCAGGTCCTTGAAGCAGGTGCCATTTCTGCTTCTCACCCTGGCCCCCTGATGGATGGCCCCAGCTATGCCTTCTGGGCCTGGCATCCGCACATCTTGTGCGAGCGTGGCACCACCCCATTCCTATCTTCTCCTTGGGGCCCCTCTCTGCCCGTCCCTTCGCGCCTGACCGAGCTGCTCCCCGTGGGCAAAAAAGTAAGAAAAAAACTGATGACTGAAGAGAAGTAAAGAATGGGTGGAGATCATCTGTATGCCTGTTTTCCTAGCGCTTTGGGAGGCCAAGGTCAGTGGATCACTTGAAGCCAGGATCTTGAGACCAGGCTGATCAACACGGAAAAACCTCATCTCTATTAAAAATACAAAAATCAGCCAGTCTTGGTGGAACGTGCCTGCAGTCCCAGCTATTTGAGTGGTTGAGGCACAAGAATCACTTGAGCCCTGAAGGAAAGGATTGCAATGAGCCCAGATTGCACCACTGCACTCCAGCCTAAATGACAAACTGAGATTTTGTCTCCAAAACAAAACAAAGAACAAGAATGGGTGGGAAATACTTAAAATGATCAAATTTTATTTGGTTGCTTTGATGTTCTACAGCTGAAACTCAATCACAGACAAAGTAGTATTTCATTATTTTTCCATCAGTAACTCAATAACTAGATATTTCTGGTGGATAAATTGCTACAACACGTTAAAAGTTTTCATTCAGGTGCTCTTTATTTCTGATATTCCTTGGTAACCATCCTTGCAGGGATAACATTCTCATCACTGTAGAACTTTAGCTTCTCTTTCCGACTCTGTAGGACACGGGTCCCTGAAGTTCTCATTGATGTCACCTCAACATTTTCCTCCAGCCTTGCCCCCTGCTGTTATGTTTTCTCCCTCACACTGAGCACTTCCCTGTGCTTCCTTTAAGTTGCATGTGGCCTGGACACAGTCACTCATGCCAGTAATCCCAGCACTTTAGGAAGCTGAGGCAGGAGGATCCCATAAGCCCAGCTGAGGCAGGAGGATCCCAGAGCAACACAGAGAAACCCTGTCTCAAATTGTCTTTAATAAAAATTTTGGAATTATTAAAAAATGAAATAAATAAGAAAAGAGAAAAATAGCTTGCACCTACATAGTAGATTTTAGTGTCCAAGTGCCTGGAAGAGAACTTTGGATTTCTCTACCCCACTGGGCATGCCTTCCCTAGCAGCAAAGATGGAGCTCCAGTTCCTCAGACAGTGATGAGCCACAGGAAGGGCAGGGGGTGGGGCCAATGAAGATCCTCTTGGGCTGCCTGACTTCCCTCAGTGTACACATCAGCTCAGCCCGAAGTGGGGTCAAGATCTCCCAATTGACACGAACCAAGGAATTCAAACTCTCCTCAGGGGCAGGATACGTCTCCAGGCTTAACTTGCTCAGCCCACTGGTGTGGCGCAGCAGGTCCTTCAGGGCACCCATAGACATACAATTTCTGCCAAAGTAGAAGGTGGTGAGCTGGGAGCAGCGGCTCAGGCCAGGCAGGATGGCACTGAGTTGGGAGTAGTGGATCTGACAGCCCTCCAAGATGAGGGTTTCGAGAGAGGCAGCAATTTTCTCTAGCAGAGCTCCGAGGGGTTCAAGACTGATGCGGAACAGCAGCACGTAGCTGAGATTCAGATGCTTTAGGTAACCGAGGCTTGGGTACTGGGAGAGACACTTCACATCCTCTTCCAATAGGTAGCCATAAGTTAATTCCAAGTTCTCCAAGGGGTTCTGGAGGCACCTGTGGAGATCAAGAAGTTAGTTCTGGGCAATGGTACCAGTTAGATGAAGGTAGTGCCTTCATCTAGGAAAATGCCTGCGTCAAACAAACACAAGTTTGTTCCCACCATCTGATGATGGTCCTCATGGAAGTTGCTGCATGATGAGGACCCTGATCGCTCAGGGGCTGTCCCATTTTAGAATCAGCCCTTTCACCATTGCTTGTGTGATTGGGTCAAGGCCATAAAATCTCTAAAGCCTTTTTTTTTTTTCATCTTTTAGCAGAAAACTTTATCTCTGGGCCACAGGTACCCGGTGGGAGATGTGAACAAAGAACTCAACTCAGCAAGGTCTAGGGACATCAGCTAGGGCTACATGTCGGCAGGGGCTACCTGACATGCCTGCATCTGCAAACCAACTGTCACTTTTTACCACTCTCACGCCTACTCCCTCACCTCCATCCCAGAAGCACGCATTTCCCATGTCAGTTACCTTTCCTGGAGTTCAAAACAACCTTTTACAAACAGGGAATCAGAGACAGGATCATTCGTGATCACTAAGCCGGTGAGGACAGACGTTCTATTGTGAAATGGACAGGTTTGATGCACTTTCCCTCCTTTCATACCCTCCTCTATTATCTCTTTGACATCATATCAACTTGAAACACACTTTGTAACAGGAAATTCACACGTGCACCCCCAATAGAGCTGAAACCCCCACTAACTAGCTTGTACATGATGTCCCTCTCTAGCTTCTACCCCAGGTGACCCCTCTGCCCTTATTGGAGCGATCCTGTGATAGCCACTCCAGGACATGGAACACTGAATGGGACAATGTGTTGACATTCTGGTGTCCCCTTCACTGTGACGTTGCCACTGGCTGGCACACAGTACACGCCTTCTAATGTTTGCTGTAAGAGAACAAGGCTATGCTGTGGTCTGCATAAAAAATGCATGATCCTTCCTCACCTGATCAGCTGTTCCAGGTGCCCACTGAAGAAGGTGATCAATTTTATTTTAAGCAACTGGAGGTGTTCCAGCCCGAGGAACACAGAGCTGAATTTGGTGACTAACCGTCCTTCGAGTTCATTATCTGACGTGGAATGATGGCACCTGGAGAAAACGAGTTTGCCAAGAGTCTTCATCTCCTTCAGGTAACAACGAAGCTTTCTTATCAGACGTGGCCAGGACATGTTGTGAATTTCCAGCTATTGAATACTATTCAGGTATATTATTTTCAACGACTTTCTGAGATGTTTAATCGGCGTTAGATAATTGACCAGCTTACTACAGCACAGGTGTACTAAACCTCTCCTTTGGTAAACCCACTGGAAGAGGTATCTCAGGCATTCATCCTGGGGTATTTCCTTGAGGCAGATGTCTATGAACACCTTTAAGGGCTGGTGCTCTCCCATCCTTGGACGGTCCTCTGCTGTCTGCCTCTTACTCATGGTCTCTGGGAAGCAGGACAGGGCCCAGGCTCCAGGCCATCTGGCCCAGAAATTCCCGTCAACGTCCCGCTAATCCAGCACTTGAAGTTTCCACCTCCTGTGGGTAAAATAAGGGAGAGGCTCAGAATTTAGAAGGACAAATCCCTGACCTTTGCTTTCATTGTCATCCCATAAATCAGCTGCTCATGTCCTCAGTGCTCCCTGTTCTCTTTGTCTTTTCTTGATCCCTTTTCCCTTTGGATTCTGAGTGGTCCCCACTTCTATTCCCTTTACCTTCCACTGAGAAAAGGCAGGTTTCTGTTCCCACAGTGGACCCTGTATGGTGAGCAGTCCTTTCTCTGAGGATCTGGACAATGGCCAAAGCCTCCCTGATCTTCCTCGCCAACACCATCAGAAGACTCTGGGCTACACTTGGGCTACTTCTCTGCCTGACCCTGCTGTTCTTTCCCTGGACACCTGAGCCCTATCTACCAGCCCTCCTGGGTCACCTCACCTGGGGCGATCCTTCTGTGTAAGCAGCATATGAAGCCCTTCCAGCAATGCTTTTAAGGTCTCCAAATGAAGCGTCTTCATCAGTGATCCCAGAGGGAGGCAGGTGAAGGGCCAGGCCTGCACCATCACCGTCACAGTCTGGAAGTGTCTCCTGCGGAAGGCCTCCATGAAGAGTGGGAGATAGAGCACCCTGGGCAGCTCCTCCATGGCAGAGATGGACAAGGCCTGGTCTCTCAGCAGGCTCTGCCCCGCCAGCTCCAGGAGTCTGGGTGGGGCCTGGATGCTCATCCTGATAGATCTGCAAGGAAAATCTCTAGAAGACAAATCCAGGGAAAATGTATCACTCTCATGGCAAACACAATCATCTGCTTCTACTGGTACCAGGAAGAATGTCTTCCAAACACCAAGGAGGGAGGGGTCAAGGAGACCACTGGTTTATTAATTTTCATCCATTGCTCCACTGAATCCCAGAACCACCGGACAGTGCCACTGAGGATCCTGAAAGCCAAGCTCTACCTCTTTGAGGAAAAATTTCTTGTCACTTACCACCCTAAAGCAATGAGAATGAGAGTGTCCTGTGGCCCCAGACAGCCTCCATTCTCAGTTTACACCATAAACATGCTGGGGGAACACTAAAGGGACTCCCTAAAATCGATGCCATTATTTTTTATTTTGAAAATTTTCTACCAGAAATGGACCAGGTGCTGTGGCTCATGTCTGTAATCCCAACACTGCTGGACACCAAGGCAGGCAGTTCACTTGAGGTCAGGAGTTCGAGAACAGCCTGGCCTACATAATGAAACGATGTCTCTACTAAATACAAAAAAATTAAGAATCATTTGACTCCAGAAGGCAGAGGTTGCAGAGAGCCAAGATCTCACCACTGCTCTCCAGCCTGGGTGACAGAGTTGGACTCCGACTCAAACAAAAACAAATTGATAAATTAATTAATTAAAATGTTAGCCAGGTGTGGTCATGCATGACTGTAATCCTAGCTACTCTGGAGGCAGAGGAAGGAGAATCACTTGAAGCCCAGAGGCAGAGTTTCCAGGGAGCCCAGCTCAGGGCCCTGCACTCCAGTCTGGGTGACACACTCAGAGTACATCGCAGAAAAAAAACAAAATAATTCACTGGAACTGTAAAAGTGGTGTGATGGTATTCCACAGCATTTGGAAGGTATGTATAGAAATGCTAACTGTACCTGGGCGCGGTGGCTCACTCCTGTAATCCCAGCACTTTGGGAGTCTGAGGGGGGCAGATCTCCTGAGGTCAGGAGTTTGAGGCCAGCATGGCCAACATGGCAAAACCCTGTGTCTACTAAAAATACAAAAATTAGCTGGGCATGGTGGTGAGTGCCTGTAATCCAAGCTACTCAGGAGGCTGAAGCAGGAGAATCGCATGTAACTAGGAGGCAGAAATTTCAGTGAACCAAACCACACCATGGCACTCCAGCCTGGGCAACAATAGGGAAACTCCATCTCAAAAACTGTAAAAGTGCTACCATGCTATTCTAGAGCACTGTAACTCTGAGATGAAGGTTCCTATAGACATCACTTCCACATACTCACAATTACCCACTTTTTGATGGATCCTAGGGGCAAAGATAAATCCCATGATCTGAGCAAAACTGCACTCTTGAGATTGGTGTGTGGGATACCTTTAAGGATTTTATGAAAATGAAAGCATACTTGGAGAATCACAATAACACCAAGTCTATGAACTGTAATTGAAGGGCACAAAAACAGATAACTTCAAATGTCAAGAAATAAAAATTCATGTCACTGTAAATTTTTAATATATTTTTTAAAAACCTGCTTCGATAAGAATTTTAAAATGACAAAAACCAAGCACAAATCACAATTTGATGGATGAAGACAAAACTACATTTAGAGGAAAAATGAAAGCCTAAATCTGTTCATCTCACGAAACAGACAGAAAAATATTGTGTGCCACTTTGGGATGTGTGTCACCGTCCCTGACTGGCTGGCTGCTGATCAGATGGGCATGACCCTAAGCAGGTGGTGACTTACCAGCGCTGGACTCACTTTGCAGAGTTCTGGGACCTCTCAGGGAACCAAGCAGTAGCTCCAGGAATGAGTGCTGTGGGTCTCTTCTGGGTACCCTCAGGAGCTTTTATAGACCTTTCTAACCCCACCCTTCCCTTCTCAATCACCAGCTTCCAATCAGAAAGTGATACCTGATTAGATCTTGCAGTCACACCCAGTTAATCCTGATTGAGTTTTCAGCTTTCTTCTGACTAATCGATTGAATTAGATACACATTTATGGAAGTAAAAGAATAAATAATAGGGTGAAAGTCTAAAACTCATTCGTTCATTTATTCCCCAAATACTGATGAAGTTTGGCTAATACACGACTTTCGTAGTGATGTAGGGAAGGGATTAATCTGTTCCTGATATTAGACCAAAAAAAAAAAAACCTTAAGGTGTCCTTATTGGAGGATGTTTGGCCACATCAAAATTGTCAAAATGTTTCAGAGCTACAATAGCCTGAAGAAGATAGTGATGTCATTCCCAAGAAAACAGAATAAAAAGCTGTGTATATCGAATGGTCACCTGTGTTTTATGCTATCTAACATAGCAGATCATATGCACATTCAGGTAGAAGAAAGGAACCACTGAGAGTGTGATCTATCTCAAGACTAAGTCAAGGCTTCACTGAAGGAAATCAGGACAAAGTGACCAAGTGAGGTGGGGACTGAGCGGAATGAGACTAGGTGTTCTAATGGGAACCTGCAAAGGAAACAAGACAATGTAAAACATGGCGGTTATCTTGTGGGCATCTAGATGTCAGGACTCAAAGTCTTTTGTCAAGATTGAGTTTATTTATTGATTGTTTGTTTGATTTTCAGACTGGGCCTACATCTGTCACTCAGGCTGGAGTGCAGTGGCACGATTTCAGCTCACTGCAGCCTCAACCTTCTGGTTCAAGTGATTCTCTCATTTCTGCCTCCCAAGTAGCTGGGAATTACGGGTGCACTCCAACAAGCCCTACTAATTTTTGTATTTTAGTCGAGATGGGGTTTCACCATGTTGGCCCGGCTGGTCTCAAACTCCTGACCTCAAGTGATCTCCTCACCTTGGCCTCCCAAAAGGCTGGGATAACATGCATCAGCCATCTCACCCACCCTAGATTGAGTTCAGAAATTAAAAGGAGAATCATCAAAAGAGATAGGGCAGACTTAAACCATAACATTCACTTTGAAAACACAGGGGGCAGGTATAGTCTTGGCCCTACTAGAAGGTAAAGGGTGTTTACTCACAAAACTGATGGGCTCCTCTCAGAAAACCAGCTTGCAAAGATGGAATCTAAGAATGTGAACTGGAGCAGAGGCCAGAGAGAAGATTGGGGCCAGACCTGGGAAGGGAGGCTCTCCCAAGCTGGAAGCCACCCAGGTAGAAACTGTGGGCTCTACAGGATGTGAGAGAGAAATGAACGAGGGTCCATATGTCCATCATTGTTCTATCATCTGGAAACCTTTCCTTTAGACTCTGGGATCTTCCCACAGTGGAACATTTCCCAGCAACCATTGGCCCCAGTCATTTTCCAGGACCCTTCATCCAAATCTTAATCTCACCCACTCCCTTCCTACTCTAATTTGATAATTCATGTTTCCTCCTTCTTAGAGTCCTTTCCTGTCGCTAATATTGAACATAGAGATTCTTATCAGAGCATCAACATTAGGCCTACAAAGAAAGCTCAGACCCAGGCACAGTGGCTCATGCCTGTAACATCAGCACTTTGAGAGGCCAAGGTGGGCTGATCATGAGGTCAGTATATCAAGACCATTCTAGCTAACACGGTGAAACTCCGTCTCTACTAAAAATACAAAAAATTAGCCGAGCATAGTGGCAGATGTCTGCACTCCCAGCTACTCAGAAGGCTGAGGCAGGAGAATCGCTTAAACCCAGGATGTGAAGTTGCAGTGAGCTGAGATGGCGCCACTGCCCTCCATCCTGGGTGATGGCATGACACTGTCAAAAAAGAACAAAAGAAAAAGCAAGCAAGCATGCAAGAAAGAAAGAAAGAAAGAAAGAAAGAAAGAAAGAAAGAAAGAAAGAAAGAAAGAAAGAAGGAAGGAAGGAAGGAAGGAAGGAAGGAAGGAAGGAAGGAAGGAAGGAAGGAAGGAAAGAAAGAAGAAAGAAAGAGAAAGAAAGAAAGAAAGAAAGAAAGAAAGAAAGAAAGAAAGAAAGAAAAAAGAAAGAAAGAAAGAAAGAAAGGAAGGAAGGAAGGAAAAGAAAGAAAGACCTCAGGCCTCTAATCCCAGCCCTTTGGGAAGCCAAGAAAGGCAGAGTGCTAGAGCTCAGGAGTTTGTGAGGAATATGGGCAATGTGATGAAACCCTGTCTCTAATAAAAATACAAGATATTAGCTGGGGGGAGGCAGTGTGCACCTGTAGGCCAAGCTGCCCAAGAAGTTGAGGTGGGAGGATCACCTGAGCCCAGTGAGGCTTCTACTTCCCACGCCCCACTTTGTAAACCTGAGGCTGAGGGTGAGCTCAACACCAATAATGGTTGTGAGAATCTGTGTTCACTGAGCATCCACGAGGCACAACAGACGGCTGGTACTGATCATCCCGGACCTCAGCTCTTCTTCATGGAGAATCTAAGGCACGTTGCTATTTTCCCCATTTCTAACCTGATAAACCTGAGATTTGGCCAGAGAAAAATCTTCCCATGTTCTGGCAGCAAATGATTGGCAAACCCCTCAGGTGAGGGGCTCAGTGGAACCCCCAAGGTGTTCAATAAGCTAAATATTGGAAAGAACTGGCTAACTGACTCCCTCTTCCTGCCCATTTCAAGGGGTGCAGTAGCACCCCCAGGACCCCAGTGAGAATCCTGCACTTGGGGTCTTTTCTACCATGTTCTGTCACCAGTTCTTCTCGAGGTGCTCATCTGCTGCCAAGCTCAGAGCAACCTTCGAAACCCATCTCAGGAAACGACCTGACCTATTCTCCACTCCCAGAATCCACACTGGGATTCCAAAGCTCCTATGAGGCCCTTGCTTAGGCTCTCTAGAATATTCCTGAGCCTCTGTTTTCTCCCTCAGCCTGAGCTGATGGGGCCGGCGTCACTTTATGCATCCCAAGGCCATCAGCCCATCTCTCCTGGACTTCAGAACATGGCCACAATGCAGAGAGACCCAGCAGTAATTAAGAAATTTTCCCCAGTTTATATTGAGTGATGTTGGTGAACATGGCAAGGCACAAAGCAGGAAACTCCACAGCTGCTGCTCTGGACCTAAAGAGGCACCCTGGACTTCTGGGTGGTGACACTGCCTGGCTTGCAGAGGAAGACCTGACCCCTCTGGTCTTCCAAGGCTGCCAGGATGATGACAGAGCCTTGGACAGGTCCCAGCGCAGGGGCCATCCCTTCCCAGGTTCCCCTGGCCCAGCCTTAGAGCTGATAAGGATGCACCTGGAATGCACTAAGTATTTTTTTGTCCAAGCCAGGTCTCTTCTTAGCCTTAGGTGAGGCTTTTTTCAGCTGGGTGCTATGGAAGAACCCGAAGCCCAGTGGGCATCACTGCAATGTCCACATGGTAAGTATGTGTGTGTGTGTGTGGCCACCTAGAAAGGCACAACTCTACCTGACAGAGCTGGTTCCATGGAAGAGAAAAGTATAACATCCCATGTCCCTGGTAGGACAACTTCCTCTGGGAGTCCAGCAAGAAGACGTGGAATCTGCGGACAAGAGGTCCCTGGGTAAAAGCCCTCATTTGAGGATAAGAGTAAAGTTGAACCTTAGACCCTGAGGGATCTATGCCCTTCCCACAGGGCTGCAGCAGAGCCAGCCCTGACTCCCAGGCACAATAGCCCAGAGAGATCTTCGAAGGGAAGTAAACCTGCTGGGGCCTCAGGGCTCAGAAAAAGCTCTGGACCTATCTCCCAGTCATGCCTCTCCCACTCCCAAGTGCCTCTGGCCCTGGAACTGTCAGAGACCCCTGTGTCTTTTCCATGTGCTCTTCTTCTCCTTTCACTCAGCCCTGCCTCTGCCAATGCTCCCTGCATTTGCCTCCATGTAAGGCCCCCAACCCCAAGCTCTGGCAGTGGCTGGGGAGCTAGGGGTTTTTGTGCCCACCTGGAGAAAGCCTCACTCAGCATGGGCCCGTGTGGGTTCTGCAGTCTTTTCCTACACAGGGTCACCTACAGGTGTTATGGTTGCATCTCCCCTAGAAGAGCCAATGGGGATGGGTGAGGAATCTGAAATCACTCAGGCACCCCACATACAAATGAGAGCCAGGGTCCCTGCAAGCACAGGCCCCGGGGTAGGTCCTGGCCCTTGTTGTTGCCTTCTGATCCCAGAGGCCTTGGGTTTGTGGTCACAGGAGCCCTACCTACTTCCCATGCACCCCCAGCCCAAGATAAACAAATTCCTGCAGCCTCCCCGGTCCATGTACTTGAGATCTCCAGATCGTGCCACTTCACTCCAACCTGGACGACAGGGCGAGACTCGGGGCCAAAAAAAAAATTAGCTGAGCATGGTGGCAGGCACTTGTAGTCCGAGCTATTTGGGAGGCTGAGGTAGGAGAATCACTTGAAGCCAGGAGGCAGAGGTTTAAGTGAGCTGAGATAGAGCCACTACACTGCAGCCTGGGAAATAGAGCAAGACTCCGTCTCAGGAAAAAGAGACAAGAAAAAGAGAAAATCAGAAGCACCGAGCTGTGTTTTTAATGAGGTCCTGCCCCAGGAAGTCAGGCATCCAAATGAAATTTCCTCATTTTTATCAATTCCCTCCTGTTCTTTACTTCTCTTTACAAATCTGTTACCTCCTGACTTTGTTCTGTGGCTGATCAGTGGGTGAATACCCACAAGATGCACACACAGGGCCAGGAACATTCTATGTGGGCAAAGAGTGTGAGTCACTCAAGTAAAGCCCCTTCTCAGGTCCCTCCCTGCTAACCAGATGCTGAGACCCTGTTCAGTCCTAATGGGCAGATTGAGAAGAATCCATTTCTGACCATTAGCTGTGCTGGGACAGAGATTCACTGCACAAGGCATGGCCCCTGCTTTGGAAGGGGACATTCACATCATTGATTACCTGGAGCTTCAGGGCATCACCAACCCATACCTGTCGTCATGGTGGGCAGTGCTCCTTCCTTAATTAAACTAGTTGTGTCTTATAAAGATATCAAAATTCCCTTTTAGCAAAATACTGCCTACAATATATAAATATGGCTGGGTTTGTTGGCTCATACCTATAATAGTAGCACTTTGGGAGGCTGAGGCAGGAGAATCACAAGATCAAGAGATCGAGACCATCCTGGCCAACATGGTGAAACCCCATCTCTACTAAAACTACAAAAATTAGCTGGACATGTTGTCACATGCCTGTACTCCCAGCTACTAGAGAGGCTGAGGCAGGAGAATTGCTTGAACCCAGGAGGCGTAGGTTGCTGTGAGCTGAGATTGTGCCACCACACTTCAGCCTCATGACAGAGTGAGACTCCATCTCAAAAACAAAACAAAACAAAAGAAAATAACATATAAATACTAATAATCATATAGACATAAAACATGGTTTAAATATTTCTTTACCACATTCAAAAATCAAGCATGCTTTTTGGGGGCCAGGTCATATTGATGAGAGATCCTTTCTTAACACCCTTCCCATACCTAGCAGACTAAAGAAGAAGACTAGCGTATGCAGGGAAAAGAAAGAGAGATCAGACGGTTACTGTGTCTATGTAGAAAAGGAAGACATAAGAAACTTCATTTTGATCTGTACCCTGACTTTGCCCTGAGATGCTGTTAATCTGTAACTTTAGCCCCAACTTTGAGCTCACAGCAGCATGTGTTGTATAGAATCAAGGTTTAAGGGATCCAGGGCTGTGCAGGATGTGCTTTGCTAGCAAAAGGTTTACAGGCAGTATGCTTGATAAAAGTCATCACCATTCTCCATTCTCAAGTAACCAGGGGTGCAATACACTGTGAAAAACCTCAGGGACCCCTGCCCTGGAAAGCCAGGTATTGTCCAAGGTTTCTCCCCATGTGATAGTCTGAAATATGACCTCATTGGATGGGAAAGACCTGACCTTCCACCCAGCTTGACATCCATTAAGGGTCTGTGCTGAGGAGGATTAGTAAAAGAGGAAGGCCTCTTGCAGTTGAGATAAGAGGAAGGCTTCTGTCTCCTGCCTGCCCCTGGGAACTGAATGCCTCAGTATAAAACCTGATTATACATTTGTTCTATTCTGAGATAGGAGAAAAACTGCCTGTGGTGGGAGGCGAGACATGTTGGCAGCAATGCTGCTTTGTTACTCTTTACTCCATTGAGATGTTTGGGTGGAGAAAAGCATAAATCTGGCCTATGTGCACATCCAGGCATAGTACCATCCCTTGAACTTATTTGTGACACAGATTCCTCTGCTCACATGTTTTCTTGCTGACTTTCTCCCCACTATCACCCTGCTCTCCTGCCACTTTTCCCTTACTGAGTTAGTGAAAATAGTAATCAATAAATACTGAGGGAACTCAGAGACCAGTGCCGGTGTGGGTCCTCCGTATGCTGAGCAGCAGTCCCCTGGGCCCATTTTTCTTTCTCTATACTTTGTCTCTGTGTCTTATTTCTTTTCTCAGTCTCTTGTCCTGCCTGATGAGAAATACCCACAGGTGTGGAGTGGCTGACCCCCTTCACCTGGCGCCCAACGTGGGCCTTTCTCTAGGGTGAAGGTACGCTAAAAACGTGAGCATTGAAGACAGTCAACGAGAGATTCCCAAGTACTTCCACGGTCAGCCATGCGGTAAGCTTGTGTGCTCAGAGGAACCCAGGGTAACAATGGGACAAACTGAAAGTAAATATGCCTCTTATCTCAGCTTCATTAAAATTCTTCTAAGAAGATGGGGAGTTAGAGCTTCTACAGAAAATCTAATTATGCTATTTCAAACAATAGAACAATTCTGCCCATGGTTTCCAAAACAAGGACTTTAGATCTAAAAGATTGGGGGAAAATTGGCAAAGAATTAAAACAAGCAAGTAGGGAAGATAAAATCATCCCACTTACAGTATGGAATGATTGGCCCATTATTAAAACAACTTTAGAACCGTTTCAAATAGAAAAAGATAGCCTTTCAATTTCTGATGCCCCTGAAAGCTGTGTAGTAGATTGTGAAGAAGAGGCAGAGACAAAATCCCGGAAATTAATGGAAAGTTCACATTGTAAAATGTAACAGAGTCTGTAATGGCTCAGTCAACGCAAAATGTTGACTACAATCAGTTACAGGAGGTAATATATCCTGAATCATCAAAACTGGTGGAAGGAGGTCCAGAATTATTGGGGCTACCAGAGCCTAAACCACAATGGCCATCAACTCCTCCTCCAGTGGTTCAGATGCCTGTAACATTACAACCTCAAATGCAGGTTAGACAAGTGCAAACCCCAAGAGAATATCATGTAGAAAAGGATAGAGTCTCTATCCCGGCCATGCCAATTCAGATACAGTATCCACAATATCAGCTGGTAGAAAATAAGACCCAACCACCGGTAGTTTATCAATACTGGCCGCCAGCTAAGCTTCAGTATGGGCCGTCTCCGGAGGTTCAATACAGACCTCAAGCTGTGTGTCCCGTGCCACATAGCACGGCACCTCACCAGCAACCCAGCGGTGTTTAGTCCTACATCACCACCTAGTGGACAAGGTAGTACACTGCATGAAATCATTGATAAAGCCAGAAAACAGGGAGATCTTGAGGCATGGCAGTTCCTTGTAATTTTACAACCAATACCAGCTGGGAAAGGGGGGCAAGCTGGAGCGTCTGTCCAAACTGAGGCTAGATATGAATCTTTCACCATGAAAATGTTAAAAGATATGAAGGAAGGAGTTAAACAATATGGACCCAACTCCCCTTATATGAGAACTTTATTAGATCCCATTGCTCATGGAAATAGACTTATTCCCTATGATTGGGAAATGTTGGCTAAATCTTCCCTTTCACCCTCTCAGTTCCTACAATTTAAAACCTGGTGGATTGATGGAGTACAAGAACAGGCACGAAAAGTCAGGCTATTTATCCCGCTGTTAATATAGATGCAGATCGATTGCTAGGAACAGGTCCAAATTGGAGTACAATTGGCCAACAGTCAGTAATGCAGAATGAGGGTATTGAATATCTAAGGGCTCTTTGCCTCAGGGACTGGGAAAAAATTCAGGACCCAGGCACCTGGGTGCCCCACACACCACTTGCCCAGGCATCACTTGCCCAGGCACCGCTTGCCCTTCTTCTAATTCAATTAGACAAGGCTGCAAAGAGCCATATGCAGACTCCGTGGCAAGGTTGCAAGATGCCTCTGAAAAATCTGTTTCGGATGATAATGCTCAAAAAGTTATTGTAGAAATAATGGCTTATCAAAAGTCAAATCCAGAATTTCAACCAGCCATAAAGCCATTAAAAGGAAAAGGTCCAGCAGGAGTTGATGTAATTACGGAATATGTGAAAGCTTGTGATGGGATTGGAGGAGCTATGCGTAAGGCAATGCTAATGGCTCAAGCAATGACCGGAGTCACTTTAGGAGGATAGTTAGAGCATTTGGGGGGAAATGTTATAATTGTGGTCAAATCGGTCATCTAAAAAAGAACTGCCCAGTCTTAAATAAACAGAGTAAAAATAAAGAGCCACCTGGCCTGTGTCCAAGACATGGAAAAGGAAAACATTGGGCTAATCAATGTCGTTCTAAATATGATAAAAATGGGCAACTATTGTCAGAAAAAGGGGTGAGGGGCCAGCCTCAGTCCCAACAACAAACTGGGGCATTCCCGATTCAGCCGTTTGTTCTTCAGGGTTTTCAGGGACAGCAACCACCACAGCAAATACCACCACTTCAGGGAATCAGCCAATTACAACAATACAACAGCTGTCCCCCGCCACAGCAGGCAGCACAGCAGTAGATTTATGTTCCACTCAAAAGGTTTCTTTACTCCCTGGAGAGACCCCGCAAAAGATTCCTACAGGGGTATATGGCCCACTGCCAGGAGGGACAGTAGGCCTCATTTTAGGGAGATGAAGTCTAAATTTGAAGGGAGTCCAAATTCATACTGGGGTAATTGATTCAGATTATAAAGGGGAAATTCAGTTAGTGATCAGCTCCACTGTTCCCTGGAGTGCCAATCCAGGTAATAGAATTGCTCAATTATTGCTTTTGCCTTATATTAAAATTGGGGAAAATAAAACGGAAAGGACAGGAGGGTTTGGAAGTACCAACTCTGCCGGAAAAGCCACTCATTGGGCTCGTCAGGTCTCAGAGAATAGACCTGTGTGTACAGTCACTATTCAGGGAAAGCAGTTTATAGGATTATTGGATACCGATGCTGATGTTTCCATTATCGCCTTAAATCAATGGCCAAAAAATTGGCCTAAACAAAAGCCTGTTACAGGACTTGTCGGTGTGGGCAGCGCCTCAAAAGTGTATCAAAGCACCATGATTTTACATTGTCTAGGACCTGATAATCAAGAAAGTACAGTTCAACCTATGATTACTGCTATTCCAATTAATTTATGGGGCCGAGACTTGTTACAACAATGGCATGCAGAGATGACTATCCCAGCCTCCTTATACAGCCCCACGAGTCAAAAAATCAGACTAAAATGGGGTATCTCCCTGGCAAAGGACTAGGGAAAAATGGAGATGGCATTAAAATCCCAATTGAGGCTGAGGGAAATCAAGAAAGAAAAGGAATAGGATATCCTTTTTAGGAGTGGCCACTGTAGAGCCCCCAAAACCCATTCCATTAACTTGGAAAACAGAAAAACCTGTATGGGTAAATCAGTGGCTGCTACCAAAACAAAAGCTGGAGGCTTTACACTTACGGGCAAAAGAACAATTAGCAAAGGGACATATTGAGCCTTCATTTTCGCCTTGAATTCTCCTGTGTTTGTAACTCAGAAAAAATCCAGCAGATGGCACATGTTAACCGACTTAAGAGCCGTCAATGCTGTAATTCAACCTATGGGGGCTCTCCAACCTGGGTTGCCCTCTCTGGCCATGATCCCCAAAGATTGGCCTTTAATTATAATTGATCTGAAGGATTGCTTTTTTACCATTCCTCTAGCAAAACAGGATTTTGAAAAATTTGCTTTTACTATACCAGCCATAAATAATAAAGAACCAGCCACCAGGTTTCAGTGGAAAGTGTTGCCTCAGGGAATGCTTAATTGTCCAACTATTTGTCAGATTTTTGTAGCTGAAGCTCTTCAACCAGTTAGAGACAAGTTTTCAGACTACGTCTTTCATTATGTTGATGATCTTTTGTGTGCTGCAGAAACGAGAGACACATTAATTGACTGTCACACATTTCTGCAGACAGAGGTTGCAAACTCAGGACTGACAATAGCATCTGATAAGATTCAAACCTCTACTCCTGTCCATTACTTGGGAATGCAGGTAGAGGAAAGAAAATTTAAACAACAAAAAATAGAAATAAGAAAAGACATTAAAAACATTAAACGACTTTCATAAATTGCTAGGAGATATTAATTGGATTTGGTCAATTCTAGGCATCCTTACTTATGCCATGTCAAATTTGTTCTCTATCTTGAGTGGGGATCCAGAATTGAATAGTAAAAGAACATTAACTCCAGAGGCAACTAAAGAAATTGAATTAATTGAAGAAAAAATTCGGTCAGCACAAGTAAATAGAATAGATCACTTCGCCCCACTCCAACTTTTGATTTTTGCTACTGCATATTCTCAACAGGCATTATTGTTCAAAATACAGATCTTGTGGAGTGATCTTTCCTTCCTGACAGTACGATTAAGACTTTTACATTGTACTTGGATCAAATGGCTACATTAATTGGTCAGGCAAGATTACAAATAATAAAATTGTGTGGAAGTGACCCAGATAAAATCATTGTTCCTTTAAACAAGGAAGAGTTTAGACAAGGCTTTATCAATTCTGCTGCATGGCAGATTGCTCTTGCTGATTTTGTGGGAATTATTGATAACCATTACCCAAAAACAAAAATCTTCCAGTTTTTAAAATTGACTACTTGAATTTTACCTAAAATTACCAGACATAAACCTTTAGAAAATGCTCTGACTGTGTTTACTGATGGTTCCAGCAATGGAAAAGTGGTTTACACCAGGCCGAAAGAATGAGTCATTGAAAATCAGATTCTGCATATGTAGTACAGCTACAAAGGATGTTGAGACAGCCCTAACCAAATATAGTATGGATGATCAGTTAAACCAGTCCTTTTATTTGTTACAACAAATTGTAAGAAAAAGAAATCTCCCATTTTATATTACTCATATATGAGCACATACTAATTTACCAAGGCCTTTAACTAAAGCAAATGAACAAGCTGACTTGCTAGTATCATCTGCATTCATAGAAGCACAAGAACTTCATGCTTTGACTCATGTAAATGCAACAGGACTAAAAAATAAATTTGATATCACATGGAAACAGGCAAAAAATATTGTACAACATTGCACCCAGTGTCAAGTCCTACACCTGCCCACTCAGGAGGCAGGAGTTAATCCCAGAGGTCTATGTCCTAATGCATTATGGCAAATGGATGTCACACATGTACCTTCATTTGGAAAATCGTCGTTTGTCCATGTGACAGTTGATTCTTATCTGCATGTTGTATGGGCAACCTGCCAGACAGGAGAAAGTACTTCCCATGTTAAAAGACATTTATTATCTTGTTTTGCTGTCATGGGAGTTCCAAAAAAAAATTAAAACACGTAATGGGCCAGGATACTGTAGTAAAACATTTTAAAAATTGTGAAATCAGTGACAAATTACACATACAACAGGAATCCCCTATAATTCCCAAGGACAGGCCATAATTGAAAGAACTAATAGAACACTCAAAGCTGAATTGGTGAAACAAAAAAAGGAAAAAGACATTAAGCAGTATAACACTCCCCAGATGCAACTTAATTTAGCACTCTATACTTTAAATTTTTTAAACATTTATAGAAATCAGACCACTACTTCTGCAGAGCAACATTTTACTGGTAAAAAGAACAGCCCACATGAAGGAAAACTGATTTGGTGGAAAGACAACAAAAATAAGACAAGGGAAATAGGGAAAATGATAACATGGGGGAGAGGTTTTGCTTGTGTTTCACCAGGAGAAAATCAGCTTCCTGTTTGGATACCCACTAGACATTTAAAGTTCTACAATGAACCCATCGGAGATGCAAAGAGAAGCGCCACCACGGAGATGGAAAACCCGCAATCGAGCATCATCGACTCACCGGGTGAACAAAATGGTGATATCAGAAGAACAGATGAAGCTGCCATCCACCAAGAAAGTGGGGCCACTGACCTGGGCCCAATTAAAGAAGCTGACACAGTTAGCTGAAAAAAGCCTGAAGAACAAAAAGGGTAACACAAACTCCAGAGAACATGCTGCCTGCAGCTTTGATGATTGTATCAACGGTGGTAAGTCTCCCTGTGACTGCAGGAGCAGCCACAACTAATCATACTTACCGGGACTGTGTGCCTTTCCCGCCCTTAATTCAGGCAGTCACATGGATGGATAATCCTATTGAAGTATATGTTAATAATAGTGCATGGGTACCAGGCCTCACAGATGATCGTTGCCCTGCCCAACCTAAAAAAGAATTGATGATAAATATTTCCACTGGGTATCATTATCCTCCTATTTGCCAAGGGAAGGTGCCAGGATATTTAATGCCTACAACCCCAAATTGGTTGGTAGAAGTACCTACTGTCAGTGCCACCAGTAGATTTACTTATCACATAGTAAGTGGGATGTCACTCGGGCCACAGATAAAATAATTTACAGGACTCTTCTTATCAAAGATCATTAAAATTTAGGCCTAAGGGGAAGCCTTGCCCCAAGAAAATTCCCAAAGAATCAAAAGGTCCAAAAGTTTCAGTTTGGGAAGAATGTGTGGCTGATACTGCGGTGGTATTACAAAACAATGAATTTAGAACTATTATAGACCGGGCCCCTCGAGGCCAATTTTATTATAATTGTACAGGCCAGACTCTCTCATGTTCACAGCCCCATCCATCTGGCCCATTAATCTGGCCTATGAGAGTGATTTAACTGAAAGGCTGGATCAGGTTTATAGAAAGTTACAATCACCCTATCCATGGAAATGGGGTGAAAAGCGAATTTCATCACCTCGACCAAAGTTAGTTAGTCCTGTTACTGGTCCTGAACATCCAGAATTATGAAAGCTTACTGTGGCCTCACACCACATTAGAATTTGGTCTGAAAATCAAGCTATAGGAACAAGAGATCGTAAGCCATATTATACTATTAACTTAAATTCCAATCCGACAATTCCTTTGCAAAGTTGTGTAAAACCCCCTTATATGCTAGTTGTAGGAAACATAGTTATTAAACCAGATTCCCAAACTATAACCTGTGAAAACAGTAGATTGTTTACTTGCATTGATTCGACTTTTGATTGGCAGCACCGTATTCTGCTGGTGAGGGCAAGAGAGGGCATGGGGATCCCTGTGTCCATGGACTGACAGTGGGAGGCTTCCCCATCTGTCCATATTTTAACAGAAGTATTGAAAGGAGTTCTAACTAGATCCAAAAGATTCTTTTTTACTTTGATTGCAGTGATTTTGGGTCTTATTGCAGTCACAGCTACTGCTGTGGCTGCTGGAATTGCTTTACACTTCTCTGTTCAAACTGCAGAATATGTAAATAATTGGCAAAAGAATTCCTCAAAATTGTGGAATTCTCAGACCCAAATAGATCAAAAATTGGCAAACCAAATTAATGATCTTAGACAAACTGTCATTTGGATGGGAGATAGGCTCATGAGCTTGGAATATCTTTTTCAGTTACAGTATGACTGGAATATGTCAGATTTTTGTATTAAACCCCAAGCGTATAATGAGTCTGAGCATCACTGGGACATGACGCCAACTACAAGGAAGAGAAGATAATCTTACTTTAGATATTTTAAAATTAAAAGAACAAGTTTTTGAGGCATCAAAAGCCCATTTAAATTTGGTGCCAGAAACTGAGGCAATCATGAAAGTTGCTGATGGCCTCACAAATCTTAACCCTGTCACTTGGGTTAAAACCATCAGAAATTCAACTGTTGTAATTTCATATTAATCCTGGTATATCTGTTTTGTCTGTTGTTAGTCTACAGGTGTATCCAGCAGCTCCAAAGAGAGAGCGACCAGTGAGAACGGGCCATGATGATGATGGCGGTTTTCTCAAAAAGAAAAGGGGGATATGTAGGGAAAAGAAAGAGAGATCAGACGGTTACTGTGTCTATGTAGAAAAGGAAGACATAAGAAATTTCATTTTTATCTGTACCCTGAACAATTGCTTTGCCCTGAGATGCTGTTAATTTGTAACTTTAGCCCCAACCTTGAGCTCACAGAAACATGTGTTGTATGGAATCGAGGTTTAAGGGATCTAGGGCTGTGCAGGATGTGCCTTGTTTACAAAATATTTACAGGCAGTGTGCTTGATAAAAGTCATCGCCGTTCTTCATTCTCAAGTAACCAGGGGCACAATGCACTGTGGAAAGCTGCAGGGACCTCTGCCCTGGAAAGCCAGGTATTGTCCAAGGTTTCTCCCCATGTGATAGTCTGAAATATGACCTCATGGGATGGGAAAGACCTGACCGTCCCCAAGCCCGACACCCGTGAAGGGTCTGTGCTGAGGAGGATTAGTAAAAGAGGAAGGCTTCTTGCAGCTGAGATAAGAGGAAGACCTCTGTCTCCTGCCTGCCCCTGGGAATGCAATGTCTTGGTATAAAACCCGACTGTACATTTGTTCCATTCTGAGATAGGAGAAAAACCGCCTTGTGGCAGGAGGTGGGACATGTTGGGAGCAATGCTGCTTTGTTACTCTTTACTCCATTGAGATGTTTGGGTGGAGAAAAGCATAAATCTGGCCTATGTGCACATCCAGGCATAGAACCTTCCCTTGAACTTATTTGTGACACAGATTCCTTTGCTCACATGTTTTCTTGCTGACCTTCTCCCCTCTATCACCCTGCTCTCCTGCCACGTTCCCCTTGATGAGATAGTGAAAACAGTAATCAATAAAAACTGAGAGAACTCAGAGACCAGTGCTAGTGCAGGTCCTCCGTATGCTGAGCGCCGGTCCCCTGGGCCCAATTTCTTTCTCTATACTTTGTCTCTGTGTCTTATTTCTTTCCTCAGTCTCTCATCCCACCTGATGAGAAGTAACCACAGGTGTGGAGAGGCTGGCCCCACTTCAAGTGTATAGAATTCTGGTGTGGCATGTCCCATCAGGTTACTTAAGGGTGCATGTCCCCTGCCTGAACCCTGAAGGCCAGGTGGGAAGCCAAGTCTCTTGTGCCCAGCCAAGAAGCAGGTGTCCCCGAGAACCCAAACATCCCAGACAGTATCTGAGAACCTACCAGGCAGAAGAGGCTGATTGCTCAAAATCAGTGGACAAAGAGCCAGAAAATTCACTTAAAAGCAGTTTAGAGACAGGAGGTGGCACAGATCTTTGGGGCTGTGCTGCTGCTGCCCTGGAGTGCCCTGCATGTGAATCCTAATCAACTCATTATTTGCCAAGCTGGGCTCATCTGAGTCATCCTTTGATCTCTTGGCTCCTTTCCGGTTTGGCGGGGAAAATGATACGGCCCTGGTTTTTCTCAGAGCAAGCGTGTTTTGGAATCGCACATCCTTCGAGGGCAGATAATAGTCAAGTGCCTGTGGGTGATGAGTGACTTTCCCTATGGTGAGAAACCCTACACAAAGGGCATCTGAGTGAGGACCCTGCTGGGGACTCAGGTGAGAAATCCTACACGAAGGACATCCGAGTGAGGACCCTGCTCAGGACTCAGATGAGAAACCCTACAAAAAGGGCATCCGAGTGAGGACCCTGCTCAGGACTCAGATGAGAAACCCTACACAAAGGGCATCCAAGTGAGGACCCTGCTGAGGACTCAGGTGAGAAACCCTACACAAAGGACATCCGAGTGAGGACCCTGCTCAGGACTCAGATGAGAAACCCTACACAAAGGACATCTGAGTGAGGACCCTGCTCAGGACTCAGATGAGAAACCCTACACAAAGGGCATCCAAGTGAGGACCCTGCTGAGGACTCAGGTGAGAAACCCTACACAAAGGACATCCGAGTGAGGACCCTGCAGAGGATTCAGATGAGAAACCCTACACAAACGGCATCCAGGTGAGGACCCTGCTGAGGACTCAGGTAAGAAACCCTACACAAAGAGTATCTGAGTGAGGACCATGCTGAGAACTCAGGGCCTGGTGTTGTTGGGCAGGAACCTTGGGCGAGAGCCTCAGTTTTCCTGAAAAATGAGGATGATGATGTCCACCACCTGTGTGACCCTGGTAGAATCGAATGAGATGGGGCAACTTAAGGGCTTGGCATAGGGCCTGGCATACAGGAAGAGTGAAATTAATGCATTTTTTCTACTTTTTCCCTCCCAGCAGAAGCCTCCATGATTATTCATCCCTCGTTCTGAAAACTAAAAATAAAATCCTAAGCTCCCCCTATGAACTGAACAGATTCCCTCTCGGCCAAGTGTACCCAGAGAAATCTTTAAAACTGAGTTCCTGGCCATGGCAGGATGGGAGGATAGACACGTCTCATTTTACTTCCTTCCTTTCATGGTTGAGACACAAAAACTGACCAGCATTCATGTTAAAATAGAGATTATAAGGCTGACTGAATTGACTATTTAGGGTAATAAGATACCAAGTTATATACAGGACCTAAGGTCTTACCAGGCAAGGGTTAAGTCAAGGGCCCCTACCCTTAAAAAATGAACTATATACTTTTTTTTTTTTTTTTTTTTGAGGCAGCGTCTCGCTTTGTAGCCCAGGCTGAAGTGCAGTGGCATGATCTTGGCTCACTGCAACCTCTGCCTCCCAGGTTCAAGCAATTCTCCTGCCTCAGCCTCCCGAGTAGCTGGGATTACAGGTGCATGCCACCACACCTGGCTAATTTTTTGTATTTTTAGTACAGACAGGGTTTCACCATGTTGGCCAGGCTGGTCTTGACCTGCTGACCTCATTATCCACCCGCCTCAGCCTCCCAAAGTGCTGGGATTACAGGCAAGAGCCACTGTGCCCAGCTGAATGAACTATATTCTAACTGCCACAGGGTTTTTCTCTCTCTAGCAGCTGAACAAGCACTGGCCCTAAGATAAGCAATATTGAAATGATTGCAGCTCATCCATCCCAGATTCTGACTAACTGACCCCCTGTTCCACAAGCCATGACTCCAGCTTTGATTGGACAAGAGATTGATTCCAGTAACTTTCTGCTGATGAGAGGCCTCTGAGCATTGACTGCTTCTGGCCACTTGAAAGAGACTTAGCACGCGAGCGTCTTCATGTCCCTGATGAACCATTTGATATGGGGGGGTCTAGCTGCAATGCATTGAAACATGAAGTCTCGGCGCAGCACGGTGGCTCACGCCTGTAATCCCAGCACTTTGGAACACTCTGGGAGACCGAGGCGGCAGATCACCTGAGGTCAGGCGTTCCAGACCAGCCTGGCCAACATAGTGAAACCCTATCGCTACTAAAAATAGAAAAAGTGGGCCAGGCGCGGTGGCTCACGCCTGTAATCCCAGCACTTTGGGAGGCCTAGGAGGGCGGATCACAAGGTCAGGAGATCGAGACAATCCTGGTTAACACAGAGAAACCCCGTCTCTACTAAAAATACAAAAATTAGCTGGGCGTGGCGGCGTGTGCCTGTAGTCCGAGCTGCTGGGGAGGCTGAGGCAGGAGAATGGCGTGAACCCGGGAAGTGGAGCTTGCAGTGAGCAGAGATTGCACCACTGCACTCCAGCCTGGGTGACAGAGCAAGACTCCATCTCAAAAAAAAAAAAAAAAAAAAAAAGTAGCCAGGTGTGGTGGCATGTACCTGTAGTCTCAGCTACTTGGCTGACACAGGAGAATCGCTTGAACCTGGGAGGTGGAGGATGCAGTGAGCTGATACGGTGCCATTGCAGTCCAGCCTGGGTGACATAGCAAGACTCTGTCTCAAAAAGAAAAAGAAATGTGAAGTCTCCACCCCAAAGTGAACATGGGACATAAGCCACATGAATGTTTATTCAGTATGCATGTGTTAGGCCCCCTTCAAGAATACTCATAGCCCATTTCATGACCTGTTGAGTGTGTATACTTGGCCAACCCACTCAGCATAAATTCCTGCCTCATCACTTCCTCCCTGGAAATACCAGTGAAGGATCTTTTCTGAAAGCTGCACTTTCGAGCCTGAGGCATGGCGAGCCTACAGGCCATAAGCTACAGAAATATATCCTTTTTTTCCTTTTTAAGTAGAGACAGGATTTTGCTTTGTTGCCCAGGCTAGAACTCCTTGGTTCAAGCAATCCACCCACATCGGCCTCCCAAAGTGCTGGAATTACAGGCGTGAGCCACCTTGCTTGGCCTATAGAATTATAGCTTTTTTTTTTTTTTGAGAGGGAGTCTCACTCTTTGCCCAGGCTGCAGTGCAGCAGCACGATCTCGGCTCACTGCAATCTCCGCCTCCCGGGTTCAAGCGATTCTCCTTGACTCAGCCTCCTGAGTAGCTGGGATTACAGGCACGTGCCACCATGCCCAGCTAATTTTTGTATTTTTAGTAGAGACGGGGTTTCACCATGTTGGCCAGGATGGTCTCCATCTCTTGACCTCGTGATCCACCCGCCTTGGCCTCCCAAAGTGCTGGGATTACAGGCGTGAGCCACCACACCCGGCCTAGAAATATATGTTATAATAAAATAGAGCCATGTGTGGTGGCTCATGCCTGTAATCCCAATACTTTGTAAGGCTAAGATTGGAGCCCTGCCTGAGCCTGGCCGTTCTGGACCAGCCCGGGTAATATAGAGACACTCCAGTAATGTGAGACTCTAGCACATGTTGAGTGGGAGTGGTCACATGTGGATGCTCATCGCAGCACTATTCACAACAGCAAAGACATGGAATCCACTGGAATGCACATCAGTGGTGGACTGGATTAACAAAATATGGTACAGATACACCATGGAAACCTACACAGCTTGAAACAAGAACAAGATAATGCCCTTTCATTAAGTCCTCATCCTCCTTTTGCTGCAACACGGATGGAGCTAGAAGCCGTTATGCTAAGCAAACTAAAGCAGGCACAGAAAACCAAACACCACATGTTCTCACTTATAAATGAGAGCCAAATATTAAGTATACATGACATAATAATGGGAACAATAGACGCCCGGGACTACTGGAGAGTGGAGGGTGGAAGGGGAGTGGGTATCAACAAACTACCAAAACTGGCTGGACATGGTGGCTCACACCTCTAATCCCAGCACTGAGGCAGTGCACCATTTGAGGTCAGGAGTTCTCCATGTCCAACATGGTGAAACCCTGTCTCTACTAAAAATGCAAAAACTTAGCCTGGCGTGGTAATGCAAGTCTGTAGTCTCAGCTACTTGGGAGGCCGAGGCAGGAGAATTGCTTGACTCTGGGAGGCAGAGGTTGCAGTGAGCTGAGAGCATGCCACTACACTCCAGCCTGGGTGACAGAGTGAGACGCCACCTCAAAAAACAAACAAACAAACAAATAAACAAAAGCTACCAAAATTATTTATCTGATAGTTTGTCTATTATCTATAGAACAAACCTGCATCTGTATTCCTGGAACTAAAATACAAGTTTGAAAACCTGCGATTTTCAGTGATTGGTTAGAGACCTGACAAATAGCCATCACATTAGAGTCACCCACTAGATTTCTGCTTTGTCATTTTGGGGAGGTCACAGTTTCCTGTTTGCTCTAGTTTCTTGTAGATATAGATCTGTATTTTTGCACTGAAGGAAGAATGATTTACTCCAGTTTTCTCTGTCTGGCTTGCTTTGGTTTGGACTGAATACATTCCCTTAGTGAATCTTCACCACTAGGTTGCTGCTTCCTTCTTGGCTCCAGGTGGTGGCTTAAGCCCAGGTTTACCTAAGTTTTAGTAAACCACAAGAGTGCTGCCAGTCCCAAATGGGGAAAGTCCCAAAGGGATTCTCATGGCAGTGTAGGAGCGCTAGCTAGGTCAAGCCCAGGTTTTCCTGTTTTTTGATAAGGAGAGAAGGGTGGTGTGATAGGAAGATCTCTCATTGAAATGAGTTAGTTTCCAAAAGGATGTATATTTCCATTAATATGGGCTGGAAATATTTAGAATGTATTATCCACCTAAATGATTTTAGCATTATTCTAAGAGAAATTGGATATCTTTACTGGACACAATCACTTTAATTCAGTAAACCCCACTAGTCACCATGAGGACAGGTCAGTGCCCTGGTTTTCCCGTTTTTTGATAAGGAGAGAAGGGAGGTGTTACAGGAAGATGTCTCATTGAAATGAGTTAATTTCCAAAAGGATGCATATTGATGTGGGCTAGAAATATTTAGAATGTGTCATCTACCTAAATGATTTTACTATTCTTCTAAGAGAAATTGGACATCTTTACTACACACAATTATGTTAATTCAGTAAAACCCACTAGCCACCATGAGGACAGGCAAGGGTTGGTGATGCCATGAGGCTCCCGCTAGTACACAGTATGGCCATTCCCTCCCAAGGCAGGGGGCCGCACCTTGTGCAGTGAAGCCCTTTCCTGACATGGCCAATGATCAGGAACAGATTCTCCCAGATCTGCCCATTAGGAGTGAGCAGGGTCTCGGTATCTGGGGAGCAGTGAGGGCCCCTGACAAGAAGAGGGTTGACTCAATGGTTCATCATCACTGCCCACATAGAATGTTCCAGGTCCCAGGCATGCATCTTTTGTGGATGAACCCAGTAAATAACCACAGGAGAAAGTAAGGAAGAGATGACTGGAGAGGTAAAGAATGGGCATAAATTAATCAAAGTTTAGGCTAGGCACGTTGGTTCACGCCTGTAATCCTAGCACTTTGGGAGGCTTCCTTGAGGTCACTTGAGGTTAGGAGTTTGAGACCAGTCAGGCCAACATCGTGAAACCCCGTCTCTACTAAAAACACAAATTCCCTTGAACCTGGGAGTTGGAGGTTGCAGTGAGCCAAGATCACACCACTGCACTCCAGCCTAGGTGACCAAGCAAGACTCCATCAAATAAACAAAACAAACAAACAAAACAGGTCAGGCTCTGTGGCTCATGCCTGTAATCCTAGCACTTTGGGAGGCCAAGGTGGGCAGATTACCTGAGGTCAGGAGTTCGAGACCAGCCTGATCAACATGGAGAAATGCCGTTTCTAATAAAAATACAAAATTAGCTGGGCATGGTGGCGCATGCCTGTGATCCCAGCTACTCGGGAGGCTGAGGCAGGAAAATCGCTTGAACCCAGGAGGCGGAGGTTGTGGTGAGCCAAGATCATGCCATTTCACTCCAGCCTGGGCAACAAGAGCGAATCTCCGTCTAAAACAAAACAAAAAAAAAAAGAAAAAAAAACCACAACGACAACATGAAGTTTATTTTGATTCCTTTATTTCCTGCAGATGAAACTAAATCACAGATGAACTAGTACCTCTTTTTTTAATTCATCAGGAACTAAAGATTTCTGATGTATAAATTGCTGAAACAGGCTAATCAATCATGAAGGACAGCAGAGAGTTTCCATTTAGGTTCCCTCTACTTCCGACGTTTCTTTGTATCCATCCTTGCTGAGATAACTCCCTCACTCTAGAACTTCAGCTTTCTATTTCTGACTGTCTAGGACACAGATCCCTGAGTCTCAGTGACTCCATTCAACTTTTTCCCCAGTGCTGCCCCCTGCTGGGATTTTTTGTTTTTTGTTTTCCACTCACAGAAAGCACATGCCTGAAACAGAGGTTTCTCTGTTCCCTTTATAATGCACCTATAGACCCGGCACAGCTGCTTATGCCTGTAATCCCAGAATCTTGGGAGGCCAAGCAGGGGGCTCCCTTAAGCGTAAGAGTTTGAGACCAGCCTGGACAACATAGGGAAACCCTGTCTCAAATTTTTAAATAAAAGCTGTAAAATTGTAAAATAAGGAAAAAGAAAAATAAAAGACATCTATGTCCCAGATTTTAGTTTCCAAGTGCCTGGAGAAAAAGCTTTTTATACCTCCACCCCACTAGGCAGGCCTTCCCCACAAGCAAAAATTGAACTCCAGTTGCTCAGTGGGCGAAGTGCCACAGCAAGGGCAGGACACCGGACCAAAGAAGATCCTTTTGGGCTCCCTTACTTCCCTCAGTATACGCATCAGCTCAGCCTGAAGTGGGGTGAGGAGCTCCAAAATGACACGACCCCTGTTGTCAAGACTCTCCCGAGGGGCAGGATATGTTTCCAGGCTCAAATTGCTCAGCCTGCCTGTGTGGCGCAGCAGGTCCTTCAGAGCATCCATGGACGTGTCATTGCCGTGAAAACAGAAAGTGGTGAGGTTGGAGCAGCGGCTCAGGGCAGGCAGGATGACCCTGAGTTTGGAGTACCCAATCCCACAGTCCACTAAGAAGAGGGTCTGAAGAGTGGCAGCAACTTTCTCTAGCAGAGCTCGGAGGGGCTCAAGACGGATGAAGCGCAGTGCACCATGACTCAGATTCAGCTGCTTCAGTTGACTGAGACTTGGGTACCGGGGCAGGCATTTCAAGTCCTCTTCTTCTAGGAAGCCATAAGTTAATGCCAATGTCTCCAACGGGCTCCTGAGGCACCTGGGGAGAGCAAGAAGTTAGTACTGGGCAATGGCACCAGTTAGAGGACGGTGGTAGAAAATAACGTCAAGGGAAGAGCCTGTTTTGCCCAAACACAAGTTTGTTCTCATCATCTAATCATGGTCCTCCCGCAAGGTGCTGCCTGATGAGGACTTGGATCATTCAGAGGCAGTCCCATTTTAGGCTCAGTCCTTTCACCATCACTGGTGTGATTGGTTCAAGGCCATAAAAACTCTAAAGCCTTTTTTCTTCATCTTCCAGCAGAAAGCTTCATCTCTGGGCCACAGGAGCCCAGTGGAAGAGATGCCCAAAGAACTGACCTGAGCAAGGTCTAGGGACATCAGCTAGGGCTACCTGCTTTCAGAGGCTCCCTGACATGGCCACATCTGCAAACCACCTGTCACTTTGTACCACTCTCGTGCCTACTCCCTCACCTCCATCCCAGAAGCACGCATTTCCCATGTCACTTACCTTTCCTGGAGTTCAAAACAACCTTTTACAGACAGGGAATCAGAGAGAGGATCATTCATGTTCACTAAGCTGTGAGGACAGAGCTTCCTCTGTGAAACGCACAGGTTTGGTGCACTTTCTCTTCTTTTACACCCTCCCCTCTGTTGCCTCTTTTTTATCATATTAACTTTAAACACACTTCCTAACAAGGAATTCCTAAAAGGAATTCACCCTCACTAGAGCTGAACCCTCCACTAACCAGCTCCCTACACGATGTCCCTCTCTGTAGCTTCTACCCCAGGTCATCCCTCTGCCCTTACTGGAGCGATCCTGTGATACCCACTTCAGGATATAGAGCACCAAACAGGACAATGCATTCTAGTGTCCCCTTCCCTAGACATCTCCAGTGGCTGGCACACAGTAGATGCTGATTGGTGTTTATTGTAACAAAAAAAGGCTGTGCTATGGCCCCCAGAGAAAGCTCACCATCCTTCCTCACCTGATCAGCTGGTCCAGGTGGCCTCTGAAGAAGCAGACCCTTCTTACATAAAGCATCTGGAGGTTCTCCAGCCTGAGGAGCACAGAGCTGAATTCAGCAACTAACTGTTCTTGGCTGTCAGAGCTTAGCAGGTAACGACAGCCATCGGAGATGAAGAGTTTGCGAAGATTCCTCATCTGGCTCAGGTAACGGCTAAACTCTACTATCATACACAGCCAGCACATGTTCCAAATTTCCAACACTTGGATACTGTCTGGGTATACTGTTTCCAATATGTTTCTGAAATTTAGAATGCTCATTGAATAATTCACCACCTTAGTACAGCACAGGTGTACTGAACCTCTTCTGTGCTGCACCCACCCAGAGAAGAAGCTCAGATCTTCATCCATGAATTTTTCCTTGAGGCAAACATCCATGAACACCTTCAAGGGCTGCTTCTCTCCTGTCCTTGGACAGTCCTCCACTGTCTGTCTCTTACTCATGGCCTCTGGGGAGCAGGACAGGGGCCTGGCTCCAGACCATATGGTCCAAAAATTCTCATCAACATCCCGCATTTCCAGCACTTGAAGTTTCCACCTCCTGTGAGTAACATAGGGGAAAAGCTCAGAACGTAGACAAGGACCCACCCCTGACCTGGGCTTTCACTCCACATCAAGGACCTCAGCTGCTTTTTTCCTCAGCGCCCCTCCTTCTGTCTCTTCTCCATCCCTTTCCCCCTTGGATTCTGCCTGGTACCCACTTCTAGTGCCTTTACCTTCCACTGGGAGCAGGCAGGTTCCTGTTTCCTCAGTGGACCCTGTATGGTGAGCAGTCCTTTCCCAGAGGAGCTGGGCAATAGCCAAGAACGTTCCCAGCTTTCTCACTGGCACCATCAGAAGCCCCTGGGCCACCCCGGGTTCCCAATTTGTCTGACCCAGCTGTTTAGTCCCTGGACACCTGGGCCCTCCCCACCTGGGTCACCTCACCTGGGGCGAACCTTTTGGGCAAGCAGGCAATCAATCCCATCCACTACATAATGTAAGATCTCCAGATCAGGCGTCTTCATCAGGGACCCCAGAGGGAGGCAGGGGAAGGGCCAGGCCTGCACCATCACCTTCAGAACCTCGCAGCGTCTGCTAGTGAAGGCCTCCACGAACAGTGGGGGGAAGAGCTCCCTGGGCAGCTCATCCAGGACGGAGATGGCCAAGGCCTGGTCCCTCAGCAGGCTCTGCCCTGCCAGCTCCAGGAGTCTGCGTGGGGCCTGGAAGCTCATCCTGATAAATCTGCAAGAAAACAAATCCAGAGAAGACAAACTTATCAGGCCAGTCCTCTCACACCCTGACTTCTCCTGGGCCAAAAGTCACTACTCTGGCAGGTGTGAAAGTCCTTAGTTTACCCCAATTCGACTCTGCAATAATTGGCCACACAGACATAGTTCTGCCCTTCTGGTACCAAGAAGAGTGTCTCCCAACCTCCAAGGAACGGGCAAGATCACTCCTACTCCATGAATTTTCATTAATTTCTCCACCCAACTCTATTAGCTCTGGGAAGTGTTACCAAGAATCTTCAAAGCTCAGCTCCTTTTTTGAGAAAAAAATGTCTTCTCAATTTAAGGATCTAAAGCAATGGTCATGTGGCTGGGCTTGGTGGCTCACAACTGTAGTCCCAGCACTTTGGAGGCCAAGGCGGGTGGCTCACTTGAGGTCAGGAGTTAGAGACCAGCCTGGCCAACAAGGTGAAACCCAGTCTTTACTAAAAACACAAAAAGTAGCCAGGCATGGTGGCAGGTGCCTGTAACTCCAGCTACTCGGGAGGCTGAGGCACAAGAATCACTGGAACCCAGGAGGCGGAGGTTGCAGTGAGCTCAGACAGTGCCACTGCACTCCAGCCTGGGCAATAGAGCGAGGCTCAGTCTCAAAAAAATAAATAAATAAAATAAAACAATAAAACAATGGTAATGGGAGTCTCCTGTGGCCCCAAACAGCCTACAGTCTCAGTTCCCACAGTGAACTTGGCTGGGAGAGACTAAAGGGATATTTTTAGTTAGACACCATTATGTTCACTTTCAAAAGAGTACTGAGGGGCCACACATGGAGGCTCACAGCTGTAATTCCAACACTTTGGCAAGCCAAGGCAGAACAATCACTTAAGCCCTGGAGTTGCTGACCAGCCTGGGCTACATAGTGAGACCCTGTCTCTCCAAAAAAATACAAAAAATAGATGGATGTGATGGCGCACACCTGTAGTCCCAGCTGCTCTGCAGGCTGAGGTGGAAGGATGGCTTGTGTCTGGGAAGCAGAAGTTACAGTGATCTGAGACTCTGCCACTGTACCCCTAGCCTGGGCAGAACAGCAAGACTCTGTCTTAATAAAATAAATAAATAAATAAAATATTACCCACTTTGGAATGGAGTCTAGAGAAACAAATGGATCCCACATTCAGAACAAAGACTTCATTCTTGAAAATGGTGTATGAGACCAGTCATGTTGGTTCATGCCTGTAATCCCAAGACTTTAGAAGGCAAAGTGGGAGGTTTGCTTGAATCTAGGTGTCCCAGACCAGCCTAGGTAACAAACCAAGACCTCATCACTATAAAAAATAATAATAATAGGCCTGGCACGGTGGCTCACACCTGTAATCTCAGCACTTTGTGAGACTGAGGCGGGCAGATCGCCTGAGTTTGGGAGTTTAAGACCAGCCTGGCCAACATAGTGAAACCCTATCTCTATTAAAAATACAAAAATTAGCCAGGTGTGGTGGCACACACCCACAGTCCCAGCTACTTGGGAGGCTGAAGCAGGAGAATCACTCGAACCCGGGAAGCAGAATTTGCAGTGAGCCAAGATCATGCCTCTGCACTCGAACCTGGGCAACAGAGTGAGACTCTCTCTCAAAAAAAAAAAAAAAGAAAAAAACAAAAACAAAAAAATTAGCCAGTTATACTAGTGCATGCCTGAATTCCAGCTATTCAGAAGGCTAGAACTTCTGAGTAGGGAGGATGGCTTGAGCCCAGAAGGCAGAGGTTGCAGTGAGTCGAGATCACAATACTGCATTCCACCAAGAATGACGCAGGAAGACAATGTCTCAAAGAAAAAAAAAAAAAAGACTTCAGTCAATTGCATTATTTTTCAACTGCTTGATTTGGAACTCTGAAGCTGGGCATGGTGGCTCACACCTATAATCCCAGCACTTTGAGAGGCCTAGGTGGGCAGATCACGAGGTCAGGTGTTCGAGACCAGCCTGGCCAACATGGTGAAACCCTGTCTCTACTAAAAATACAAAAATTAGCCGGGCATGGTGGTGGGCACCTGTAATCCCAGCTACTCAGGAGGCTGAGGCAGGAGAATTGCTTGAACTTAGGAGGCAGAGGTTGCAGTGAGCCGAGACCTCATCATTGCACTCCAGCCTGGGTGACAGAGCAAGACTCCATCTCAGAAAAAAAAAAAAAAAACATTTGAAATGACATAAACTAAACACAAATAAAATATTTGGAGTGAAGAGATAAAACTGCATTAGAGAAAAAATTAAAGCCTACATCTGTTCATCTGAAAAACAGGCAAGAAAATTCTCTGTGCCACCTTGGCCTTCATGTCGCCCTCTACTGGCTGACTGTGGGTCATAGGAGTGCCCTTGTGAAGGTACCTGACTTACCAGATCTGGACTCACTTTGCAGTCTGCTCGGACCTCTTGGAGAATCAAGCAATAACTCCAGGTACCACAGCTTGGGGTTTCTTCTGTGGATGTTCACAAGCTTTCTTGGACCTTTCTGTTTTTTTGAGATGGAGTTTTGCTCTTGTTGCCCAGTTTGGAGTAAAATGGCGTGATCTCGGCTCACCGCAACCTCCACCTCCTGGATTCAAGTGATTCTCCTGTCTCAGCCTCCAAAGTAGCCGGAATTACAGGCATGCGCCACCACACCTAGCTAATTTTGTATTTTTAGCAGAGATGGTGTTTCACCATATTGGCCAGCCTGGTCTTGGGAACTCCTGACCTCATGACCCACCCTCCTCCTCAGCCTCCCAAAGTGCTGGATTACAGGCATGAGCCACGGCTCCCAGCAACTTTCTTGGACTTTCCTAATCCCACCTCCTTTATCAACTTCCAGATTCCTATCAGAAAGTGATGCCTGATGGGATTTCTGAATTCCACCCAGTTAAGCCTGATTGAAGTTTTGGCTTTCTGCAGAATAATGGATTGAATCAGATATCCAATCATGAAACTGAAAGCACTGTAATTAGGGTGGAAGTCAAGAACTCATTTTGATGATTTTGATGTCACCAAAGAACTCCCAACCATAATATTTTCCGGTTTTGCTTTTCTGTCTAATCTCAGGAATAGGTTGAACCCTTCCCTGTCTTCCACTCAGGACTAGGAAGGTCACATATTACTACCACTCCATCTCTGCTTCTGGAGGGCATTAATGAGTGAATTCTTGACTTCCACCCGAACAAACACTGATGGAATTTACCAGTATGTGACCTTCTTTGTCCTGAGTGTGAGACAGGGAACTCTCACTCTGTTCCTGACATTAGAGAGAAAAACAAAACCTAAAAAGATTAATGTTGGGGAAATCTTTGGCCCCATCAAAATTATCAAAATGGGCCAGGCGCGGTAGCTCATGCCTGTAATCCCAGCACTTTGGGAGGCCCAGGCGGTGGATCACGAAGTCAGGAGATCGAGACCATCCTGGCCAACATGGTGAAACCTTGTCTCTACTAAAAATACAAAAATTAGCCGGGTGTGGTGGTGGGCGCCTGTAGTCCCAGCTACTCAGGAGGCTGAGGCAGGAGAATCACTTGAACCCAGGAGGCGGAGGTTGCAGTGAGCCAAGATCATGCCACTGCACTGCAGCCTAGGTGACAGAGAGAGACTCTGCCTCAAAAAGCAAAACAAAACAAAATTATAAAAGGTTTCAGCCAGGCACTGTGGCTCACACCTATAATCCCAGCACTTTGGGAGGCTGAGGCGGGTGGATCACGAGGTCAGGAGATCGAGATCATCCTGGCTAACACTGAAACCCTGTCTCCACCAAAAATACAAAAAATTAGCCAGGCATGGTGGTGGGTGCCTTTATTCCCAGCTACTCCAGAGGCTGAGGCAGGAGAATGGCAAGAACCTGGGAGGCGGAGCTTGCAGTGAGCCAAGATCGCACAACTGCACTCCAGCCTGGGTGACAGAGCAAGACTCAGTCTCAAGATAAATAAATAAATAAATAAAAATAAAAATATTTCAGAGTTTAAACTTTATAAGCCAGGTGCGGTGGCTCAAGCCTGTAATCCTGGCACTTTGAGAGGACAAGGTAGGCAGATCATGAGGTCAGCAGTTCGAGACCAGCCTGGCAAATACGGTGAAACCCCGTCTCTACTAAAAATACAATAATTAGCTGGGCATGGTGGGATGCACCTCTAGTCCCAGCTACTCAGGAGTCTGAGGCAGAAGAATCACTTGAACCCGGGAGGTGGAGGTGGCAGTGAGCCAAGATCATGCCACTGCACTACACCCTGGGTGACAGAGGGAGACACCATCTCAAAAAAAAAAAAAAAATCAGTGAAGCATGGTGGCACACACCTGTGGTCCCAGCTACTCTGGAGGCTGAAATGGGAAGATCCATTTTTTGATCCCCACGATGCAGAGGTTGCAGTGAGCCTAGATCAATCTATTGCCCTCTGGGCTGAGCGACAGAGCCTGTATCAAAAACAAAAACAAACAAAACAAAAAACAGCTTCATGAAGGCAGTGGTTTTATCCCTACAAAATTGAATTTAAATGTTCGTGTATATATTGGTCATTTGGGATTTAAGTTACCCATATGAGGAAATCGTATGCTCATTTGTGTGGAAGAGAGGTACCACTAAGGGTGTGATTGGTCTCAAGATTTTGTTCCAGGTTTCTCTGGAGGAAATCAGGTAACAATTACAAAGAGAAGTAAGGGTGGTGGCTGGGCTGGGCTGGGTTGGGCTTAGTGTTCCAATGGGACCTTGAGATTGAACCAAGGCATGGTCAATGTGTTGGGTTTTTGTGGGCATGAGGGAGACTCTTTCCAACATTGGCCAATGCCACCTTAACTGTGATCCTTATGGCCAAGGAGGATGCCTTCAGAACCACTTATGTAATCCTCCTTATTTTTCCTTTCAAAACCCTTGTCTTCCTTGACCTCCCTGAATAGTCTCACACCTATTCCCATTGCTTTGCTCATTTCATAAGAAAAAAATCCTTTTTTACTGAGTCTCTTTCTCTGTCTGTTAAGTACACCATATTTTTGTTGACACACAGATGAGTAACCCAGTTTTAGGGTGAGAAAGGGTCAAAGGATCCCATTCTCCACCAGTCGGAGGTAATGGGACGGTCATGGTTATTCTTCATCATAGCTACGTCTGCACATTGCCAGTGAAATCCTGCAGATCGGCCAGGCTTGGTGGCTCACACTTGTAATCCCAACACTTTAGGAGGCCAAGTCGGGAGAATCACCTAAGGCCAGGAGTTCAAGACCAGCCTGGCCAACATGGTGAAACCCCATCTCTACTAAAAAATATATACATATATATAAATTAGCCAGGTGTGTTGGGGCATGCCTGTAATCCCAGCTGCTTGGGAGGCTGAGGCAGGAGAATTGCTTGAACAAGGGAGGTGGACATTGCAGTGAGCCAAGACTGCACCATTGCACTCCACCCTGGGTGACAGAGTGAGACTCCATCTCAAAAAAGCAAAAACAAAAACAAAAACCTGCAAATCACAGTTGGCGGGCTTCCAAACCAACCATCTGGGGAAGGGCTTAGGATTCATGGCTTACATCCTGTCCCTGAGTAAATCATCTGATCATGAGCTTCTCAAACTCTTCAAGTACTGACAAAGGCTTCACCTTCTGACATTGAGAAGGACGCTGATTTGATTTTGATCATGAAGTTTAACTGTCTTGCACTTCAAGCATTTTGGCCTGTTCATTGTCAACCTTGGTCAATGATTGTAACCTCTGTGTTGTACCCATCACTGAAGGACAACTCAGCTATGAGGAGTCCCACTGCCTTCTACACTCTCTCATGAAAGCATTCCAACTTATAATAGACTTTGGAACACACCCACTTTGTTGCTGTATGTTCCTGGGTCAATTCTCACATTCAGCTTCCAATAAACTTGTATCAAATTATTTCTCCCTCAACAGCCTTAATTTCCATTGACACCAGATTGTGTGATTGTGGTTTAAATTGGGATAGAGGAGCAAGCATGGTGGTTAACACCAGTAATCCCAGCATTTGGAAAGCCAAAGTGGGCAGATTGTTGAGTCCAGGAGTTCAAGACCAGCCTGGGCAATGTGGCAAAACCTCATCTCTACAAAAAATACAAAAATTAGCTGGGCATGGTGGCATGCACCTGTACTCTCAGTGACTTGGGGGGCTGAGGTGGAAGGATCACTTGAGCCCAGGAGGCAGAGGTTGCAGTGAGCTGAGATCTGCCACTGCACTCCAGCCTGGGTGACAGAGTGAGAACCTGTCTTATAAATAAATGAATAAATAAATAAATAAATAAATAAATAAGGCTGGGCACAGTGGCTCACACCTGTAATCCCAGCACTTTGGGAGGTCGAGGTGGGTGGATCACCTGAGGTCGGGAGTTCAAGACCAGCCTGACCAACATGGAGAAACCCCATCTCTACTAAAAATACAAAATTAGCCGGGCGTGGTGGCACATGCCTGTAATCCCTGCTACTAGGGAGGCTGAGGCAGGAGAATCGCTTGAACCAGGGAGGCAGAGGTGTGGAGCTGAGATCACACCAATGCACTCCAGCCTGGGCAACAAGAGTGAAACTCCATCTCAAAAAAAATAAAATAAAATAAATACATAAATAAATAAATGTAGGAAGAAAAAGTATTTTAATGAATTAGATGAAGTAGCCATTGCATGCTATCTCCATTAAAGGATAAGTAGGTTCCTCTACAAAATGCCCTGATTATTGATGCATCTAATAAACCAAACTATTGGCCGGGCGCAGTGGCTCACGCCTGTAATCCCAACACTTTGGGAGGCCAAGGTGGATGGATCACTAGGGCTCAGGAGTTTCAGACCAGCCTGGCCAACATGGCAAAACCTCGTCTCTACTGAAAATACAAAAAATTAGCCAGGTGTGGTGGAGAGCACCTGTAATCCTAGCTACTTGGAGGCTGAGGCAGGAGAACTGCTTGAACCCAGGAGGCAGAGGTTCCAGTGAGCCAAGATCATGCCATTGCTCTCCAGCCTGGGCAACAGAGTGAGACTCTGTCTCAAAAAAACAAAAACAACACAAACAAACAAAAGAAGCTATTATTTATTTCATATAGTAGAACTGTAGAGACAATCCCTTTGCCTCTCATGTTTCCATTAAACCAATGTCTAGTTTTTTAGTTTTTTGTTTTTTGGGTTTTTTATTGAGACGGAGTCTTGTTATGTTACCCTGGCTGGAGTGCAATGGCACCATCTCAGCTCACTGCAACCTCTGTTTCCCAGGTTCCAGCGATTCTCCTGCCTCAGCCTCCCAAGTAGCTGGAATAACAGGCACTCGCCATAATGCCCAGCTGATTTTTTTGTATTTTTTGTAGAGACGGAGTTTCACCACGTTGGCCAGGCTGGTCTTGAACTCCTGACCTCAGGTGATCTGCCTGCTTCGGCCTCCCAAAATGCTGGGATAACAGATGAGAGCCACTGTGCCCGGCCACCAATGTCTGGTTTTAGTAAGACGTTGATTACGTAGTAGAGGGTAACATGATCATGCTCATGTATTGTTTCGTTTTGTTTTGTTGTTTTGTTTTGTTTTGTTTTGCTTTGTTTTGTTTTGCTTTGATTGAGACAGAGTCTCACTCTGTTGCCCAGGCTGGAGTGTAGTGTTGCCATCTCGGCTCACTGCAACCTCTACCTGCTGGGTTCAAGCGATTTTCCTGGCTCAGCCTCCCAATTAGCTGGGATTACAGGGGCCTGCCACTACACCCAGCTAATTTTTCTTGTACTTTTAGTAGAGATGGGGTTTCACCATGTTGACCAGGCTGGTCTTGAACTCCTGATCTCAAGTGATCTGCCCTCTTCAGCCTCCTAAAGTGCTGGGATTACAGGCATGAACTACTACCTCTGACTGTTGTTTTGTTTGTTTGTTTTTGTTTTTGTTTTTGTTTTATTTTGTTTTGTTTTTTGAGATAAGGTCTTCTTCACTCTGTTGCCGAGGCTAGAGTTCAGTGGCATAATCATAGCTCATAGCAGCCTTGAACTCCTGGACTCAAGTGATCCTTCTGCTGCAGCCTCCTAAGTAGTGGTCATGTTCTAATTTTATATCTATTTCCCTTACACATTGGCTTCCAATCTCCATAATGTGTGTCAAACCAAAGAGTCTGATTACAGAGGGAGTCTGGAACACTGCCTAGATCAACCCAGTTGCACTAAGGTTTTCTATGCACAGAAATAAATTTCCAGGCCCTGCTTGGTGGCTCACACCTGTTATCCCAGAACTTTTGGAGGCCGAGTCAGGCAGATTGCTTAAGCCCAGAGGCCAGGAGTTAGTGACCAGCCAGGGCAGCATGGTGAAACCCTGTCTCTACAAAAAAATAAAAAAACACAAAACCTAACCAGGTGTGGTGGCACACACCTGTAATCCTAGCTATTTAGGAGATTGATTTGGAGGATTGATTGAGACTGGCAGGTCAAGGCTGCAATAAGCCGTGATCGTGCCACTTCACTCCAGCCTGGGTTGCAAAACAAGACCCTGTCTCGAAAAAGGAAAACAAAAACAAAGATTAAAAAAAAAATGTTTACATAGCCAGCAATTGATTTGCTTAGTGAAAGAAGCTAAACTTTGAACAGTAGAACTTTGAGAATGTTCAGTTTGAGGCCAGGCACGGTAGCTTACACCTGTAATCCCAGCACTTTGGAAGGCCAAGGTGGGAGGATCACTTGAGGTACGGAGTTCGAGGCCAGCCTGGCCAACTTGGTGAAACCCCGTCTCTACTAAAAATACAAAAATTAGCCCGGCATGGTGGTGTAAACCAGTAGTTACAGCTACTTGGACGGCTGAGGCAGGAGAATCGCTTGAACCCGGGAGGCAGAGGTTGCAGTGAGCAGAGATGGTGCCACTGCACTCCAGCCTGGTGACAGAGGGAGACTTTATCTCATTTTTTTTTTTTTTTTTGAGACGGAGTCTCGCTCTGCTGCCCAGGCTGGAGTGCAGTGGCGCGATCTCGGCTCACTGCAAGCTCCGCCTCCCAGGTTCACGCCATTCTCCTGCCTCAGCCTCCCAAGTAGCTGGGACTACAGGCGCCCGCCACCACGCCCGGCTAATTTTTTGTATTTTTAGTAGAGGCGGGGTTTCACTGTGTTAGCCAGGATGGTCTCGATCTCCTGACCTCATGATCCACCTGCCTCTGCCTCCCAAAGTGCTGGGATTACAGGCGTGAGCCACCGCGCCCGGCCGGGGGACTCTATCTCAAAAAAAAAAAAAAAAAATTCAGTAGTAAAACTTTTGGTTAGCAGGGCACGGCTGCTCACGCCTGTAATCCCAGCACTTTGGGAGGCCGAGGCGGGCAGATCATGAGGTCAGGAGATCGACACCATCCTGGCTAACATGGTGAAACCGCATCTCTACTAAAAATAGAAAAAAAATTAGCCAGGCGTGGTGGCAGGTGCCTGTAGTCCCAGCTACTCAGGAGGCTGAGGCGGGAGAATGGCATGAACCCAGGAGGCAGAGCTTGCAGTGAGCCAAGATCATGCCACTGCACTCCAGCCTCGGTGACAGAGCAAGACTCCGTCTCAAAAATAAAAAACAAAAAAAAACTTTCGGTTAGTGTAATCTAGTCTTCCCTGTAGATGTAGCTAATTTTATTTTATTTTTATTATTATTTTTATTGAGACAGAGTCTTCCTCTGTCTGCCAGACCGGAGTACAATGGTGCGATCTCGGCTCACTGCAACCTCTGCCTCCTGGGTTCAAGTGATTCTCCTGCCTCAACCTCCCTAGTAGCTGGGAATACAGGCATGCACCACCATGCCCAGCTTCTTTTTGTACCTTTAGAAAAGAAGGGGTTTCACCGTGTTGGCCAGGCTGGTCTCGAACTCTTGACAAGTGATCCACCCGCCTCGGCCTCCCAAAGTGCTGGGATTACAGATGTGAGCCACCGTGCCCAGCCTGATTTAGCTAATTTTAGTTTCAAGATACCATTTGTTCATTCAACCTTTGTAGAAGGCTGAGAAAAACAAGGGCAATGGTAGTGCCACTAAATTTGTAAAATCTTCTTTAAGTGTTTGATAACCTGTCCAGTAAAGTGTGTTCCTGAGACAGGATTGTTCCCTTGACTTTGACCTTCTTCATGGGCAGGAACTAGAGTGGTTTGTTTCACTCCGGCTGCAGTCTGTGGATGGCTGAGTGTGAACAGCTCAGTGTATGGTCAGAGTGACAGCTTCCCGCACCTGCCCTTTTTGACACTCAAGTTCTTATTCGGTGTAAAGGAAGAACCAGGTCACATTAGCTATTTAAAGAGTAGCATAAGTGAAGGATTTTATTGGGTGATAAATGTGGCTCTCAGTGGAAAGGGGAGTTAGAAAGGGGATGGTGCTGCCAGGCGCAGTGGCTCAAGCCTGTAATCCCAGCACTTTGGAAGGCTGTGGGAGGCTGAGGCAGATGGATCACCTGAGGTCAGGAGCTCGAGACCAGCCTGGCCAACATGGTGAAACCCCATCTCAAATAAAAATGCAAAAAAATTAGCTGGGCGTGGTGGCGGGTGACTGTAATCCCAGCTACTTGGGAGGCTGAGGCAGGAGAATCTCTTAAGCCCAGGAGGCAGAGCTTGCAGTGAGCAGTGAGCTGAGATCACGCCACTGCACTCCAGCCTGGGCAACAGAGTGAGACTCCGTCTCAAAAAAAAAAAAAAAAAGAAAGGGGATGGTGCAGCAAGAAGGTGATCTTCCCCTGAAGCCACACCATCTGAAGTTAGCTGCATCTCTCTGTAGGCTTTAATGCTCATCTGCTTGTATCCCCAACGTTCAGCCACTTGTATTCCGATGCTCAGCATCTTGCATCCCCAACCACTTGCAGCAGCCGCTTGTGTTGCTCTGCCAGCTGGTCTTTTTATGGGCCCAGGATAGGGTGTGAGGAAGGCCAAAAGGGCAATCATTTGGGCAGAAAAATGGGGTTAGCTGTTTTCACTTAGGGCCGAGTTTCCAGGATTGAGGGTGGGTTTAGTTGGGAGCCCAGCTGTTCTGAATCATTTCCTTATTGCTGGCCAACAAGGTAAAACCCTGTCTCTACCGAAAATTAGCTGGGTGTGGTGGGGGATGCCTGTAGTTCCAGCTACTTGGGAGGCTGAGGCAGGAGATTCCTTGAACCCAGGAAGCAGAGGTTGCAGTGAGCTGAGATCGTGCCACTGCACTCCAGCCTGGTGACAGAGCAAGACTCCGTATCCAAAAAAAGAAGAATGGGCACACAGATGCCTCAACATTTGGCAACTGAGGGACTTTTCCTCCTGGGTCATTATCCATCCATTCCAATTATGGAAAAATTCCTGCTTTCTAGAGCATTAAAGGAGAATCACCAAGAGGATATCAAGACAGGTGGTGATAAAGCCTTTTGGGTATAGTTGTTCTCACTATTGGGTTTATGCAAATGGAGATATGATAAAGACTTTTTTGGCCACTTTAGGACAGATTACAAAAGAAACCACAAAAAAATGCTGTGGGACACAGAAGTCTCTAAATTCCTTACCTTAAGTGGTTTCAGGGAAATGTTTATGTTTATAGCTAATTGCTACAAGTCTAACTAAAACCAAGGTTGCAGTAGCTCAATGCATAGAACTTATAGATAAGTCCATTTTTGTAAGCTTGCTTTTTGGCTTTGGTTTTAGGCTTATGTTGCCTAAAAGGTTTTAAGTGTTGATGCATGCCTGCCCACCGCCACGCTCATCTGGCCTAGGATGCTTTAATTGGCTGTAAGTCTTTTGGCTCTGAATCTCACGTCCATAGGAGTCCCACCTAGGGGCTGGGTGGACCAAGGCAGGTAGCTCCGCCACCCTGTCATCCACATGAGACAAATTAAAACTTTGGCCATTGATGCTGCTTCTGGCATATCCTGATGAACAGGGGGGAAAATGAGAAATAACAGTGAATTTCTAAGCCCCCTAACTGAAGAAACAGACCCCCTGTTGGTCAAGAGGAAACCCCAGTTATCCTTGAAAACTGAGTTCTCAAGGAGAACGAGATGTTGGGCGGGGGGGGTCCACAAGCTTCACTATACCCCCTCCCTTGCTAACCACCATTAGCCTTTCTTCCTTAAGGGTCAAACAGAAACCAGCTCTTTAAGAATCTACCACTCATAGCAACCAACTGCCTGATGCTGCTTCTCCTGTCAGAGTGGCCATCCGACACTTGGCCACTCTTTTTTTTTTTTTTTTTTTTTTTTTTTGACACGGAGTCTCCTTCTGTCGCCCAGGCTGGAGTGCAGTGGCGCCATCTCGGCTCACTGCAACCTCTGCTTCCCAGGTTCAAGTCATTCTCCTGCCTCAACCTCCCAAGTAGCTGGGATTACAGGCGTGGGCCACCATGCCCAGTTGATTTTTGTATTTTTAGTAGGGACAGGGTTTCAACATGTTGGCCAGGCTGGTCTCGATCTCCTGACATCAGGGTATCCACTCACTGGGATCAGGTGCTGGAATTCCAGCTGTGAGCCACCTTGCCTGGCCATGGCCACCTTTTATGAAAAATAAAGCTCTCCCTTCCAAACTTAAAATAAATAAGTAGTAAAATAAATGATACATACCAACAGAACACTGTATATAGTAAATACACACATATAATATGTATGCAGTTGAAAAATATAATAGTAATGTTGACAAAAAGAGTCAAACTCTGTAATATATGTGAAGAGATTTATTCTGAGCCAAATATGAATGACCATGGCCCATGACACAGCCCTCAAGAGGTCTGGAGAGGCTGGGCGCAGTGGCTCATGCCTGTAATCCCAGCACTTTGGGAGGCCGAGGCAGGCGGATCACGAGGTCAGGAGATCGAGACCATCCTGGCTAAAATGGTGAAACCCTGTCTCTACTAAAAATACAAAAAAAAATTAGGTGGGCATGGTGGTGGGCGCCTGTAGTCCCAGCTACTCGGGAGGCTGAGGCAGGAGAATGGCGTGAACCCGGGAGGCAGAGCTTGCATTGAGCCGAGATCGTGCCACTGCACTCCAGCCTGGGTGACAGAGCAAGACTCCATCTCAAAAAAAAAAAAAAAAAAAGAGGTCTGGAGAACACGTGCCCAGGGTTGTTTGGGGCGCAGGTTGGTTTTATACAGTTTAGGGGTACATGAAACATCAATTAAATACATCTAAGAAATATATGGCCAGTCCCCCTGGTTCTGTGGCTCACGCCTGTAATCCCAGCACTTTCAGAGGTTGAGGTGGGTGGATCATTTGAGGTCAGGAGTTCGAGACCAGCCTGGCCAACATGCTGAAACCCCATCTCTACTAAAAATACAAAAATTAGCCTGTCACGGTGCTACACACCTTTAATCCCAGCTACTCAGGAGGCTGAGGCAGAAGAATTGCTTGAATCTGGGAGGTGGAGTTTGCAGGGAGCTGAGATCACACCACTGCATCCCAGACTGGGTGACAGAGCCAGAATCCATCTCAAAAAAAAAAAAAAAAAAGAAAGAAAGAAAAAAGAAATACATGGCTGGGTGAGTGGTGGCTCACGCCTGTAATCCCAGCACTTTAGGAGGCCGAGGCGGGTGGATCATCTGAGGTCAGGAGTTAGAGACCAGCCTGGCCAACATAGTGAAACCCCGTCTAATTTTTGTAAAAATACAAAAATTAGCCAGGTGTGATGGTGTGTGCCTGTATTCCCAGCTACTCGGGAGGCTGAGACAGGAGAATTACTTGAACCTGGGAGACAGGGATCGCAGTAAGCCAAGAGCAAACCACCGCATTTCAGCCTGGGTGACAGAGTGAGAATCTGTGTGAAAGAAAGAAAGAGAGAGGGAGAGAGGGAGGGAGGGGGAGAGAGAGAGAGAGAGAAGAAAAGAAAAGAGAAGAGAAGAAAAGAAAAGAAAAGAAAAGAAAAGAAAAGAAAAGAAAAGAAAAGAAAAGAATTACATTGGTTTGGCTCAGAAAGGAGAGACAACTGAAGGGTCGGGGGCTTCCAGGCTATAGGTAAATTTAAACATTTTCTGGTTGACAATTGGTTGAGTTTGTCTAAAGACCTGGGATCCATAGAAAGGAAATGGTCAGGGTGAAATAAAAGATTGTGGAGACCGAGGTTCTTTTGAAATCTCATAGTGGCCACCCTTCGAGACAACAGATGACAGATGTTTGCTATTCAGACCCTTAAAATTACCAGACAGTCCATCTCTTCAGGACTGGGAGGGCCTGCAAGAAAAAGATCTAGCTGTGTTAATAGAGATTCTTTACAGATGCAGATTTTCCCCCATAAAGGACAGCTTTGCAGGGCCATTTCAAGATATGGCAAAGAAACATGCCTTGGGGCAAAATATCTTGACTTTCTCCTCTGTCACAGGATGTTATGCCAGAGTCAGATTGGAAAGTAAGTCACCATATACAGGGCTAAAAAAACTCATCTGATGGGAATTTATGATTTTGGGGCATGACTCTGTAGACTCCTTAGGAATTTGGGCAAGATAAAAAATTCAGACCTTAGTCCTCAGTAAAATGAAGGCATATGTACCTTCCACCCACTTTAGGGCCACCTGTCTCTCCACTCTTCTCCTTCCAATCCCATCCACCTATGTGTCTTCCAACAATTTATAAAAGTGACCAAAGGGACAATGAAAATGGTTTTAACATTTGAATATCAACCAAACATGCATGATTGGGCCACGTGCAGTGGCTCACGCCTGCACTCCCAACAACTTTGGGAGGCCGAGGTGGGCAGATCACCAGAGATTACAAGTTCAAGACCAGCCTGGGCAACATGGGAAACGCTGTCTCTAGTAAAAATACAAAAATTAGCCAGGCGTGATGGTGCACATTTGTAATCCCAGCCACTCAGGAGGCTGAGGCAGGAGAATTGCTTGAACTCAGAAGATGGAGGTTGCAGTGAGCCGAGATCACGCCACTGCACTCCAGCCAGGACCACAGAGCGAGACTCTGTCTCCCCCCCAAAAAAAAAAAAAAAAAATTCAACAAACGTATTTAAACAAATAAATAGAATAAAAGCACCAGAAAATGATCATCTTAATTGATGTACGAAAAACATTTGAAAAAATTCAATGACTCATTCAGGATTTTAAAAATATTCTCAGCAAAATAAGAAAATAATTCCTCAATATGAATTGCTCAATGGGATTACAGGCACACACCATCCACCTTATCAGTCAGTCCCTTAGTAAATTCCATCAGTGTTTGTTAGGATTAGGGTGGAAGTCAAGAATTCATTCATTAATGCCCTCCACAGAGAATGAATTGTACTAATATGTGACCTTCCTTCCTATTTTTGAGTTTGAGACAGGGAAGGGTTCAATCTGCTCCTGAGATTAGACACAAAAACAAAACCTGAAAGCTTTATGGTTCAGAGAACTTTGGCTGGATCAACGTTATCAAAATGAATTCTTGACCTGCATTCTAATCCCAACACTTTCAATTTCATGATTGGATATCCAAGGGATTGAATGGACACCTGAATTCACAGGCTTAACTGGGTGGAGCTTCAGAAATCCAATCAGGCATCACTCTCTGATGGGAAGCTGGTGGTTGAAAAGGGGAGGTGTGATGAGAAAGGTTCAAGAAAGCTTGTGAGCACCCCCAGAAGAGACCCAGAGCTGTGGTGCCTGGAGTTACTTCTTGGTTCTCCACAAGATCCGAGCACACTGCAAAGTGAGTCCAGATCTGATAAGTCAGGGACCTCCACAAAGGGCACTCCTATGACCCACAGTCAGACAGTCAGGATGACGACACGGAGGTCAAGACGACACAGAGAATTCTCCTGTCTGTTTTTCAGATGAAAAGATGTAGGCTTTGATTTTTCCTCTAATATACTTTTATCTACACTCCAAATATATATCTACATATATATTTTTGTTTGTTTGTTTGTTATGAGACAGAGCCTCACTCCGTTGCCTGGGCTGGAATGCAGTGGCACGATCTCGGCTCATTGCAACTTCCACCTCCTGAGTTCAAGCAATTCTCCTGCCTCAGCCTCCCGAGTAGCTGGGACTACAGGCGCCCACCACCACGCCTGGCTAATTTTTTTTGTATTTTTAGAGAGACAGGGTTTCACCATGTTGGCCAGGCTGGTCTTGAACTCCTGACCTCGTGGTTCACCTGCCTCAGCCTCCCAAAGTGCTGAGATTACAGGCATGAACCACCACGCCCAGCCACTCTCCAAATATTTTATTTCTGTTTTAGTTTATGCCATCTCAAAGTTCTCTTTTATTTTATTTTTTTGAGACAAACTTGCTCTGTCACCCAGGCTGGAGTGCAGTGGTGCGATCCTGGTTCACTGCAACCTCCGCCTCCCGGATCAAGTGATTCTCCTGCCTCAGCCTCCCTACTATCTGGAATGACAGGCGCCCACCACTATGCCTGACTAAATTTTGTATTTTTTTTTTCCCATATTGCTTCAGGGCTTGATAAGCTTCTTTTTTTTTTTTTTTTTTTTTTTTTTTGAGACGGAGCGTCACTCTTGCGCTGGCTGCAGGGCAATGGCACTTTCATGCGCGTCCTTGTTAAGAGACCACCAAACAGGCTTTGCGTGAGCAATACGGCTGTTTATTTCACCTGGGTGCAGGCGGGCTGAGTCCGACAAGAGAGTCAGTGAAGGGAGATAGGGTTGGGGCCATTTTATAGGATTTGGGAAGGTAATGGAAAATTACAGTCAAAGGGGGTTGTTCTCTGGTGGGCAGGGGTGGATCTCACAAAGTACATTCTCAAGGGTGGGGAGAATTACAAAGAACCTTCTTAAGGGTGGGGGAGACTACAAAGTACCTTCTTAAGGGTGGGGGAGATTACAAAGTACATTGATCAGTTAGGGTGGGGCAGGAACAAATCACAATGGTGGAATGTCATCAGTTAAGGCTGTTTTTACTTCTTTTGTGGATCTTCAGTTACTTCAGGCCATCTGGATGTATACGTGCAAGTCACAGGGGATGCGATGGGTTGGCTTGGGCTCAGAGACCTGACAGGCACAATCTCGGCTCACTGCAACCTCCACCTCCCAGGTTCAAGTGATTCTCCTACCTCAGCCTCCCGAGTACTAGGATTATAGGCAACCACCATCACACCTGGCTAATTTTTGTATTTTTAGTAGAGATGGGATTTCACCATGTTGGCCAGGCTTGTCTCAAACTCCTGACTTCGTGATCCGCCCGCCTCGGCCTCCCAAAGTGCTGGGATTACAGGTGTGAGCCACCGTGCCCAGCCCTGATTTTGTATTTTTAGTAGAGGTAAGTTTTCACCATGTTGGCCAGGCTGGTCTTGAACTCCTGACCTCTCAAGTGATTAACCTGCCTTGGCCTCCCAAAGTGCTGGGATAATAGGCATGAGCTACTGGGCCCTGCCACATTTCAAAGTTCTTTTTTTTTTTTTCTCCAAGAAGGAGTCTCACTCTGTCGCCCACGTTGGAGTGCAGTGTCGCGATCTCAGCTCACTGCAACCTCCGCCTCCCGGCTTCAAGCAATTCTCCCGCCTCAGCCTCCCAAGTAGCTGGGATTACAAGGCACCTGCCACCATGCGCAGCTAATTTTTGTATTTTTAGTAGAGATGAGATTTTGCCATGTTGGCCACACTGCTCTCAAACTCCTCACCTCACTGCAACCTCTGCCCCCCACGCTCAACGGATCCTCCCTCCTCAGCCTTCCAAGTAGCTGAGACTCCCGTGATGGCTCACACCTGTAATTCCAGCAACCTTGAAAGGCCAAGGCAGCCAGATCACATGAGGCCAACTCCATCTCTACTTAAAATGCAAACATTAGCCGGGCATGGTGGTGCACACCTGGGTGACCCAGCAAGACTCTGCCTTAAAAAGGAAAAAAAAATGTATTTGTGCTTTGTTTTATGTCATTCCAAAATTCTTAACCAAAGAACTAAAAAAGAATCCAACTGGGCCAGGGACAGCAGCTCATGCCTGTAATCCCAGCACTTTGGGAGACCAAGGTGGGTGCATCACCTGAGGTCAGGAATTTGAGACCAGGCTGACCAACACAGTGAAACGCCTTCTCTACTGAAAATACAAAAATTAACTGGGCATGGTGGCACATGTCTGTAATCCAAGCTACTGAGGAGGCTGAGGCAGGTGAATTGCTTCAGCCCGCGAGGTGGAGGTTGCAGTGAGCCGAGATCATGCCATTGCACTCCAGCCTGGGCAATAGACTCCGTCTCAATTAAAAAAAAAAAAGAATCCAATTAATTAATGTCTGATTCCTTGACATTTAAAATTTGTAGATTGTGTGCTCTTAATTTGCAGTTTATAGACTATGTTATTATGATTTTAATTTCTTGAGACAAAGTCTCACTCTGTCACCCAGCTGTACTGCAGTGGTGTGATAATTGCCTCAGTGCAACCTCTGTCTCCTGTATTCAAGGGATCTTCTCACCTCAGCCTTCCCAGTAGCTGGGATTACAGACCCACACCATGAGGCCTGGCTAATTGTATTTTTAGTAGAGATGGGGTTGTACCATATTGCCCAGGCTGGTCTGGAACCCCTGGACTCCATGTAATCTGCCAGCCCTTAGCCTCCCAAAGTGCTGGGATTACAGGCAAGAGTCACCCCACCCAAGAATGCTATTGTGATTTTGAAAGATAGGCTTTGTTTTTTACTAAAATTATAAAGATATTCCTTCCACTATGTTCTATTAAATTTTTTTATAATGATGGGGTCTCGCTTTGTTAGCCAGGCTGGTCTGGAACACCTGGACTCAAGCAAACCCCCCACCTTGTCTCCTAAAGTCTTGGGATTACAGGCATGAGCCACCATGTCTGGCCCCATACACTATTTTCAAGAGTAGAGTCTTTGTTTTGAATGTAGGATCCATTTCTTCCCCTAGACTCAATCCCAAAGTGTGTTGTTATTATTATTATTATTATTATTATTATTATTATTATTATTATTACTTGAGACAGGGTCTTTCTCTGTTGCCCAGGCTGGAGTGTGGTGGCAAAATCTCAGATAACTGAAACCTCTGCTTCCCAGGCTCAAGCCATCCTCCCACCTCCATGTGCAGAGTAGCTGAGACTATAGGCATGTGCCACAATGCTCAGATAATTACTTAATATTCTAGTAGAGTCTAGTAGACATGGGCTATCACTATGTTGCCCTGGCTGGTCTGGAACTCCTGGGCTCAAGTGATTGTTCTGCCTTGGCTTCCCAAAGTGTTGGGATTACAGCTGTAAGCCGCCATGCTTGGCTTCCCTTTACTTTTTTTTTTTTTTTTTTTTTTTTTGAGACAGAGTCTCACTCTGCCACCCAGGCTGGAATGCAGTGGCTAGATTTTGGCTCACTGCAAACTCTGGACCTCGGGTTGAGAGATTCTCCTGCCTCAGCTTCCCAAGTAGCTGGGATTACAGGCAGGGACCACCACACCCAGCTAATATTTTGTATCGGTACAGATGGTATTTCACCATGTTGGCCGGGCTGGTCTCGATCTCCTGACCTCATGATCCGCCCACCTTGGGCTCCTAAAGTGCTGGGATTACAGGCATGAGCCACCGTGCCTGGCCAAGAAGACATTTTGTTTTCTCAAAAAAGTGGAGATCTGAGCTTCAAAGATCCTTGCTAACACTTCCCAGTGCTATCAGTGTAGTAGTGCAGTGGCTAATAATTCATGGACCCTATAGGAGGGATCTTGCCTGCTCTTTAGAGGTTGGGACACACTCTTCTTAGTACCAGAAGGGCAGAACTATGCCTCTGTGGCCACTTATTGCAGAATGGAATTGGAGTAAACTGAGGGCTCTTTCACACATGCTAGAGAAATGACTTTGGCCCTAGGAGAAGCGGGGATTGCAGGGGATTGGCCTGAGAAACTTGCCTTTTCACTGGATTGTCCTCTAGAGTTTTTCCTTGCAGATTTGTCAGAATGAGCCTCCAGTCCCCATCCAGACTCCTGGAGCTGGCAGGGCAGAGCCTACTGAGGAACCAGTTCTTGACCATCTTCATCCTGGACGAGCTGCCCAGGGAGGTCTTCCCTCTGATGTTCATGGAGGCCGTCAGCAGGAGACGCTGTGAGGCCCTGAAGCTGATGGTGCAGGCCTGGTCCTTCCTCCACCTCCCTCTGGGATCCCTGATGAAGACACCTCATCTGGAGACCTTGCAAGCTGTGCTGAAGGGACTTGATACACTGCTGGCCCAGAAGGTTTGCCTCAGGTGAGGTGACTCAGGTGGCCTGGTGGGAAGGGTCCAGGCATCCAGGGAAGGGACAGCTGGCTCAGGAGGAGTGGTGGGGTTGGGGAGCTAGGGTGGCTCAGAGGCTTCTGATGGTGCCCATGAGAGGCCTTGACCATTGCCCAGATCCTCTGGGAAAGGACTGCTCACCATACAGGGTCCACTGAGGAAACAGGAACCTGCTTTCTCCCAGTGGAACGTAAAGATTCTAGAAGTGAGAACCAGGCAGAACCCAAGGGGGAGCGGGATGGAGAAGAGACAGAAGGAGGAGCACTGAGGACAGGAGCAGCTGACTGATGTCCTGGATGTGGAGTGAAAGCTCAGGTCAGGGGTGGGTCCTTGCCTACATTCTGAGCTTTTCCCCTGTGTTACTCACAGGAGGTGGAAACTTCAAGTGCTGGATTTGCGGGATGTTGATGGGAATTTCTGGACCATATGGTCTGGAGCCAAGGTCCTCTCCTGCTCCCCAGAGGCCATGAGTAAAAGGCAGACAGTGGAGGACTGTCCAAGGATGGGAGAGTGCCAGCCCTTGAAGGTGTTCATAGACCGCTGCCTAAAGAAAAGTACACTGGATGAATGCCTGAGCTACCTTTGTGGGTAGATCCACTACAGAAGAGGTCTAGTGCACCTGTGCTGTAATAAGGTGCAGAATTACTCAATGCCCACTTCAAGTTTCAGAAATTTATTGAAAAGGGTATACCCAGACAGTATCTAGCAGTTGGAAGTTAGGAGAAAGTGCTCTCTGAATAAAACAGGAAAGTTTGCCCCTTACCTGAGCCAGATGAGCAATCTTCGCAAACTCTTTTTAGCCTTCGGTTATGACAGTGAGTTATATGTAAGCGGCCAACAATAGTTCGTTCCTGACTTGGACTGTCCATTCCTCTGCCTGTCCTACCCTCAGATGCTTTATATAAGAAAGGTCAATAATATCAAAGACCTGGAGCACCTGCTCAGGTAAGAAAGGATGGTGAGCTTTCTCTGCGGACCATACCACAGACTTTTGTTCTTTTTCACAGTAAACGCTAGTGGGCATCTACTGTGTGCCAGCCACTGGTGATGTCACAGGGAATGGGACGCTAGAATGTCAACTCATTATGCTGTTCAGTGCTCTATATCCTGAAGTGGGTATCACAAACCCGCTCAAATAAGGGCAGAGGGATGGCCCGGGCCAGATGCTACAGAGAGAGACATGCAGGGATCTAGTTAGTCAGGGGTTCAGATCTAGGGAGGGTGCATTTGTGAATTCCTTTTTAGGAAGTGCGTTTGAAGTTAATATGATGAAACTTACTCTTCATATAGAGGAGAGTATGAAAGAAGGGAAAGTGCATCAAACCTGTGCGTTTCACAGTAGAAGCTCCGTCCTCACAGCTTAGTAAACACCAATGATCCTGCCTCTAATTCTCTGTCTGTAAAAGGTTCTTTTGAACCCCAGGAAAAGTAGTTGACATGAGAAAAGCATGCTTCTTGGACAGAGGTGAGGGAGTAGGCAGGAGAGTGGTATAAAGTGATAGGTGGTTTGCAGACGCGGGCACGTCAGGGAACCTTTGCAGGCAGGTGGCCCTAGCTGATGTCCCTAGACCTTGCTCAGTTGAGTTCTTTGTGCACATCTCCCACTGGGCTCCTCTGGCCCAGAGATGAGGTTGTCTGCTGAAAGATGCAGTAAAGAGGCTTTAAAGATTTTGTGGCCTTGAACCAATCACACAAGCAAGGCTGAAAGGACTGAGCCTAAAATGGAGCTGCCCCTGAATGATCTGAGTCTTCATCAGGCAGCACCTTGCACACAGACCATCATCTGATGATGGGAACAAACTTGTGTTTGGGTGAAACAGGCTTCCCCATTGCAGTTACTATAACACCTGTGTGGTAGTAAGGTGCAGAATTACTCAATGCCCACTTCAAGTTTACCATTGAGATGATTTCCCACCCCTCTCCTCTAACTGGCACCATTGCCCATAACTAATTTCTTGCTCTCCCCAGGTGCCTCAAGAACCTCTTGGGGGCCTTTATATTCTGTCATGCTTACCTAGCTGATCGGGACATGGAGTGTCTGTCTCAGTACCCAAGCCTCAGTCAGCTAAAGGAGCTGCATCTGATTCATATCCTAATGTGGACCACCAATCTTGAGCCCCTTGGAGCTCTGCTAGAGAAAGTTGCTGCTACTCTTGAGACCCTCACGTTAAAGGACTGTCAGATCCAGGACTCCCAACTCAGGGTCCTCCTGCCTGCCCTGAGCCACTGCTCCCAGCTCACCACCTTCTACTTTCAAGGAAACGAGACTTCCATGAATGCTCTGAAAGACCTTCTGTGTCACACAGGTGGGCTGAGCAAGTTAGGCCTGGAGTTGTATCCTTCCCGTCTGGAGAGTCTTGACAACAGGGGTCATGCCAATTGGGAGATCCTTGCCCCAATTCGGGCTGAGCTGATGTGTACACTCAGGGAAGTCAGGCAGCCCAAGAGGATCTTTTTTGGTCCCGTCCCCTGCCCTTCCTGTGGCTCATGGCCATCTGAGAAAGTGGACCTCCATCTTTGCTCTTAGGGAAGGCCTGGCTAGTGGGATGGACACGTTTTCTTCTGGACCCTTGGGCACTAAAATCTAGGACACAGGTGCTTTTTTTTTTTGATGGAGTCTCACTCTGTCCCTCAGGCTGAAGTGCACTGGCACAATCTCAGCTCACTGCAACTTCCACCTCCCAGGTTCAAGTGATTCTCCTGCCTCAGCCTCCCTAGTAGCTGGTGTTACTGGCATGCACCACCACATCCAGCTAATTTTGTATTTTTTTTCTTTTTTTTTTGAGACAGAGTCTCGCTCTGTCACCCAGGCTGGAGTGCACTGGCACGATTTCGGCTCACTGCAACCTCCGCCTCCAGGGTTCACGCCATTCTCCTGCCTCAGCCTTCAGAGTAGCTGGGACTACAGGTGCCCACCACCACACCCAGCTAATTTTTGGTATTTTTAGTAGAGTCAGGGTTTCACCAAGTTAGCCAAGATGGTCTCGATCTCCTGACCTCGTGATCCACCCGCCTCGGCCTCCCAAAGTGTAATTTTTGTATTTTTAGTAGAGACAGGGTTTCACGATGTTGGAGGAGGCTGGCCTCAAACTCCTGACCTCAAGTGATCTGACTACCTTGGACTTCCACAGTGCCGGGTTTACAGGCATGAGCAGCCTGGCCCGGTCAGGTGCATCTTAAAGGAAGCACACGGTCATGTGTTTCAGGCACGTGCTGACTGTGAGTGGAAAAACAAAGGTGACTCAGCTGGGGGCAGGACTTGGTGAAAATGCTGACTTGGCATCAATAAAGCCTTCAGGGACCTGTTTCCTAGACTCGGAAATGGAACCTGAAGTTCTAGAATGATGCAGGAGTTACCCTCGCAAGGATGGTTATTTAAAAATGTCAAAAATAAATGGAACCTGAATGGAAACTTTCTGGTGTCTTCCATGATTGATCAACCTGTTTTAGCCATTTATATATCAGAAATCTCTAGTTACTGATGAGAGGTACTACGTCATCTGTGATTGAGGTTCAGCTGCAGCAAATCAAGGCATCAAAACTGAAATGTGATCATTTTGATTAGTTCTCACTCATTTTTTGCTTCCTTTCAGTCATCTGTTTCTTCCTTAATTTCTCCCATGCCTGTTCACTGGGTTCATTCACAAAGGATGCACACTTGGGGCCTGGAACATTCTGTGTGGGCAGTGATGATGAGCCACTGAAACCTACCCTCTTCTCAGGGGCCCTCACTGCTCCCCAGATACTGAGACCCTGCTCACTCCTAATGGACAGATCCAGAGGAATCCGTTCCTGATCTTTGGCCATGCCAGGAAATGGCTTCATTGGACCAGGAGTGAATTCACATGAAATTCACTGAAAGCTTCACATGAAGCTCAGAAAATTCCTGTGTTCAAAGCAGTCCAAATGACATTTGGACCATTTTTAGGAAAGTATGGCTTTTTATTAGGTGACAACATGGGGATGAGATTTGCTTTCTCCATTAAGGTGATACGTAAAGCTTTCTTTGAAGGGAGAGAAAACCCTAGAGTTTCCTGACCTTCCTTAACCTGAGCTGCTTGGTTCCCTAGAAGCAGAAATTGATCATATTAGAACCCAAACTCATACCAACCTTGACCTTCATGAAGTACTCAAGTGTTTCTGCTCTTCTTCCTCATGTGATGTAGAAAGTATTAAAAGTGATGAGTGTAGGCCGGGCACGGTGGTTCACACCTGTAATCTCAGCACTTTCAGAGGCCGAGGTGGGTGCATCACCTGTGGTCAGGAGTTCCAGACCAGCCTGGGCAACATGGTGAAACTCTGTCTCTACTAAAAATACAAAAACTAGCTGTGTGTGGTGGCCTGTGCCTGTAATTCCAGCTAACTGGGAGACTGAGGCAGGAGAATCACTTGAACCGGGAGGCAGAGGTTGCAGTGAGCTGAGATCGCACCATTGAACTCTAGCCTGGAAAACAAGAATAAAACTCCATCTCAAAAAAAAATTAATAAATAAATACATTATAAATAAATAAATTAATGCTTTAAAGAAAAAAGAAATAAATTTTGCCTACAAGTTTCATATGCAATTGAATACCTCTTAAATTTTGATGTGAACCGACCAGGCATGGTGGCTGAGGCCTGTAATCCAGCACTTTGGGAGGCCGAGGCAGGCAGACCACGAAGTCAGGAGATTGAGACCATCCTAGTTAATATGGTGAAACCCCGTCTTTACTAAAAATACAAAAAATTAGCCAGGTGTAGTGGCATGTACCTGTAGTCCCGGCTATTTAGGAGGCTAAGGCAGGAAAATTGCTTGAACCGGGGAGGCAGAGGTTGAAATGAGCTGAGATCGTGCCACTGCATTCCAGCCTGGTGACACAGTGAGACTCCATCTCAAAAAATAAATGAATAAAATAAATAAAAAAATAACTAAAAATACTGTGACAGGAACCAACATTGCTCAACTTGTACACTAATGTCTTACAAAATCCTTTCCTTGTCACCTTCAAATCTCCATTTCAAATGCTACACTCTGCATAACTCTACCACTTTGTTGCCATTTTCTGATGATGGAGAAGACCATATATGTGTGTGTGGCATCAGAACTATTGACTCCTCCTATTGATGTTTAAGATATTCCATTACACAAACCTGGGTTCATACTTTTTTGTTGATAGATCTTATGCCAAAAATGTAGGCGAAAAATGCCAAGCAGGAAATGCTATCACTTCTGAAGATGAATTCATAGAGATGGAAATTCTTTCAGAATTTATTTTTCCAGCTTTTTCCTTTGTTTGTTCATTTGTGTTTGTTTCGTTGTTTGTTTGTTTTGAGATGGAGTCTCGCTCTGTCACCAAGTTGGAGTACAGTGGTGAAATCTTGGCTGACTGCAACCTCCTCCTCCTGAGATCAAGCGACTCTCCTGCCTCAGTCTCTCGAGTAGCTAGGACTATGGGTGGGCGCCACCATGCTCAGCTAATTTTTGTATTTTTAGCAGAGACAGGGTTTCACCATGTTGGCTAGGATGGTCTCAATTTTTTGGCATCGGGATCTACCTGCCTTGGCCTCCTGAAGTGCTGGGATAACAGGTGTGAGCCACCACCGTGCCCGGCCTTTTTTTTTTTTTCTTTTGAGATGGAGTCTCACTCTATTGCCCAGGCTGGGAATGGGACTCCTCCTATCAATTATTTTTTTAAATTTTCTTTTGTTTTATTGACCTGACAAGGCTCAAATAGAGTTGAGTTTTTGTTTTCGTTTTTTCCATTGGAAGAGACAATACAGAGGTTACAATCATTGGCTTTAGATGACAAGATAAAAGAATAAAACATATTCCTTGCAAGACAACCAGCAAAACTTCATGATCAGAAGCAAATCAGTGCCTTCTCACTGTCAGTGGGTGGAAGCCTTCATCAATACTTGCAGAGTTTGAGGCACTCATGAACTCACCATGAGATTCTTTACTCAGGGACAGGATGTAAGCCAAGCAAAAGACCTTCCACAGGTGGTGAATTTGGAAGCCTGCCCAATGTAACCTGCAAGTTTTCACTGGCAATATGCAGGTGCAGATATGACAAAGAATAACCATGACCTTTACATCACCCCCAGCTGTTGAGGAATGGGATCCTTTTGACCCTTTCTGTCCATAGAACCAGGTTGCTCATCTTGTGTGGCAACAACATATGTGGTCTACTTAACAGAGAAGAAGACTCTGTAAAAAAAATGTTTATTATGTAGTAAGCAAAGAAATGGGAATAGATGTGAGATTATTTGGGGAGATAAAGGAAGTTGAAGGTTTTGAAAGGAAAAATAAGGAGGATTATACAAATTGTTTTGAAAGACTCATACTTGGTCATGAGGATTAAAACCAAAAGGGCATCAGTGCAATGTTAGATAGATTCCTCTTACACCCACTCGATAACCCCCAACATGTTCAGCAAGTCTTGCTTCACTCCCAGGTTCCCATTAAAAACCCAGCTCAACCCTGACCAGCTCCACCCTCACTTCCATTTGTAATTTTGACATGACTTTATTACAGGACCATCAGGTTCCTATGCCTGCTGCACAGTAGCTTAGCAATATTCTGAGACAGCAGGGTTTGCAGCAGAGAGTTTAATGATCACAAGGTGGCTGAATGAGAAGCTAGGAGGAGATCCTCAAATTCATCTCCCCAAGGAGTACTGAGGGTTTCCAGTGGATCCTGGATAGCAAGGGGCTGGAAAGTTGGGGTAGCGGTAAGAGGGAAGAAGTCAACAGGATGTAGAAACTGCATTCTTTGGTGAGTTGGTGCATTGCAGGGCCCTTCAGATCAGCTGGCATCAGTAGATTCACTGACATGCAGAACCTGAAAGAATATCTCAGATGAAAAAGTTAATGTTTTACAATGCTTAAATGGTTGTCTGCAGGGAAGTTAAGGGGAACTGTAATCTAAGGTCTATATGATTTTGGAACAGTAGGTTGCCAGCAACCATGAGGAACCAGGTCAGAGAGCAAGAAGACCTCCTGATGAATGCTGAATGTGTTCCAAGCTTGGTTTATTTTTGTTTCTCTCCCTCCCTTCTTCACTGATTAAATTTATAAAGTTTATCGATGTGGCTTCAATTTCTTCCAAAGAAGACTTAACCTAAGCCCTGAGACCACTCACGCCCTCAGTGGCACCTCTCCTCCACCAGAACGAGCATGTAATCTGCTACCTTAGGTTATACAAAATCCCGAAGACCATTCAATACGTTGAGATTTTTATTCTGATTTCCTAGGGACGACTCCTCTGTTTTTATAAAGCTTTTTAAAGTAGAAAGCATTTTTATATTTTGATGTGGCCAAAGATTTCCTAACAACACTACTTTCAGATTTTATTTTTCTGTCTAATGTTGGGAACAGATCAAATCCTTCCCTGCCTGTCACTCAAGACTATGAAGTTCACATATTAGTAAAATACCATCAGTGTTTGTGGAGTTCATGAATGAATGATTTTTTTATTTTTTGACAGAATGTCCCTCTGTCACCCAGACTGGAGTGCAGTGGCACAATTCTGGCTCACTGCAACCATTGCCTCCTGGGTTCAAGCAATTCTCCTGCCTCAGCCTCCCAAGTAGCTGGGTTTCAGGCACCTGCCATCATGCCCAGCTAATTTTTGTATTTTTGTATTTTTGTAGAGACAGGGTTTCACCTTTTTGACCTGGCTCGTCTTGAACCCCTGACATCAGGTGATCTACTCACCTTGTCCTTCCAAAGTGCTGGAATTACAGCTATGAACCACCTCACCCACCCTTGAATGAATGTATTCTTGACTTCTACCCTATCCCTAACACTGTCGATTTCTTGCTTCATGAAGTGAATATAGATATGTGATATGAATGGACATCTGATTCAATCCGGTAATCTGGGGAGAGCCAAAAACCCAATCAGGATTAACTGGGTGGAGCTTCACAAATGCAATCAGATATCATTTTTTGATTGGAAGGTAGCAGCGGATATGTGCAGGGGCGTGGGTGGGAGTTGTGATTAGAAAGGTCAATAAAAGCTTCTAAAGACCCACAGGAGAGACCCAAAGTCTTCAAGCCTGGAGTTCCTGCTTGGTTCTTCCTGAGGACTGAGCACCTTCTAGACTACATCCAGATCTGGTAAGCCACTAATTTCTGTAAGGACACTCCCATCTGACCTACAGTCAGTCGGTCTGGGATGGTGACAGTGCAGCCTACGATGGCACAGAGCTATATCCTGTCCTTTTTTTTTTCATATGAACAATTTGAAGCTTGAATGTTTTCCTCTAAATGCAGTTCTGTCTTTATTTCAAAAAAGTTGATTGTGCTTTGGTTGATGCCATTTTAAAATTCGTGAAGGGAGCAATGACTCATGTCTTTAACCCCAACACTTTGGGAGGCCAAAGTGGGAGGATCATTTCAGCCCAGGGGTTTGAGACCAACCTGGGCAACATGACAAAAGCCCTCCTCTACACAACGTTTTTTTTTTTTTGAGGGTGGGGATGGAGTCTCACTGTGTTGCCCAGACTGGAGTGCAGTGGCACGATCTCAAATCACTGCAACCTTTACCTCCCGGGTTCAAGCAATTCTCATGCCTCAGTCTCCATCCTCAGAAGCTGGTGTCACAGACATCTGAAACCATGCCTGGCTAATTTTTGTATTTTTAGTAGAGGTGGGGTTTCACCATGCTGGCCAGGTTGGTCTCGAACACCTGACCTCAAGTGATCCACCTGCCTTGGCCTCCCAAAGTGCTGGGATTACAGCTGTGAGTCACTGGTGCTTGGCCTCTACTTTTTTTTATTTTAATTAGCCGAGCATGGTGACATGCATCTGTAGTCCCAGCTATTTGGGTGGCTGGTGTGGGAGAATCACTTGAGCCCAGAAGATTGAGGCTGCAGTGAGCCATGCTCACACCACTGCTGTACTCCAGCCTGGGCAAAAGAGAGAGACCCTGTCCAAAAAACAAAAACAATATCTTAACCAAAAAGGATCTATGACCTTAATTTTAAACCAATCACGTCCTCACTGTAATTCTTCCACTCGAATGGAGACATGGGTGTGGGGGTGCATGCCTGTAATCCCAGCTACGTGGAAGGCTGAAGCATGAGAATTGCTTGAATCTCAGAGGTGGAGGTTACAGTGAGCTGAGATGGCGCCGCTGCACTCCAGCCTGGGCGACAAAGTGAGACTCAGCTTCCCCCACACCAAAAAAAATTAGATTATACCACCCAGGTGATCATTGGATACATGAAGATTTCTATTGTGTGTTCTTGGGGACTGTCAACTCTGTCTTTGAAAACTGTTTTAACTCTGAAATATTTTGATAAATTTGATGTGGCCGAGGATCCCTCAACAAAGATACTTTCAAGTTTTTTCTTTCTGTCTAATATCAGGAAGAGATTCAACCCTTCCCTATCTCACACTCAGGACTGTGAAGGACACATATTAATAAAACCCCATTTTGTTTGTGAAGGGAATCAGTGAATGAGTCCTGGGCTTCCACCCCATCCCTAAATCTTTCACTTTGATGGGTGAATATCTAATTCCATCAGTAAATCTGGAAGAAAGCCAAAAATCCAATCAGGATTAACTGGGTAAATTCGAATCAAATCTAGCTCTCTCTCTCTCCTTTTTCTTTTTCTTTTTTTTTTTTTTTTTTTTTTTTTTTTTTTTTTTGAATCTAGCCTATTTCCCAGGCTGGAGTTCAGTGGTGTATTGTCAGCTCACTGCAACCTCTGCCTCCTGGGTTCAAGCGATCTTCCTGTCTCAGCCTCCCTAGTAGCTTGGACTATAGGCACAGACCACCGCAACTGGCTAATTTTTGTAATTTTAGTAGAGGTAGGGTTTTACCATGTTGGCCAGGCTTGTCTCAAACTCCTGACCTCAGATAATCCACCTACCTCTGCGTCCCAGAGTGCTGGGATTACAGGTGTGAGCCACTTCGTCTGGCCTTGAATGAATGTATTCTTGACTTCTACCCTATCCCTAACACTGTCGATTTCTTGCTTCATGAAGTGAATATAGATATGTGATATGAATGGACATCTGATTCAATCCGGTAATCTGGGGAGAGCCAAAAACCCAATCAGGATTAACTGGGTGGAGCTTCACAAATGCAATCAGATATCATTTTTTGATTGGAAGGTCGCAGCGGATATGTGCAGGGGCGTGGGTGGGAGTTGTGATTAGAAAGGTCAATAAAAGCTTCTAAAGACCCACAGGAGAGACCCAAAGTCTTCAAGCCTAGAGTTCCTGCTTGGTTCTTCCTGAGGACTGAGCACCTTCTAGACTACATCCAGATCTGGTAAGTCACTAATTTCTGTAAGGACACTCCCATCTGACCTACAGTCAGTCGGTCTGGGGTGGTGACAGTACAGCCTACGATGGCACAGAGCTATATCCTGTCCTTTTTTTTTTTCATATGAACAATTTGAAGCTTTGAATGTTTTCCTCTAAATGCAGTTCTGTCTTTATTTCAAAAAAGTTGATTGTGCTTTGGTTGATGCCATTTTAAAATTCTTGAAGGGAGCAATAACTCATGCCTTTAACCCCAACACTTTGGGAGGCCAAAGTGGGAGGATCATTTCAGCCCAGGGGTTTGAGACCAACCTGGGCAACATGACAAAAGCCCTCCTCTACACAACGTTTTTTTTTTTTGAGGGTGGGGATGGAGTCTCACTGTGTTGCCCAGACTGGAGTGCAGTGGCACGATCTCAAATCACTGCAACCTTTACCTCCCGGGTTCAAGCAATTCTCATGCCTCAGTCTCCATCCTCAGAAGCTGGTGTCACAGACATCTGAAACCATGCCTGGCTAATTTTTGTATTTTTAGTAGAGGTGGGGTTTCACCATGCTGGCCAGGTTGGTCTCGAACACCTGACCTCAAGTGATCCACCTGCCTTGGCCTTCCAAAGTGCTGGGATTACAGCTGTGAGTCACTGGTGCTTGGCCTCTACTTTTTTTTTTTTAAATTAGCCGAGCATGGTGACATGCATCTGTAGTCCCAGCTATTTGGGTGTCTGGTGTGGGAGAATCACTTGAGACCAGAAGATTGAGGCTGCAGTGAGCCATGCTCATACCACTCCTGTACTCCAGCCTGGGCAAAAGAGAGACACCCTGTCCAAAAAACAAAAACAAAATCAATCAAAAAGGATCTTTGACCTTAATTTTAAACCAATCACATCCTCTTCCACCCAAATGGAGACATGGCTGCAGGGGGTGCATGCCTGTAGTCCCAGCTATGTGGAAGGCTGAAGCATGAGAATTGCTTGAATCTTGGAGGCCGAGGCAACAGTGAGCCGAAATGACACCACTGCACTCTAGCCTGGCCGATGAAGTGAGATTCAGCTCCCTCAACACCAAAAAGACTTATGCCACCTAGGTGATCATTGGATATATGAAGATTTCTATTGTGTTTTCTTAGGGACTGTCATCTCTGTCTCTGAAAACTGTTTTAACCCTGAAATATTTTGATAAACTTGGCATGGCCAAGGATCCCTCAACAAAGATACTTTCAAGTTTTCTTTCTTTCTGTCTAATATCAGGAAGAGGTTCAACCCTTCCCTGTCTCACACTCAGGACTTTGAAGGACACATATTAGTAAAACCCCATGTTTGTGAAGGGAATCAGTGAATGAGTCCTGGACTTTCACCCTATCCCTAAATCTTTCATTTTGATGAATGAATATCTAATTTGATCAGTTAATATTTAAGAAAGGCAAAAATCCAATCAGGATTAACTGGGTAGAGATTAAGAATTCTAATCAAATGTAGCTCTCTCTGTCTCTCTGTTCAATCTAGCCTATTTCCCAGGCTGGAGTGGAGTGGTATAATGTCAGCTCACTGCAACTTCTGCCTCCTGGATTCAAGCGATCCTCCTACCTCAGCCTCCCTAGTAGCTTGGACTACAGGCGCAGACCACTGCACCTGGCTAATTTTTGCTGTCTTAGTAGAGGCAGGGTTTTACCATGTTGGCCAGGCTCGTCTTGAACTCCTGATCTCAGATGATCCACCTGCCTCGGCCTCACAAAATGCTCAGATTACAGGTGTGAGTCACTGCACCCAGCCAAAGTGGTTCACTTTGAATATGTGTAAGAGGTGTGCATTGGAAACATCTATCTTGTGAGTAATGCATAACAGTGTCACATAGCTTTCAGAGCTTCTCACTGAAATTTTCAATAATGAGGCAGGGGTGGAGGCTCACACCTATAATCCCAGTATGTTGGGAGGCCAACAGGGGTAGATTGCTTGAGACTAGGAGTTCAAGACCAGCTTGGACAACATAGCGAAATCCACTGTCTTTACAAAAAGTCAAAAAATAAAAGATGAGCTGGGTGTGGTGATGCATAACTGTGGTCCCAGCTACTTGGGAGGCTGAGGAGGAAGAATCCTTTGAGCTGGGAGGTCAAGGCTGCACTGAGCTGAGATCCCACCACTACACTCCAGGCTGAGTGACAGAGCAAGACCCTGTCAGAAAGAGTGAGAGAGGGAGAGAGAGAAAGAGAGAGAGAATGAGAGAAGGGATGCAGGGAAAGAAGACAAGAAAGAAAGAAGGCAGAGAGAGGGGGAAAGAAAGAAAGAGGGAGAGAGAGGAGGAAAGAAAGAAAGAAGGGAGGGAGAGAGGGAAAGAAGGAAAGAAGAAAGAGAGAGAAAGAGAAAGCAAGCTTAAATAATGAAAAGAAAACAAATAGAACCTGTTCTAGGGATGCCCCATGAATGTTCCCAACAAGCTTATTTGTAGGAACTGAAAATGTGGGCATGTAGGCTTGTGACATTCCCATTCCCATTGTTTTAGAACCTTGAGTAATTAGTAATTTCCCCCAATGGTAGGAGGGGTTCACTTTCAGGTTCCTCCACACTCACTAGTCACTGGATGGAGCACTGGATAGAAAGGAAGGGCTCGTGGTGGCCCTGCTTCCTCACTGCTTCGGAGACGCTCATGCTGATGCAGCAGAGGCAGAATGCTGGCTTAATGGCCACTGAGTACAGGGCAGAATTGGAGTAAACTGAGGGCTGTTTCACCATTGCCAGAGCAGTGACTTTGGCCTTGGGAGAAGATAAGATTGCATGGGCTTGGCCTGAGAGTGATGCCTTTTCTCTGGGTTTGTCCTCTGGAAGTTTTCCCTGCAGATTCGTGAAGATGAGCATCCGGACTCCACCCAGACTCCTGGAGCTTGCAGGGCGGAGCCTGCTGAGGGACCAAGCCTTGGCCATGTCCACCCTGGAGGAGCTGCCCACAGAACTTTTCCCCCCACTGTTCATGGAGGCCTTCAGCAGGAGACGCTGTGAGGCCCTGAAGCTGATGGTGCAGGCCTGGCCCTTCCGCCGCCTCCCTCTGAGGCCTCTGATAAAGATGCCTTGTCTGGAGGCCTTCCAAGCTGTGCTCGATGGGCTGGATGCACTGCTTACCCAAGGGGTTCATCCCAGGTGAGGTGGCCCAGGTGGGCTGGTGGGGAGGGCCCAGGTATCCAACCAAAGGAAGAGCTGTGTCATGACAAGTGAGGAGGCCCAAGGGGGATGGTGGTGGTGAGGAAGCCGAGAGGACTTGGCCATTCACCAGCTCCTCAGGGAAAGCACTGCTCACCACGCAAGGTCCATGGAGGTAACAGGAACCTCTCCTCTAATGGCACTGAAAGGCACCATGAAAAGTGAGAACTGGGCCGGGCACGGTGGCTCACAATGTAATCCCAGCACATTGGGAGGCTGAGGCCAAGAGTTGGAGGCCAGCCTGTCCAACATGGTAAACCCCAACTCTACTAAAAATACAAAAATTAGCTGGGCATGGTGGTGGGTTCCTGTAATCCCAGCTACTTGTGAGGTTGAGGCAGGAGAATCATTTGAACCCGGGAAGCAGAGGTTGCAGTGAGGTGACATCACACCACTGCACTCCAGCCTGGGTGACAGAGGGAGACTTGGTCTCAAAAGAAAAACAAAAAAATGTGGAAGTGGGCAGGATCCAAGGGGAAAACAGGGTGAAGAAAAGTCAGAGAGAGGGAGAAGAAGCAGGGAGGGGAGGAGCTGCTATGCAGGATGTGGAGTTTAAGTTCAGAAATGAGTTCTGAAATTCTCATTCTCACCTCTATTTTCCCACAGGAGGTGGAAACTTCAAGTGCTGGATTTACAGGATGTCTGTGAGAACTTCTGGATGGTTTGGTCTGAAGCTATGGCCCGTGGGTGCTTCCTCAATGCCAAGAGGAACAAAACACCAGTGCAGGACTGTCCAAGGATGAGAGGACAGCAGCCCTTGACTGTGTTCGTAGAACTTTGGCTCAAGAACAGGACTCTGGATGAATACCTCACCTGCCTCCTTCTATGGGTCAAGCAGAGGAAAGATTTACTACACCTGTGCTGTAAGAAGCTGAAAATTTTGGGAATGCCCTTCCGCAATATCAGAAGCATCCTGAAAATGGTGAACCTAGACTGTATCCAGGAGGTGGAAGTGAATTGCAAGTGGGTACTGCCCATCCTGACACAGTTTACCCCATACCTGGGCCACATGAGGAATCTTCAGAAGCTCGTTCTCTCCCACATGGATGTCTCTCGCTACGTTTCCCCAGAGCAGAAGAAGGAGATTGTTACCCAGTTCACCACTCAGTTCCTCAAGCTGTGCTGCCTCCAAAAGCTTTCTATGAACTCTGTTTCTTTCCTCGAAGGCCACCTGGACCAGCTGCTCAGGTGAGGGAGGGTGGTGAGCTTTCTCTGCAGACCACAGCAGAGCCTGTTACAGTAAACGCTAGTGGGCATCTACTGTGAGCCAGCCTATGAGGATGAAACAGTGAAGGGGACACTAGAATGTCCATGCATTGTCCTGTTGGCGGCCCTGTCCTGAAATGGGTATCATGCAACCCTCCCAATAGAGGCAGAGGGATCAGCTAGGGGAGATGCTATGGAGAGGCTGCCATGCTAGGAAGCTAGCTCCTGGGGGGTTCAGATCTAGTGAGGGTGCCTTTCTGAATTCTTCCTGAGGATGTGTGTCTAAGTTAAGATGATGAAAAATAGGCCAGGGGCGGTGGCTCATGCCTGTAATCCTAGCAGTTTGGGAGTCTGAGGCAAGAGGATAGCTTGAGCCTAGGAGTTTAAGACCAGTCTGGGTAACATACCAAGACCCCTGTCAGAAATGAATAAATAAAAGTAAAAACAAACAAGATAACTTTCTTTTCTGAGATGGAGTTTCACTTTGATCGTCCAGGCTACAGTGCAGTTGTGACATCTCAGCTCGCAGCAACTTCTGCCTCCCAGGTTCAAGCGATTCTCCTGCCTCAGCCTCCTGAGTGCCTGGGATTACAGGCGTGAGCCACCACACCTGGCTAATTTTTATATTTTAAGTAGAGACAGGGTTTCACCATGTTGGCCAGGCTATTCTCCAACTCCTGACTTCAGGTGATCCACCCACCTTGGACTCCCAAAGTGCTGGGATTATAGGCGAGAGCTACCACGCCCAGCCAACAAGATAATTTTTAAGAAGATGATGTGAAGTAGGGAAGTGAAGTGGGCACTGAAGAGGGGAATGCTCAGCAAACCTGCACATGTCAGAAAATCAGCTTTGTGCCCCACAGTTTCGTGAACATGAATGATCCCATCTCTAATTCCGTGTTGTAAAAGTTTCTTTTGAGCTCCAGGTAAATTAATTACCTAGGAAATGCATGATTCTGAAACAGAGGGTCAGGGAGCAGGCACAAAGAATGGTGAAAGTGATAGATGGTTTGCTGATGATACAGGCTTGTCAGGGACGCCTGCAGCCCGCCCACCGTAGCTGATGTTGCAGGATCCTGTCTGGGTTTGTCCTTTATGCCTGAATCTCCACTGGGCTCCTGTGGCCCAGGGATGTGGTTTTCTGCCTGACAGATGAGGAAAGGGAGCTTTAGGGATTCTGTGAACTTGATCCATTCCTATAAATGATGGTGAAGTGACTCAGCCTCAAATGGAATTATTTTTTTCTCCTTTTTTTTTTTAATGCGGAGTCTCTCTCTGTCACCCAGGCTGGAGTGTAGTGGCATGATCTCTGCTCACTGCAACCTACACCTCCTGGGTTCAAGCGATTCTTCTGCCTCAGCTTCCCAAGTAGCTGGAATTGCAGGCTCCCGCCACCACACCTGGCTAATTTTTGGATTTTTAGTAGAGAGGAGGTTTTGCCATGTTCAGCAGGCTGGTCTCAAACTCCTGATCTCAAGGAATCCACCAGTCTCAGCCTCCCAAAGTGCTGGGATTACAGGTGTGAGTTACTGGGCCGGGCCTAAAGTGGAATTGACCTCGGTGGCAAAACTCTTCATCACACATCATCCTAAGTGTTGACCATCAGGCCATCAGAATGACCCTGGACTTGGGCAAAATGGTCTCCATCCATTACCTTGAAGCCATTCCCCACCACCCTCCACTCACCCCTATGATTCCCCAGAATTAACTTCTTGCTCTCTCTCCCCAGCTGTCTGAAGACCTCGTTAAAGGTCCTCACAATAACTAACTGTGTGCTTTTGGAATCAGACTTGAAGCATCTATCCCAGTGCCCGAGTATCAGTCAACTAAAGACCCTGGACCTGAGTGGCATCAGACTGACCAATTACAGTCTTGTGCCTCTCCAAATTCTCCTAGAAAAAGTTGCAGCCACCCTTGAGTACCTGGATTTAGATGACTGTGGCATCATAGACTCCCAAGTCAACGCCATCCTGCCTGCCCTGAGCCGCTGCTTTGAGCTCAACACCTTCAGCTTCTGTGGAAATCCCATCTCCATGGCCACCCTGGAGAACCTGCTGAGCCACACAATCATACTCAAAAACTTATGCGTGGAGCTGTATCCTGCCCCCCGGGAGAGTTATGATGCTGATGGTACTCTCTGCTGGAGCAGATTTGCTCAAATTAGGGCTGAGCTGATGAAGAGAGTGAGGGACTTAAGGCACCCCAAGAGGATCTTGTTCTGTACTGACTGCTGCCCTGACTGTGGCAACAGGTCATTTTATGACCTGGAGGCAGATCAATGCTGCTGTTGAATGCCTGCCTATTTGGGTGGATATGTCAAACGCTTTCTTCTGGACACTTGGAAACTAAAACCTAGGTCTTAGGTACATCCTATAGGGAGCACAGAACCCATCATTTCACACATGGGCTCTGAAAGTGGGAAAGGGAAGGTGATCAAGCAGGGGCAGGACTTGGGGGAAGTGTTGCCATGGATTCGATGGGACTTTGGGGACCTGTGTCCTGTAGAGTGGAAAATGGGAATTTGAATGTCTAGAGTGGAGGCTTGAGAATACATGAGGGAGTTACTCTTGCATGGATGGTTGTAAAGAAACAATCAGAAATAAAGGAAAACTGAGTGGTAACTGTCTAGTGCCCTCTATTATTAAGTAACCTGTTTTCCAGTTTAAGCCTCAGGAATCTTCAGTTATTGATGGAAAAAACAAAAGGCACTGAGTTGTCCAATCAATAAGATGCTACCCAAGAAAATCAAGGCATTTAAATGAAATTTGGTTATTGTAATCAGTTTCCTCCCATTCTTTTATTTGAGACAGAGTTTCACGCTTGTTGACCAGGTTGGAGTTTAGAGTGCAATGGTGCCATCTCAGCTGACTGCAACCTCCACCTGGGGTTTAAATGATTCTCCTGCCTCAGCCTCCCAAGTAGCTGAGATTACAGGCATGCACCACCATGCCCAGCTAATTTGTGTATGTTTAGTAGCGACAGGGTTTCCTCACTATGTTGGTCAGACTGTTCTCAAACTCCTGACTTTGGGTGATCCACGCAAGTAGGCCTACCAAAGTGCTGGGATTACAGGCGTGAGCCACTGTGTCAGGCTTGTTTTTGTTTTTGTTTTTTAAAGGTCTCCTGTCACTCAGGCTAGAGTGCAGCGGCACAATCATAGCTCACTACAGCCTCAATTTCCTGGGTTCAAGCGATCCTCCCACCTCAGCCTCCTGAGGAGCTAGGACTACAGGCGTGTGAGCAACCATGCCTGTTTGCTTGTTTTTTTAAGTGGTGACAAGGTCTCGCTGTCTTGCCCAGGCTGATCTGGAACTCCTGAGCTTGTGATTCTCCTGCCTTGGCCTCCCAAAATGCAGGGAGTATAGGCGTGGACCACCACGATTGGCTTGGCCTCCTCCAGTTCTTCACTTCTTTAGATGTCTGTTAATTCCTTGTTAGTTTCTGTGGCTGTTCAGTGGGTTAATACACACTAGGTGGAAACCAAGGGTCTGGAACATTACTGGGCAAGAACAGTGAGCCAATCCACGTGGAAAGCACCTTCTTCTCAGGGTCTTTCACTGCTAGCCAGATGCTGAGACCCTGCCCACTCCTTGTGAGTCTCCACATGGTTCCAGAAGCCTTAGTTGGTGGATGTCAGCTTCACTGCACAAGGAGCCACTCTCTTCCCGCTGCCCTGGAAGGGGATGTCCATATTGTGTATTAGCTGGAGACTCTGGGCAGCACCAACCCTTGCTTGTTCCCCTGATGACTAGCAGCCCTTCTTGAATTAAACTGGTTGTAGCCAGTAAAGACAGCCACATTCCCTTTAAGTAAAATACTAAAACTACACAGGTATGTAACACTTTTTAAATATTTCCATCTGACATTTAAAAAGTTACTTCTTATTAGGGAGCTAGGTCAGATCGATGAGAGATTTTCTCATAACACCTCCCCTCTCTCCCTATCAAGGAAGAGACCAGTGCAGCGTGTTCTGGAATCTCACATCATCAAAGGGTGGATAACAATCAAGTGCCTGTGGGTGATGAGTGACCTTCCCTGTGCTGAGGAAGCCTGCATAATGGGCACCCAAGTGAAGGATCCTGCTGAGGATTCAGGGGCTGGTATTGCTGTCAGGGATCTTAACCAAGAGCCTCAGGTCCCTGTAAAATGAGGATGATGTCCAACGGCTTATAGGACCCTGCAAGGATCCAATAAGATGGTTCATGTTTAGGGCTTGGCATGGGGACTGGCATACAGTTAGATGAATACATCTTGTTCTTTTTTCTCTTCTCAGCAGAAGTCCCAGCAATTTTCATCTTTCAATCTATCTCACCTCCTATTCCTGATAACAGGGAGGCAACAAGAACCCAGGGCATGCAATGGGGCTCATCTTCTACCCTCTGCCACAACTTCATCATGACTCCCCCAAACAGCAGAGCCCCAGGAGCCAGCAGGGGGCAGGGTGGGCATTTCTGGACTGGATTCATTCCTAAGAAGAGTAAAATGTCCAATCCATAGGTCTCGGGTGCCATCTGCTGGTAGATCAGATCAGATGGTGTAATTTAATGTTGCAAGGATTATATTATATGGTATTTTTTTAAATTTACTATTATGAGCCAGGAGCGGTGGCTCATGTCTGTAATCCCAGCACTTTGGGAGGCTGAGGCCATTGTCATGGCCAGGCTTGGTGTCTCACACCTGTAATCCCAGCATTTTGGGAGGCTGAGGCGGGCAGATCACTTCAGGTCAGGATTTTGAGACCAGCCTGGCCAACATGGTGAAACCCCGTCTCTACTCAAAATACAAAAAAAATTGCTGGGCGTGGTGGCATTCGCCTGTAATCCCAGGTATTCAGGAGACTGAGGCAGGACAATCGCTTGAACCCGGGAGGCGAAGGTTGCAGTGAGCTGAGATCGCACCACTGCACTCCAGCCTGGGCAACAGAGCAAGAAAAGAAAATTTACTATAATGTGAATACTAGTTGAGTATAAATATTTGTGTTGTAATTTATGTATATGAAAGATATAAAACTTTTAAAGAATGCAATGTGATATTTTAAGAATGGTTAATGGCCAGGCGTGGTGGCTCACGCCTGTAATCCCAGCACTTTGGGAGGCCGAGGCAGGCAGATCACTAGGTCAGGAATTTGAGAGCAGCCTGGCCAATGTGGTAAAAACCCGTCCCTACTAAAAATACAAAAAATTAGCCTGGGGTGGTGACGGGCCCCTGTAATCCCAGATAGTCAGGAGGCTGAGGCAAGAGAATCTCTTGAACCCAGAAGCAAATGCTGTTGACCACGTGATGCATGGAAACGTTTGTCATGGGTATAGCCACTGAATTGCTAACTTAGGGACGTCAACATTAGCTCACTACCAATAATATAAATACATTGGATTATGGAAAAAATTGCCTTTGTGATACCATATCCATGTGTGACATGAGAGTCCAGCAATTGGCCCGGTGTGGTGGCTCACGTCTGTAATCCCAGCACTTTGGGAGACTGAGGCGCATGGATCACTTCAGGTCAGGAGTTCGAGACCAGTCTGGGCAACACGGTGAAACTCTGTATCTATTAAAAACACAAAAATTCCCACCTATGAGTGAGAACGTGCGGTGTTTGTTTTTTTGTCCTTGTGATAGGATGGGAATTGAACAATGAGAACACATGGACACAGGAAGAGGAACATCACACACTGGGGCCTGTTGTGTGGGGAGTGGGGAGGGATAGCATTTGGAGATATACCTAATGTTAAATGACAAGTTACTGGGTGCAGCACACCAACATGGCACATGTATACATGTGTAACTAACCTGCACATTGTGCACATGTACCCTAAAACTTAAAGTATAATAAAAACAAATACAAAAATTAACTGGGCGTGGTGGCAAGTATCATCCCAACTACTGGGGAGGCCGAGGGAGGAGAATTGCTTGAACCCAGGAGGTGGAGGTTACAGTGATCAAAGATCATGCCACTGCACTCCAGCCTGGGCAACAGAGCGAGATGCCATATCAAAAAAAAAAAAAAAAAAGAGAGAGAGAGAGAAAAGAAAACAAAACAAAAGAAAGTCCAGCATGGTAAAAGGTACATAGAGGTACATTTGGGTGAGCTTCCTTTGTTTTTCATTCTTTTTCCCTTCTCTGGACAGAATTCTCAATGCAAAACATTCCAAAAACACAGAGCAAGTGTCTTCTATAACCTTCCCTTTTTTTGAGACTTCTCTTCACAGTGTATGTGCTAGTGTCTTCCAGACTTTTGTGTGACATGCTATACAGAACATCAGATCAAACGGGCACATCCCTAATAAGTGGTGACTTGCCAGATCTGGACTCACTTTGCAGGGTGCTGGGACCTCTCTGAGAATCAAGCAGTAGCTCCAGGAGCCAGGGCTTTGGGTCTCTTCTGTGCATCTTCAGGAGTTTTATTGACTTTTCTCACCACAACCCCCTTCTCAATTACCAACTTCCAATCCAAAAATGACATCCAACTGGATCCTGAACTTCCACCCAGTTAACGGTGATTGAGTTTTCAACTTTCTTCTTATTAAGTGATTAAATTAGATATGGATTTATGAAAGTGAAAGAATTAATAATAGGGTGAAGGACTAAAACTCATTTATTCACTTATTCCATAAATATTGGTAAAGTTTTACCAATATGTGACCTTCATAGTGATACAGGGAAGGTTTTAATCTGTTTCAGACATTAGAAATACATATATTTATATATGGTATCTTTATTGGAGAACCTTTGGCCACATCAAAAGTATCAAAACTTTTCAGAGTTAAAACAGCTTTAAGAAGACAGTGATGTCATCCCTAAAAACACAATAAAAATCTCAGTGTATCCACTGGTCACCTGGGTTTTGCGCTACCTAACATGGTAGATCATATGCCCATTCAGGTGGAAGACAGGAACTACTGAGGGTGTAATTTATCTCAAGGTTAAGGTCAAGGCATCACTGAAAGAAATCAGGCCTAAATTACAAAGTGAGGTGGAGGTTGGGCTGGACAGTACTGACTGTTCTAATGGGGCCCTAGGAGGGAACCAAGACAACAAAAAACATGGCAGGTATTTTGTGGGCATCTAGACAAAAGGATTGAAAGACTTCCTTCTACATTGAGTTTAAAAATTAAAAAAACCTAATTACAAAAGAGATAATGCAGACTCGTAAAACATCACAGTGTCTTTGAGGGCAGAGAGGGCAGACACAATCTTGACTCCTACTGGAAGGTGAAGCATCATTACTCGCAAACAGGATGGGCTTCCCTCAGAATACCAGCTTGGGAAGAGTGAATCTGAGTGTGTGAGCTGGGGCAGAGCCCAGAGAGGAGCAGTGTGGTCAGACATAAGGAGGGAGACTTTTCAATCTGGAAGCATGAATGGTGCAAGCTGTGTATCTGAAGAATTTGGGAGAAAAATGAACCTCTTGGGGGAATCCTGCACCATCCTCAGGACCCCAGTGAGAATCCTGCAGTTTGGGGGGTCTTTCTACCATGTTCTGGTTGCCTGTGCTTCTGAAGGTGCTCCTCTGCTGTCCAGGTCAGAGTAGCTTTCAGAGCCCATCTGAAGGGACGGCCTGACTTCAATTCCACTCACAGAATTTCTACTGGGATTCCAAAGCTTCTCCAGGCTTTTGATTGGGGTCTCTAAAATATTTCTGAATTTCTGTTTTCCTCCCCCAGCCTGAGCTGTGAGAGAAGCTGAATCCTCTGCTTCCTGGAAATGTCAGCCGATCTCTCCTGCACCGAGGACTATGGCCACAAACAATGCTAAGAGACACTCTCCCTGGAATCAGCAGTGACTCATACATTCTCCCCAAATTCTACTGAGCTTTTTGGGTGCACATAGCAAGGCACAAAGCAGGGAGCTCCTCAGCTGCTCTTCCGGACCTAAAGAGGCACCCAGGACCAATGGAGGGGAAGTTTGTCTGCCTTCCACAGGAAGAGCTGACTCCTCTGGTTTTCCTAGAAGTGCCAGGCTGTTGGCAGAGCCTGGGACAGGTCCCAGTGCAGGGGGCCATCCCTTCTAGGATCCCCTTGCCCAGTCTTAGAGCTGACGAGGCTGCACCTGGAATGCAGTGAGTCTGTTTCTGAGTCAGGGCTTTCTTTGCCCATGGTGTTTGCCCTCTCCATGTTTCTAACAGTAGAAATCACTGTTCAGGCCCTGCTGGACTTCTTTAGTCCTCAACAGGATCTCATTCCAGGTCGCATTTGTGACCGTCTTTTCCAAGATCAGGGGCTGCCCCTCCTTTTTTCCCCAATAAAGATCTGAGGAGAAGTCACTCTGAAAGCAGAGTAGATGCCTAAGAAGGTGCTTGTGGCAGCCTGGGGTGGGGAAGGTCTCGGAACTCGCTGCAGGCTGGATGGAGCCAGGAGGACTAAGGAAAAGAACAGGGCCCAGAAAGGGAGTGGCCCAGAGGAGCTGATGTGGGCCAGAGTAAGCACAGAGGAGAGAGATGGCAGCAGGGTAGGGGGCCGGGTTATTTGGCTTTCACAGAGCCGCATCCCTGATAAGCTGTGGACTTGTGTCTGAGATCCTCAAAGGACCTGTGCCTGGATGTGGAGCTGTGAGTTTCTAAGGCCCTTTGATTTCACCCTGGTCTACATGAGGTTCCAGTGGCTGCCCCATCTCACCCCAGGGGCAAAGAGTCAGTCTAGCAGGGAGACATGGGGAGAGAGAGTCAATGGCAAACATCCACCTTGGATGCAAAGACAAGGGACATGTCAGAGGGAGGGAGACTTGGTGTGAGGCCAGGGGAAGGGAGGCACGTTGGATATGGTGCAGTTCTGTCTCTGCACTTGCCACAGCCTCATAGGACTGTGAGGATTGAACTTTGCAGGAGGGAATGAGGTAGAATGGGGTCTGGACTGGAGTCCCTGTCATCCAAGTGACCCCCATATCTACTCCTGCCAACCAGGTGAAGGTCTTGCTAGATGTAAGTCAAACCAGGACCTATCAGACTGCCTGGCACTTTCTGATGGATCTAGAAGGAGCACAGTGATCCTCAGTCAAAAAAAATCTTGCATTGTCCAGGGCTGAGGATTTTCAGGTGGCCCTGGAGGGGGAGACTCTGGGGAAAAACCACAGAGAAGATTTTGGCACATTTGACACTATTAACATCCAGTGCCTCCCCTTCCTATTGGTCGGGTGTGGTGGCAGGAGAATTGCTTGAACCCGGGAAGCAGAGGTTGCAGTGAGCTGAGATCACGCCATTGCACTCCAGCCTGGGTGGGCAACAAGAGTGAAACTCTGTCTCAAAAACAAACAAACAAACAAAACAAACAGACAAAAAAATGTGAAACAAAAAAAAAAAACCTTTGACTGAGTGCCTGTAATGTGCCACCTACTATTCTGGGTGCTACTTAGGATAAACAAGAAGCAAGGCAGCTGCAAAGTGAGCTCAACAGAATACACCTGGCTTGGCAGTGCAGTGCAGATCAGAAAAAAAATGCCTGTGCAGCATAAAATGTGAAGAGACATCTTCTTTGCTTTTCTTTTCTTTCTTCTTCTTTTGAAAGACAGAGCCTTACTCTGTTTCTAAGGCTGGCGTGCAGTGGTGCAATCTCGGCTCAGTGCAGCCTCGGCCTCTCAGGCTGAAATGATCCTCCCATGTCAGTCTGCCAGTTAGCTGGAAACACAGGTGTGTTGCATGGAATATCTTTTTCTACCCCTTCACTTTCAGACTACATGTGTCCTTATAGGTGAAGTGAGTTTCTGGAAAACAGCATATAGTATGGTCTTATTCTTTTACTCATTCAACGACCCTAAGACTTTCACTTGCAGAACTGAGATATATTGTCTTCATTGTTGTTATTGATAAAGGCTTAGTACTCCCATTTAATTTCTTGTTTTCTGGTTGGTTAGAGACTTCTCTCTTCCATCCTTCCTTTCTTATTGTCTTTCTTTGTGTTTAAGTAATTTTCTCTTATGAAATCCTTGGGATGTGACTTTTCTGGCCAGAAGCCTCTATGGCTGGGGGCACCTTTGCCGGAGTTTTGATGGGGTTCACTGGGTTTGTTCTGCCCACTCAGACTGGTAGACTATGCTTGGCTCATGCTTCAGGCCTGGATCACATGCCTATTAAGGGAGGGTCAGGACTGGAGCAGTGAGGGGTGTCTGAGTGAGCAGGGGGTCTGGTCACTTTGGACAGTCACTGGCTCCCACAGCAGTGGGGCAGGCAGCTTCAGGTGCCAGCACAGGTGCCAGATTTTTGCAAGGCTGCAAATGAACCAGGCACAGCAAAAGCAGCTTCCATGTTTGTCCCTGGAGTACACAGTGGTGTCTGCTGCTCTTTCCAGGAAAGTCATCTCATCATCTCCACAGCTCTCAGTAGAGAAAAGGCCCCAGAGTGGATTGCTTGTCTGCAGGAAAATCATCCCAAGAGTGGGTAGTTTCACTCTGCCACTGTTCATCCTGATGTTTTCCCTGAGTCTGGGGCTGTTGGGGCATCATGGGGAAGGAAGTATGTGCTGCTTGGGTCATAGGTAGCCATTGGCAGGCACAGAAAAGGCACCACATATTCCCACTCTGGTCCATAGCACTGGTGGACCAGCCCACGGGCTTCAGGCCCGCCTTGGTCACAAGGTAGAGCCTCACCAGGTACCCTCGTCTTCCCATCCAGGAGTCTGTCTGCCTCCCACCACCACCCATGGCGCCCAGGTCACTTGCATCAAGGAGCATCCAAAGGCCAGCACTGATCTGTCCTCAGCCCCCTCTCAGCCTCCCTCCCATGCTCATCAGGGCCCAAAGCCCAGAGTGTTCAAGACAGCAGGCAGACGGTGCATCAGCACGAACCTGAGCATGCACACGCTCATCTGGGCTGCCACAGCATACATGCTTGACCCCAACTCCGCTCCAAAATTACAGCAGGTGCCAGGAGGGACCACACAGTGGGAGCAGACACCCCCATGCTGCAGGAGAAGGGGAGACCTCCTGAGCCCTCAAGAGCACTGGGGGACCTTGGTTGGAACTGCGACCTGGGCAGCTTCAGTTGTGCCTTTGGAGCTACTGTCCTGCCAACTCGGGAGGGCCAGGACTCCCTCTTGTCCCAGGATCCCATCAGGTTCAAAGTGTATGTAGCCTCAGTTATGCCCTCTCTCTGTGTTTCTCCACAGAGGTGACAGGTGAGATGCAGGTTCACAGCAGCTCTGGCCAACCCTGCAAAAACAAACCCAATGCTTCTGGGTCTGGTTGAATGAGCCCCAACTGCACTCTAGTTAAGAATATTGCAGGCTAACAGCAGGCCGTGAGGAGTGAGTTTGAGGCTTTGTAGAGGCTCCAGACCCGGGAGCGGGTCTCATTAAGCCATGAGAGGGTGTGGGTGGCACAGCTGTCTGCCTCAGGAACACGGGGCAGAGGCCTGGCTCACAACCCTGCCAAGGTGGGGTGCCTCCAGGGGTGGACCGTGGTCCCCAGACCCAGCAATTAGGAACGTCAGTCTCTGTGGTCACCCCTGTGGGGGGCAGATCTTGGAAATGCAGCCCCAGGAGGATTAGCACAGAACCTCCCTTCGACACCCAGGAACTTGGCACTGTTAGCAGGGTGGGCACAGTGGCCCCATAGCTGGCCAGGTCATTGAACTAGGTGCCATTTCTGCTTCCCAACAAAGGCCCCTGTAGCTTGATCCCAGCTCTGCCTACCACCTCAAGCCCATCTTCTCCTCGGGGCCCCTCTCTGCCCGTCCCTTTGTGCCTGACTGAGCTGCTCCTTGCAGGCGAAAATGTAAGGAAAAAACAGATGACTGAAGAGAAGTAAAGAATGGGTGGAGATCATTGGCACACCCGTAATCCCAGCACATTGGGAGGCCAAGGTCAGCAGATCACTGAAGCCAGGAGCTCAAGACCAGCCTGGTCAACATGGAAAAACCGCGTCTCTACTAAAAATACAAAAACTAGCAGGCTTGGTGGCACTTGCATGCAATTCCACCTACTAGAGTGGCTGAGGCATGAGAATCACTTGAGCCCCGAAGGGTAGGATTGCAGTGAGCCCAGATGGGACCACTGCACTGCAGCCTGGGTGACAAAGCAAGATGTTGTCTTTTTTTTTTTTTTTTTTTTTTTTTTTTTTAAAAAAAAGCAAAGAAAAAGAATGGGTGGGAATTAGATGTTTTGCAGCTGAATCTCAATCACAGACAACAGAGTACTTTGATACTTTTCCATCAGTAACTCAATAACTAGAGATTTCTGATGTATAAATCGCTAAAACAAGTCAATCAAATACAGAGGACACCAGAAAGTTTTCATTGAGGTTATTTCTGATATTTCTTGGTAACCGTCCCTGCAGGGATAACATTCTCATCACTGTAGAACTTTAGCTTCTCTTTCTGACTCTGTAGGACATGGGTCCCGTAAGGTCTCATTGACTCCACCTCCACATTTTCCTCCAGTCTTGCCCCCTGCTGTTATCTTTTTTCCCTCATACTGAGCACCTGCCTGAAGCAAAGAATTCTGTGCTTCCTGTAAGTTGCATGTGGCCTGGTCACAATCACTCATGCCAGTAATCCTGGCACTTTAGGAGGCCAAGGCAGGAGAATCCCATGTGCCCAGCAGTTTCAGACCAGCTGGGGCAACACAGCGAAACCCTGTCTCAAATGTTCTTTAATAAAATTTTAGAATTATTAAAAAAGGAAATAAGAAAAAACAAACATAACTTGCACTTACATACTAGATTTTAGTGTCCAAGTGCCTGGAAGAGAACTTTGGATTTATCAACCCCACTAGGCACGCCTTCCCTAGCAGCAAAGATGGAGCTCCAGTTCCTCAGACGGTGATGAGCCACAGGAAGGGCAGGGAGTGGGACCAGTGAAGATCCTCTTGGGCTGCCTGACTTCCCTCAGTGTACACATCAGCTCAGCCCGAAGTGGGGCGAAGATCTCCCAATCGACACGAACCAAGGAATTCAAACTCTCCTCAGGGGCAGGATACGTCTCCAGGCTTAACTTGCTCAGCCCACTGGTGTGGCGCAGCAGGTCCTTCAGGGTGTCCGTAGACATGCAATTTCTGCCAAAGTAGAAGGTGGTGAGCTGGGAGCAGCGGCTCAGGCCAGGCAGGATGGCGCTGAGTTGGCAGTAGTGGATCTGACAGCCCTCGAAGATGAGGGTCTTGAGAGTGGCAGCAATTTTCTCTAGCAGAGCTCCGAGGGGTTCAAGACTGATGCGGAACAGCAGCACGTAGCTGAGATTCAGATGCTTTAGGTAGCTGAGGCTTGGGTACTGAGACAGACACTTCATGTCCTCTTCCAATAGGTAGCCACAAGTTAACTCCAAGTTCTCCAAGGGGTTCTGGAGGCACCTGTGGAGATCAAGAAGTTAGTTCTGGGCAGTGATACCAGTTAGATGAAGGTGGTGGGGAATAACTGAAAGGGAAATGTCTGCTTCACCCAAACACAAGTTTATTCCCATCATGTGATGATGGTCCACATGCAAGTTGCTCTGTGATGAGGACTCTGATCATTCAGGGGCAGTCCTAGTTTAGCCTCAATCCTTTCACCATTGCTTGTGTGATTGGTTCAAGGCCACAAAATCACATCACTAAAGCCTCTTTTCTTCATCTTTTAGCAGAAAACTTCATCTCTGGGCCACAGGTACCCGGTGGGAGATGTGCATGAAGAACTCAACTGAGCAAGGTCTAGGGTCATCAGCTAGGGCTACCTACTGGCAGGGGCTCCCTGACGTGCCTGCATCTGCAAACCACCTATCACTTTTTACCACTCTCACGCCTACTCCCTCAGCCTCCATTCAAGAAGCACACATTTCCCATGTCAGTTACCTTTCCTGGGGTTCAAAACAACCTTTTACAGACAGGGAATAGAGACAGGATCATTTGTGATCACTAAGCTGGTGAGGACAGAGTTTCTACTGTGAAATGCACAGGTTTGATGCGCTGTCCCTCCTTTCATACCCTCCTCTATTACCTCTTTCCTATCATATCAACTTGAAACACACTTTGTAACAAGAAATTCACATATGCACCCCCCAGTAGAGCTGAAACCCCCACTACCTGGCTTGTACATGATGTAGCTCTCTAGCCTCTACCCCAGGTGACCCCGCTGCCCTCATTGCAGAGATCCTGTGATAGCCACTCCAGAACATGGAGCACTGAATGGGACAATGTGTTGATATTCTGGTGTCCCCTTCACTGTGATGTCACCACTGGCTGACACAAAAGTTATGCCTTCTAGCGTTTGCTGTAACAAAAAAAGGCTGTGCTGTGGTCTTCAGAGAAAGTGCACGATCCTTTCTCACCTGATCAGCTGTTCCAGGTGCCCACTGAAGAAGGTGATCAATTTTACTTTAAGCAATTGGAGGTGTTCCAGCCTGAGGAACACAGGCTGAATTTGGTGAGTAACCATTCCTCGAGGTCATTGTCCGACGAGTAATGATGGCACCTGGAGAAAACGAGTTTGCGAAGATTCTTCATCTCCTTCAGGTAACAATGAAGCTTTCTTATCAGATGCAGCCAGGACATGTTGTGAATTTCCAACTCCTGAATACTATTCAGGTGGACTATTTTCAATGACTTTCTAAGATATTTAATGGGTGTTAGATAATTCACCAACTTACTACAGCACAGGTGTACTAAAACTCTCCTTTGGTAAACCCACTGGAAGAGGTATCTCAGGCATTCATCTTGGGGTGTTTCCTTGAGGCAGACGTCTATGAACACCTTTAAGGGCTGGTGCTCTCCCATCCTTGGATAGTCCTCTGCTGTCTGCCTCTTACTCATGGCCTCTGGGGAGGAGGACAGGGCCTAGCCTCCAGGCCATCCAGCCCAGACATTCTCATCAACATCCAGCAAGTCCAGCACTTGAAGTTTCCACCTCCTATAGGTAAAGTAAGGGAGAAGCTCAGAATTTAGAAGGACCCATCCCTGACTTTTGCTTTCATTCTCATTGCTCCCTGTTCTCTCTCTGACTTTTCTCAGTCCGTTTTCTCTTTTGATTCATACTGCTCCCCACTTCTAGTCCCTTTACCTTCCACTGGGAAAAAGCAGGTTTCTGTTCCCACAGTGGACCCTGTATGGTGAGCAGTCCTTTCTCTGAGGATCTGGACAATGGCCAAAGCCTCCTTGAGCTTCCTCACCAGCACCATCAGAAGACTCTGGGCTACCCTGAGTCAGGCTGGAAAACAAGCCGCTTTATTGTATTTATTTATTTATTTATTTATTTATTTATTTATTTATTTATGGATTTTGAGACCGAGTTTTGCTCTTGTTGCCCCGGTTGCAGTGCAATGGTGTGATCTCAGCTCACCGCAACCTCCGTCTCCTGCGTTCAAGCGATTCTCCTGCTTCAGCCTCCCGAGTAGCTGGGATTACAGACATATACCACCATGCCCAGGTAATTTTGTATTTTTAGTGGAGATGATGTTTCTCCAAGTTGGTCAGGCTGGTCTCCAACTTCTGACCTCAAGTGATCTGCCCACCTTGGCCTCCCAAAATGCTGGGATTACAGGCGTGAACCACTGCACTCAGCCTTAAGCCACTTTATATAGGGTTAAATAAACCCCCTCTGAGGGGACTTTGTGATTTGTAGAAGGTGACTCCCCAGGCCCTTTAGTTAGGAATTGGGGACCTTCATGTCCCAACTTCTCCTTTGGATGCAGAGAACCTAATTATAATGCATTTAAATGTAAAGCCTCAACCACCAGGTGAACCTGGGATGTATGTGACATGTATATTTGCTTACCATACATGCATGCATCCCCCACCCTGTGAATTTTCATAGCTGCTCCAATGACCTGCTGAATATGCACACTTGGTGGCCAACAGGTTCAGCATAGATTCCTGGGTCACCTTCCCTCCCTCCAAGCGCTTGCCTCAGGTCCTGCCTGGAGGCCCATTTCCCAGCGAGCAGGTTGTAAACCTTTAGAAGAAATTACGCTCCTTTTTTCTAAATCTATAGACCCCATAATTTTTAGTGGACCTCATTGGTGTTAGAAGTGGGATTCAAAGGGGACCTCCGATCTCTTCCTGATGCCTCCAGAACCAATGCATCCTGCACTGGCAAGAGCCCCGTGAGCTCTTCTCGATTGCGCCATGGGAAGGCCTCGGGTAAGTCTTCCTGAATTCAGATGTCCAGCTCTTAGGTGGAAGATCTCAGAGACTTTAATTCTTCCCAGCTGGTTCTCTCCAAACAGTTTCTGGAAGGGACCTTCTCCATCAGTTCCAGGTTTTGGGACCCATGGTGCCTTCCCTTCCCTGTTCCCTCTCAGTCCCTGTCCTGGCTCCCTAATTGGGATCTTGGAGGGAATCTCTTTGTTGGTCCTGGGTTTGAGGAGACTCTTCCAGTTCCCTCCATCTGGACTGGATAGAAGATTCCTCTGAGGACCCCTGCCTAGCAGGGAGACATTCAGGTCAGACTTCTTGGGTCCATCAGGTTTGGTGAAGATGCTCGCCCTCTAGTGGTGCTTACAGGGACGCCTGTGGTAGGTAAGTGCAGTTATGAGGGCCCTTAGTGCCAAAAGGACAGACTCAGACCAGTGGCCATCAGGAACTCTGATGACTCTTTGTTTAAAGACTGTGTCCTGTATTACATGGGGGGAAATCTATAAAAAACAGATGAAGTTCATCCATGTGATGACGGCACTGCCGTGACACACAGGTAGTGACCCCGGCAAAAGGAGGGTGACTTCATCCATATTCAACGTGTTTATATTATTGGTGGCAGCTCATGTTGACTGCCCGACATTTGCATTGTAGTGGCTATAAAGTGATTTCTGAGCACTATGTGATCAATAAGCATTTACAGCCACCTGCCAGGTTCCATGCTCTGCTGTGGGACCACAGGGTGACAGAGACACAGTCCCTGCCCTTGAAGAAGCAGTCTCTGTCTACATGAGATTGTCAAGGAAAAAATCATTATCAAACACAACCTAGGCACATGGTCCAGCAGCCACGCTCCTTGGCATTTACCCAAATGAGAAAACCTAAAACCTGGATGTTTTTAACCACTACATTCATAATAGACAAAACTTAATAGGGACCAATATATTCTTCAGCAGATAAATGGATGAATAAACTGTAGCACATCCTGACAGTGTAAATTATTAAGCCCTAAAAGACATAAAAAAAACTTAAATGCACATAACCAAGTGAAAGAAGCCAACATGAAAAGGCCACATGACATTCTGGAAAAGGCAAATCTATGGACACAGTAGAAAGCCCAGGGGTTGCAAGGAGTCAGGGTAGAGTGGGATGGATAGAAAGAGAACAGGTGATTTTTTTAGGGCACTGAAGCTACTCTGCATGATGCTATAAGGGTGAATACATGTCATCATCAATTCATCAGAACTCATAGAATATACAGCACCAGATGTGAACCCTTAATGTTAATTATGAACTTTGGGTGATAAGGATGGTTCGTGTGGTTCATGCATTGGAGCAAATGGACCACGCTGGGGCAGGACGTTGATCCTTTAGGAGTCCGCGCTAGAGTGGGGTCATGAAGTATGTGGGAATGATCCACTTTCTGCTCAACTTCACTGCAACCTTATAACTGCTCTAAGAAAATAAATCATATATCCCTAAAAATATTGCACTTCCTTCCAGCTCCAAAATTGTATAAACTTAAATATTTTTAAATAAGAGCAATTCTTATTCATTGATCTTCAAAATCAGTTTTGAAGGTGTCATTTTATTTGAGACTCAATGCCACATTAAGCATTTTCTAAATATACTTCAAGTTCTGGGACACATGTGCAGAACGTGCAGGTTTGTTACATAGGGATACATATGCCATGGTGGTTTGCTGCACATATCAAGCCATCATCTACACTAGGTATTTATCCTAATGCTAACCCTCCCCCACCATCCCTACCCCCCAACAGGCCCCAGTGTGTGATGTTCCCTGTATCCATGTGTTCGCATTGTTCAACTCCCACTTATGACTGAAAACATGTGGTATTTGCTTTTCTGTTCCTGTGTTAGTTTGCTGAGAATGATGATTTCCAGCTTCATCCATGTCCCTGAAAATGACCTGAACTCATCATTTTTTATGGCTGCATAGTATTGAATGGTGTATATGTGCCATATTTTCTTTATCTAGTCTATCACTGAAGAGCTTTTGGTTTGGTTCCAAGTCTTTGCTATTAAGAACAGTGCCACACTAAACATACGTGTGCATTTGTCTTTATAGTAGAATGATTTATAATCCTTTGGGTATATACCCAGTAATGGGATTGCTGGGTCAAATGATATTTCCAGTTCTAGATCCTTGAGGAATCACCACACTGTCTTCCACAATGCTAGAACTAATTTACACTCCCACCAACACTGTCAAAGCATGCCTAATTTCTCCACATTCTCTCCAGCATCTGTTGTTTCCTGAAAAATATGGAACTTGTCACGAATTTGCACATCATCCTTGCGCAGGGGCCATGCTAATCTTCTCTGTGTCATTCCAACTTTAGTATACGTGCTGCCCAGGCCAACACAAACATTTTCTTTTTTTTTGAGACGGATCTCACTCTGTCCCCCAGGCTGGGGTGCAGTGGCACGCTCTCGGCTCACTGCAAGCTCTGCCTCCTGGGTTCATGCCATTCTGCTACCCCAGCTTTCTGAGTAGCTGGGACTACAGGTGCCTGTCACCATGCCCGGCTAATTTGTTGTATTTTTAGTAGAGACGGGGTTTCATCATGTTAGCCAGGATGGTCTCCATCTCCTGACCTCGTGATCCACCCATCTCAGCCTCCCAAAGTGCTGGGATTACAGTCGTGAGCCACTGTGCCCAGCCTACAAACCTTTTTAAAATATTGCACTACATACTTTAAAATACTAAATTCCCATTATAATTTAAAATTTCAATATACATATATTCAATATGTATAAAATTATATATATTCAATATGTATAAAATTATGTACATAAATTTATGTAAAAATATGTATTCAATATGTATAAAATTATATATAAATCACAATATTTATTCTCTATAAACACTTACATAACAGCAGATTTTTGGAGATACCACTCAATATCATCCTGTTTGCATCAATGAATTACACCAGATGGTCTGACCAACCAGCAGATGGCACATGAGTCTCATGGGTTGGAAATTTTTATCTCATGATCACTAGAGATGAACTCAGTCCTGCCCCACCCATCCCAACCTCTGCTGGCTGCTGAGGCTCTGCTGTTTGGGGGAATCACGATTAAGTGGTGGTGGTGGTGTGTAGAAGTTGAGTCCCATTGCCTGCCGTGGGTTTCTGCTGCCTCCCTATTATCAGGAATAGAAGGTGAGATTGAAGGGTGAAGAATGATGGGACTTCTATTAGGAGGGGAAAAAAAAAAGAACAAGATGCATATATTGAGCTCTTACTGTATGCCAGGCCCCATTCCAAGTCCTGACCATACACCATCTCATTGGGTCCTACGATAGTCTCATAGGGTGGTGGCATCATCATCTTCATTTTACAGGGAAGCTGAGCCTCTTGGCTGTTTCGTGCCCAACAGCACCAGCCCCTGAGTCCTCGGCAGGGTTCTACACTTAGGTGCCCTTTGTGTAGGGTCCTTCAGCACAGGTGTGGTCATTAATTACCCACAGGCACTTGATCATTATCCACCCTCTAAGGATGTGTGATTCCTACTACCATGCACTAGTCTTCCTTCACAGGGAGAAAAAGGAGGAGTTAAGAAAAGGTCTTTCATTGATGTTACAGGTATTATATGCCTACATAATGTCAGCATTTTGCTGAAAGGGAATTTGGATGTCTTTATTGGCCACAACTACTTTAATTCAGCAAGGGCCGCTACCCACCATGACAGGCATGGGTTAGTGATGCCCTGAGGCTCCTGCTCATACAGTGTGGAGCTCCCCTTCCAGGGCAGGGCCACGCCTTGGGCAGTGAAGTCCTTTCCCAGCACAGGTAACGGTCAGGAACTGAGAGCTCTGAATCCACCCATTGAGAGTGAACAGGGTCTCGGCATCAGGACAGAATGAGGGCACCTGAAGGGGCTTAACTTAAGTGGCTGACACTCACTTTGCACTTAGAATGCTTCAGGCCCTGTGTGCGTCTCTCATGTGCCACTAAATAGGCACAGAGAATAGCAAGAAGGTAACAGGAGGGGGATTGATCTAAATGATCAAATTCCATTTTGATGGTTTGATTTCCAGGAGCTGAACCTCATCAGTCACAGACAAATCAGTGCCTTATTAGCTCGATCAGTAACTGGACTTTTTTAGGTTTAAATTGTTTAATTGTTAAGCCATGTTAAGCAATTACGGAGGACACCAGATAGTTTCCACTCAGTTTCCCTTTATTTCTGACTGTTACTTTACAACCATCTGTGCAGGGGTAACCCTCTCATGTGTCTCTCCTCCCTGATTCTCACTCTAGCAATTCAGATTCCCATTTCTGATTCTCTGGGACACAGGTCTCTAAAGAGCCCATCCACTCCAAGTCAACTTTTCCCCCAGTCCTGCCCCTCCTGCATCCTCATTCCTTTCCCATTCACACTGAGGAGGCATTTGAAACGATGGGTCTGTGCTCCCTTTAACATGCACTCATGGCCTAGGTTTCAGCTCCGAAATGACCAGAAGAAAGCTTGAAATATATCCACCCTGATGGCAGGCATTCAACAGAGGCAGTGACTGGGCTCCAGGTCATAGGAGGCCCTGATGCCACAGCGAGGGCAGGGGACGGTGCAGAACACAATGATCTTGGGCTGCCTTAAGTCCCTCAGTGTGTTCATCAGCTCAGCCCCAAGTTCAGCAAATCTCCCCCAGCAGAGAGCACCCTGGGTGTCATAACTCTCCAGAGGGGCAGGATACAGCTCCAGGCTTAGCTTGCTCAGCCCGACGGTGTGGCGCAGCAGGTTCTCAAGGGCAGCCATGGAGATGAGGTTCCCACAGAAGCTGAAGGTGCTGAGCTGGGAGCAGCGGCTCAGGACAGGCAGGATGGCGCTGAGTTGGGAATCCATGATCCCACAGTCCTCTAAGTCCAGGGTCTGCAGGGTGGCCACAGCTTGCTCCAGCAGACCTGTGAGGGGCTCAGGGCTGAAATGGGTCAGCGTGACACCCCTCAGGTCCAGCTCCTTTAATTGACGGATGCTCGGGCACCAAGAGAGATGCTTCAAGTCTGACTCTGACAGCAGGCAGTCGGTCATAACGACCATCTCCAAGGAGGCCTGGAGACACCTGGGAGAGAACAAGAAGGAGTTAGAGGAGAGAGGTGGGGATGACTTCAGGGTGAGAGATGATGCTCTCCATAACCCAGGGCTGCTCTGCTCATCTGAGGATAGTCAGCACCTGGGGTGTGGGAATGGAGACTCTGTTCCTTCAGTGCAGTCCCAATCGAGGCTCAGTCCTTCACCATCACCGAGGTGATTGGATCAAGTCCATGAACTCTAAGTCTCCCTTTCCTCATCTGTCAGGTAGAAAACCACATCTCTGGGCCACAGGAGCCCGATGGAGACACAGGCATAAATGACAAACCCAGGCAGGATCCTGCAACATCAGCTGGGTTGGCCAGGTTGCAGGGGACCCTGACATGCCTGTACCATCAGCAAACCATCTATCACTTTTACCATTCTTTGCTCCTGCTCCCTCACCCTCTATTCTATCATCATGTATTTCCCATACATTAATTACCTGACCTGGAGCTCAAAACAGGGTGCTGACAGGGAAACATAGGATTTTGCCTGTTCACTAGGCAGGTGAGGATAGACCTCATATTTTAAAATATAGGAGTGGGATGGGCATTCTCTTTAGTGCCCTCTTCACCTCCCTATTTCCCATCATCTTAACTTAGACACACATCCTCAGGAGGAATTCACAAATGCACTCTCGCCAGATCTAAACCCTGCAGTAGCTAGCTTCCTAGCTTGGCACCTTCTCTATATCATCTAGCCCAGGAGATCCCTCTGACTTTATTGGGATGGTTGTGTGATACCCGTATCAGGACAGAGCCACCAACAGGATAATGCATGGATATTCTAGTGTCCCCTCACTCTTACTTCCTCACAGGCTCACAGTGCATACCCACTGGTGTTTACTGTAACAAAGAAAGGCTCTGCTGTGGTCTGAAGAGAAAGCTCACCATCCTTCCTCACCTGAGCAGCTGGTCCAGGTGGCCTTCGAGGAAAGAGACGGAGTGCATAGACAGATTCTGGAAATAGTCCAGCTTGAGGAACTGAGAGGTGAATCGGGCAATGAACTGCCCCTTGTTGTCTGGGGGAATGCAGGCAGATGCACGGATGTTGAAGAGAACAAGTTTGCGGAGATTCCTCATCTGGCCCAGGTAAGGGGCAAACTTCACAAGAGTGGACAGCTCCCAGGGGCAGCACACTTCCACCTCCTGGATACAGTCAAGCTCCACCATGTTCAGGACCTCTATGATACTGTGGATGGGCATTCCAAAAACCTGCAGCTCCTTGCAACACACATGCAGTAAGCCTTTTCTCTGCTTGCCCCACTCTAAGAGGTGGGTGAGGCATTCATCTAGTGTCCTGTTCTTGAGACAAAGGTCTATGAACACCATGAATGGCTGCTGCCTGCCTGTCCCTGGACAGTTATCTGCTGTTTGCTTCTGACTCAGAGCCTCCGGGAAGGATGCAGTAGCTCCAGAAAATATGTCGCAGAAGTTCTCATCCACATTCCTCAAGTCCAGCACTTGAAGTTTTGACTGCCTGTGGGTAAAGGAGAAGAGAGGCTCCAAACTAAGGCAAGGACCTGAGCTTTTATTTACATCCCAGACATCAGCTGTTCTCCTCTCTGCCACTTTTCCCTCTCTGATTTTGTCCAACCCCTTTTCCCTCCGGATTTTGCCTCATCCCCATTGCCTGTAGCTTTCAGAGCCACTAGAAGAGAAGTTTCTGTTTCCTCAGTGGACCCTGCATGGTGAGCAGTCCTTTCCCAGAGGGGCTGGGCAATGGCCAAGGCCTTCCTGAGCTTCCTCACTGGCACCATCAGAAACCTCTGGGCCTCCATGGTGCCCCTCCTCCTCCTGAAACAGCTGTCCCTACCCTGGACAAAAGGGCCCTCCCCACCTGGACACCTGGGTCACCTCACCTGGGGCGAACCTCTTGGGTCAACAGCACATCAACCCCTTCCAGCACAGATTTTAATGACTCCAGATGAGGCGACTTCATCAGGGACCCTAGAGGGAGGCGGGTGAAAGGCCAGGCCTGCACCATTGTTTTCAGGGTTTCACAGCGTCTCCTGCTGAAGGCCTCCATGAACAGCGTGGGGAAGAGCTCCCTGGGCAGCTCCTCCATGGTGGAGATGGCCAAGGCCTGGTCCCTCAGCAGCCTCTGCCTTGCCAGCTCCAGGAGTCTGGGTGGGGCCCTGATGCTCATCTTGATGAATCTGCAAGGGAAAACTCTAGAGGACAAATCCAGAGAAAAGGCATCACTCTCAGGCCAAATATGATCACCTCATCTTCTCCTATTGCTAATCTCATTGCTCTGGTGGAGGTGGAAAAGCCCTCAATTCCCCCCAGTTCCATTCTGCACTTGGTGGCCACAAATCTGTATCTGTGCCCCTGTGACTACCACAAAGAATGTCTTCCAAACACCAAGGAGGGGACGAGGTGGCCAGTGGCCCATTAATTTCTATACATTGCTCCACTGAAACTCAGGATTACTGGGATCTGTCACTCAGGATCCTGAAAGCTAAGCTCCACCTTTTTGAGGGAAATTTTTTTGTTACTTACCACCCAAAAACAATGAGAATGACTGTCCTGTGGCCCCACACAGCCTGCATTCTCAGTTTACACAATTAGCATGCTTGGGGAAGACTGAAGTGACTCCTTAAAATCAATGCCACTTGTTTTTATTTTGAAAAATTATAAGAGAAACTATAAAAGCAGTGTGGCAGTATTCTAGAGCACTTGGAAGGTGCGGGTGGAAACACTAAGTCTCAGATGAAGGATCCAATACTCATCCCTTCTACATACTCACAATCACCCACTTAGGGACAGAGTCTAAGGGCAGAGATAAATCCCATGTTCAGAACAAGACTCGAGAAAATCACAATACAACTAAGTGTGTGAACTGTAGCTGAAGGGCACAGAAACAAATAACTTCACATGTCAAGACATAAAAATTCATCCAACTGTAAATTTTTAATATCTTTTTTAAAAAACTGCTTCAATAAGAATTTTGAAATGAGAAAAATGAAGCAGAAATCAAAATTTGAGGGATGAAGTGAATACTATATTTAGAGGAAAAATCAAAACCTACATCTGTTAAATTGAAAAAACAGACAGGAAATTCTCTGTGCCACTTTGGGCTGTGTGTCACCATCCCTGACTGGCTGGCTGCAGATCAGATGGGCATGTTCCTAAGGAGGTGGTGACTTACCAGATCTGGACTCAGTTTGTAGGGTGCTGGGATCTCTCAGAGAATCAAGCAGTAGTTCCAGGCACCAGGGCTTTGGGTCTCTCCTTTGCAAACTCAGGAGCTTTTATTGATGTTTCTAACCACACCCTCCCCTTCTCAATCACCAGCTTCCAATCAGAAAGTGATACCTGATTAGATTCCGAAGTTCCACCTAGTTAGTCCTGATTGAGTTTTACACTTTCTTCTGATTCATTGATTAAATTAGATGTGCATTTATGAAAGTGAAAGAATAAATAACAGGGTGAAAGTCCAAAACTCATTAATTCATTTATTCCCCAAACACTGATGAAGTTTGACTAATATGTGACCTTCATAGAGACATGGAAGGTTTAATCTGTTCCTGACATTAGAAAGAAAAAACAAAACCTGATGATATCTTTATGGGAAAATCTGTGGCCACATCGAAATTATCAAAACGTTTCGTTAAGACAGTTAAAACAGCTTTAAAAAGACAGTGATGTCCACCCTAAGAAAACGGATTAAAAAGCTCCTTTATCCAATGGTCACCTGGGTTTTATGTTTTATAACAGGGCAGGTCATATGTGGGTTCAGGTTGAAAAGGGAACCACGGAGGGTGTGATTGATCACAAGACTAAGGTCAAGGCTTCACTGAAGGAAATCAGGACAGAATGACAAAGTGAGGTGGCGGCTGGGCAGGATGGGACCGGGTGTTCTAGTAGAACCCTGGGAAGGAACCAAGACAGCATAAAACATGGTGGGTATTTTGTGGGCATCTCCACAGAAGGATTGAAAGACTCTGTCTAGATTGAGTTTAAAAATTAAAAAGGGAATAATTACAAAAGAGACAGTGCAGACTCTTCAAACACAACATTGTCTTTGAGGGCAGAGGAGGCAGATACAGTCTTGGCCTCTACTACAAGGGAAAGCGTGTTTACTCCCAAAAATGATGGGCTCGCCTTGGAAAATCAGCCTGGGAAGATGGAATCTGAGAATGTGAGCTGGGGCAGATGCCAGAGGAAGGAAGGAAGGAAGGAAGGGAGGGAGGAAGGAAGGAAGGGAGGGAGGGAGGGAGGAAGGGAGGGAGGTAGGGAGGGAGGGAGGGAGGGAGGGAGGGAGGGAAGGAGGGAGGGAGGGAGGGAAGGAAGGAAATGAAAGAAAGAAAGAAAGAAAGAAAGAAAGAAAGAAAGAAAGAAAGAAAGAAAGAAAGAGAGAGAGAGAGAGAAACTCAGCCTTCCTGTCTTTAAGAACGGTGCACACATCTGGTTGTATTGTGTGCAAATGTACAATACATTTCCCCAACAAAACCTGGAAGCTCTATTTCATGTTAAAAGATCTGCTAAGTTCAGGGATGGCTCCCATCCTAAGCAGGATCACACAGTCATTCTTCTGCTATTTTAGGGCACAAAGTAGCAAGAACGTCCCCCGCCTCCAGAAAGTCCTCCAGGCCTTTCTCTCCCATTCCATATGAAACCCAAACAGCCCGGAGATGCCACTGGCTTCCAAAACTGAAGTACTTTGAAGGATGTTCTCCATCATGGAATATTTCTGTAAATGTTCTTTCTCCACGTTTCTGACCTCACTATCAATGCCCTGCTATGTGTGCAATCGAGTTAAACTGAAACGTGCTCAGTGCGGCTTCTACTTCACCTGCCCTCACTTTGTGAGCCTGAGGCTGAGGGTGAGCTCAGCACCAAAGGTGATCCTGAGTGTCTCTGTTGATTGAGCATGCACAAGGCACAGCAGGGACTGGTACCATTCATCCAAGATCTCAGCTCTCCCTCACGAGGAATCTAAGGCATGTTGCTATATTCCTCATTTTTAAAGTGGTGACCCTGAGACTTGGCTAGGGAGAGGAACCTGCCCGTGTTCAGGCAGCAAATGATGGACAGACCCCTCTGGTGAGGAGCTCAGAGGATCCCCTAAGGAGTTCAATAATCTAAATGTTGAAAAGAACTGATTGACAGACTTTCCCTTCCTGCCCAATTCAGAAGGTCCAGCACCACCCCCAGGACCCCAGTGAGAATCCCGCACTTGGGGGCATTTCTACCATGTCCTGTCACCTGTTCTTCTCAAGGTGCTCATCTGCTGTCAAACTCAGAGCATCCTTCAGAGCCCCTCTGAGAAGATGACCTGACCCCTTCTCCACTCACAGAATCTCCACCAGAATACCAAAGCTCCCCCAGGCACTTGCTCAGGGTCTCTAGAATATTTCTGAGCTTCTGTTTCCCTCCTGCAGACTGAGCTGTCAAGGCAGGTATCTCTTTATGCATCCTGGATACCTCAGCCCAAATCTCCTGAACAACAGAACATGGCCACAATGCTGGGAGACCTTCACCCCAGAGCAGTCATTGAGGAATTCTCCCAAAATTCTATTGAGCTATTTTGGTGAACATGAGAAGCCATAAAGCAGGGAGTTCCTCAGCTGCTGCTCTGGCCCTAAAGAGGCCCCTGGGACAGGACTGCTGGAGGGTGACCCTGCCTGGCACGCAGAAGGAGACCTGAGTCCTCTGGTCTTCCTATGGGTGCCAGGCTGAGAAGAGGTCCTGGGAAATGTCTCGGTGCAGGGGCCATCCCTTCCCAGGCTCCCCTGGGTCAGCCTTAGAGCTGACAAGGCTGCACCTGGAATGCAGTCAGTCTGTTTCTGTCCAAGTCAGGTCTCTTCTTAGCCTGAGCTGTTCACCCTCTGTGCATTTCTAAGAGTCAAAATCTCTGTTCTGGCCCTGTTGCCCTTCTCTGGTCCTCAACCGGGTCTGATTCCAGGTCAGATTCATGCACATCGTGTGCTAAAGTAGGGGCTTCCTCTCTTTCTTCCTCCAATCAAGTCTGAGGACAAGGTCACCCTGAAAGCAGACACTTGATGCTGAGGGAGGTGCTCAGAGCCTGGGGTGGGAGGAGGTCTGCACCCTCACTCCAGGCTGGACAGAGCCAGAGGGACTGAAAGTAGGAATGGGGCCAAGAAGGGGAGTGATCAGAGGAGCTGATGGGGCTGAAATAAAGGGGAAGGAGGGAGGTGGCAGCAGAGCAGGGAGCCAGGTTCTCTGGCTCTCATAGAGCTGTGTCTCTGAAAGGCAGGGACTTGTGTCTGAGACCGTGGGGCACTGGGGCTTGGACTTGGGTCTGTGAGTTCCCAAGACACTTTATGTGCCCTGGTCTGCATGAGGTTTTAGTGGCTGCCCCATCCTGCCCCAGGGGCACAGAGTCAGGAGAGTGGGGAGTCCCAGGAGAGGAAGAGCGGGTGGCGAGTGTCCATCCTGGATCCAAAGACAAGCAGCAGGTCAGAAGGAAGCAGCTGTGGCTTGAGGCCAAGGAAAGGATTCTCTTTGGAAATCGTGCAGCTCCATCTTTTCACTGGTCAGAGCCTTATGGGACGGTGAGGACTGGGCTTTTCAGGAGGGAATGAAAAAGAATGGGGTCTGGCTCAGAGTCCCTGACATCCAAGTTATTCCAAACCTCCTCTGACAAGCAAAGGGAAAATCATGGAGGATGGAAGTCAAACCAAGGCTCACATGGCTGCCCAGAGCTTTCCAGTGGATCCAGAGAGGGCACAATGATCCTCAGTCAGAAAAGTCCTCCAATGTCCAGCACTGAGGCCCAACAAGAGTGCCTGGAGGGGACTCTCTGTGACATGTCTGAAGAGAAGATTCTGGCGCATGTGACTCCTCCCACACCCTCTGCCTCCCCCTGACTCCTCTCCCCTTGATTCATTCAAAGACCTTCACTGAGCACCAGGGATTGCTTCCTGCAATTCCGGGTGCTACCAGGGAAGATGAATAAAATGCAAGGAAGCTGGAGAATGAACTCAGCAGAGGACACCAGGCTCAGCACTGCAATCCCGGTCAGAAAAATAACTCTGCAGGCTGCGCGGTGCAGAGCGATCATAATAACCCATGGGGATAATCACAGGTGTCCCAAATCCTTTAATCACTTTTTGTTGGAATATGAAGAGGTCTCTCACTGCTGAATATAAATATACAGGGAAGTGAAAAACATTAGTAAAACGAACATTTACTAAGTGCAATGTGACTCAAAGCACTGAGAAGCCAAGGGTTTTATTTCTTTGAAACAACTTGCCAAGGCAGTTTGAACAGTGATCATCTTCTTCCTGGGCTCAGCACCGCAGAGGCAGCTGGTGTCTTCTCCACCTGGGAGAGTTGTCCTGCTTTTTTTTAAGTTGGGATAGGCCAGTGAGTCAGGAAGTTTGTTCATCTTGGGCTTGGGGTACAGGAGGAGTTGGTGGGGTGCCTGTGGCCACTCCACTGCCCTCTGGGATTAGGAGGAGACAGTGGGGTCAGGACTCACCCCCTGGCCTGTGCTTCAGGTGATCCCTCTCCGTCCTGTGGATGTGGGGTTGGGAGCAGGTTTGGGGTCCTCGCCTATCCCCATTGGCTCTTCTTGGGAAGATGAATTTATGGGGCACCTGCAGGTGGCCACGTGTGGGAAGGAATCTCAGAACTTACATGGATCCATGCAAATGAGGCTTCCTTCAGGCAGACAGAGGAACTCTGAGCCTCCCTGATGCTGCAGGCACCTGGGTTTGGGGACCCTCTTGGAGACAAATGCATGGAGCGTCCCAGCAAGTTTCCCTGTCTCCCAGCTCCTCCCTGGGCTTCTGCATCCGGGAGTCAGGGCCGGATCAAGAGAAGCCCTGCGGGGAGTGGGAAGGACATAGGATTCTCAGGGTCTCAAGTTCAGCTTTTAACATTATCCTCAAAGGTGGGGTTTTTCCCAGAGGCCTCCTTTCCACAGATCCCATGCCTTCTTGCTGGACTCACGGGAAACTTGCCCTGCTAGAGACATGGGATATTTTACTTTTCTGTGCCATGGAGCCATGCTGGAGAGCTGTGACTTCCTAGCTGACCACACACACACATAAACATGTAAACACCATGAGGTCATTGTAGGGATGCCCACTGGGCCTGCGGTTCTCCCATAGCACCCAGTTCATAAAAGCCTCCCTTTCACTCACCTGGGGCCTGGAGTCATTGGCCTCCTCCTGTCTCATTGATCCAGCATTTGGCCTTGACTGGCCAGTGACTCAGACCCCAGCAAGAAGGACAAAATGACTAGTTCACGTGCTTTAGGGGAAACACAGAGAGAATGAGAAGACCAGTGTCTGAACTGGCAGGTTGTGAATTGGCTCAGGGAGATGAGACTGGAGAGGTGCAGCCAGGGGCAAGGGTGACTCAGGGGTCATTGGCAGTTTGGGATTAGGGTTGTGAGGCCACTTGAAGCCTATCTTCCACATCCCCGAGGTGGCTGAGAGGACCGTGTTCCCTGAGGGGACAACCAGAGGGCAGGGACACGCTTCAGAAGATTCTTGCACTGTCCAGACAGGAGGTCCTGGTGTCCACTTGAGTGGCCATGGACAGCATAGGGACGTCCTGGAGGCAGAGTCAGCAGGACTTGCTCTTAATTCTTCCTGGGGTGGATGTGAAGCTTGTGTCCTGGCAGAGGGAGTGGTTGGCACAGGGCTGAGTTATCCCCTGTGGCCTCAACTGTTTTCCTGATTATGCCTGTTGTCTTTGAATGTCAACAAAAGTAGCCAACATTTATGGAGGGTTTATTATGCCCCATGCTTTGGGCTCAGCATTTTTACCTGAAGATTGAGATTATCCTTCTACACATTTGATGGAGAAAGAGACACATTCAAAGAGAGAGGGAGAAATTTTCAAGGCCAGACAGCCTGTAAGTGGTGGGACTGGAATGACGGAATGTCTGTTTGTCAACATCTTTGGCGGTGACATGATACTGTCCCAGTCCCTGCAATGTGCTGCTCATTTTCATCCTTTCAAATAAAACTCCACAGTCAGAGGCTTGTGCAAGAGTTGGGGTCCAGAGCATCAGGTCTAATGTTTGCTATGTTTATATTCACTGCCAAATCTGTTATTCCAAAGAAATTTTACTAGTGAAATAGAAATACGTTGTCTGACAGCATTACCCCCTGTGATATGGTTTGGATCGAACCATTGCTCTCCAGCCTGGCAACAGAGTGAGACTCCATCTCCAAAAAAAAAGCAATTAATTATAACAACACGTCTCTTCACTCTCCAAAGTGTCTGGGACTGGACAATTAATTGTCAGGCCCTCTTCTGTAGCACCATACACTAGAGCATATACGTGGATTAAAATAAATACACACACAAAATGCAAGTATATATTCTTTTTTCATTATTATTATACTTTAAGTTTTAGGGTTCATGTGCACAACGTGCAGGTTTGTTACATATGTATACATGTGCCATGTTGGTGTGCTGCACCCATTAACTCATAATTTAGCATTAGGTATATCTCCTATTGCTATCCCTCCCCCCTCCCCCCACCCCACAACAGTCCCCGGTGTGTGATGTTCCCCTTCGTGTGTCCATGTGTTCTTATTGTTCAATTCTCACCTACGAGTGAGAACACCTATGAGTTTTGTTCTAGGGTTTTTATGGTTTGAGGTCTAACATGTAAGTCCTTAATCCACCTTGAATTAATTTTTCTATAAGGTGTAAGGAAGGGATCCAGTTTCAGCTTTCTACTTATGGCTAGCCAGTTTTCCCAGCACCATTTATTAAATAGGGAATTGTTTCCCCATTTCTTGTTTTTGTCAGGTTTGTCAAAGATCAGATAGTTGTAGATATGCGGCATTATTTCTGAGGGCTCTGTTCTGTTCCGTTGGTCTATATCTCTGTTTTGGTACCAGTACCATGCTGTTTTGGTTACTGTAGCCTTGTAGTATAGTTTGAAGTCAGGTAGCATGATGCCTTCAGCTTTATTCTTTTGGCTTAGGATTGACTTGGCAATGCGGGCTCTTTTTTGGTTCTATATGAACTTTAAAGTAGTTTTTTCCAATTCTGTGAAGAAAGTCATTGGTAGCTTGATGGGGATGCCATTGAATCTATAAATTACCTTGGGCAGCATGGCCATTTTCACCATATTGGTTCTTCCTACCCATGAGCATGGAATATTCTTCCATTTGTTTGTATCCTCTTTTATTTCATTGAGCAGTGGTTTGTAGTTCTCCTTGAAGAGGTCCTTCACATCCCTTGTAAGTTGGATTCCTAGGTATTTTATTCTCTTTGAAGCAATTGTGAATGGGAGTTCACTCATGATTTGACTCTCCGTTTGTCTGTTAGTGGTGTATAAGAATGCTTGTGATTTTTGCACATTGATTTTGTATCCTGAGACTTTGCTGAAGTTGCTTATCAGCTTAAGGAGATTTTGGGCTGAGATGATGGGGTTTTCTAGATATACAATCATGTCATCTGCAAACAGGGACAATTTGACTTCCTCTTTTCCTAATTGAATTCCCTTTATTTCCTTCACCTGCCTGATTGCTCTGGCCAGAACTTCCAACACTATGTTGAATAGGAGTGGTGAGAGAGGGCATCCCTGTCTTGTGCCAGTTTTCAAAGGGAATGCTTCCAGTTTTTGTCCATTCAGTATGATATTGGCTGTGGGTTTGTCATAGATAGCTCTTATTATTTTGAGATGCGTCCCATCAATACCTAATTTATTGAGAGTTTTTAGCATGAAGGTTGTTGAATTTTGTCAAAAGCCTTTTCTGCATCTATTGAGATAATCATGTGGTTTTTGTCTTTGGTTCTGTTTATATGCTGGATTATGTTTATTGATTTTCGTATGTTGAACCAGCCTTGCATCCCAGGGATGAAGCCCACTTGATCATGGTGGATAAGCTTTTTGATGTGTTGCTGGATTCAGTTTGCCAGTATTTTATTGAGGATTTTTGCATCAATGTTCATCAAGGATATTGGTCTAAAATTCTCTTTTTTTGTTGTGTCTCTGCCAGGCTTTGGTATCAGGATGATGCTGGCCTCATAAAATGAGTTATGGAGGATTCCCTCTTTTTCTATTAAGTGGAATAGTTTCAGAAGGAATGGTACCAGCTCCTCCTTATACCTCTGGTAGAATTCGGCTGTGAATCCAACTGGTCCTGGACTTTTTTTGGTTGGTAAGCTATTAATTATTTCCTCAATTTCGGAGCCTGTTATTGGTCTGTTCAGAGATTCAACTTCTTCCTGGTTTAGTCTTGGGAGGGTGTGTATGTCGAGGAATTTATCCATTTCTTCTAGATTTTCTTGTTTATTTGCGTAGAGGTGTTTATAGTATTCTCTGATGGTAGCTTGTATTTCTGTGGGATCAGTGGTGATATCCCCTTTGTCATTTTTTATTGCATCTATTTGATTCCTCTCTCTTTTCTTCTTTATTAGTCTTACTAGCAGTCTATTAATTTTGTTGATCTTTTCAAAAAACCAGTTCCTGGATTCATTGATTTTTTGAAGGGTTTTTTGTGTCTCTATTTCCTTCAGTTCTGCTCTGATCTTAGTTATTTCTTGCCTTCTGCTAGCTTTTGAATGTGTTTGCTCTTGCTTCTCTACTTCTTTTAATTGTGATGTTAGGGTGTCAATTTTAGATCTTTCCTGCTTTCTCTTGTGGGCATTTAGTGCTATAAATTTCCCTCTACACACTGCTTTGAATGTGTTCCAGAGATTCTGGTATGTTGTGTCTTTGTTCTCATTGGTTTCAAAGAACATCTTTATTTCTGCCTTCATTTCGTTATGTACCCAGTAGTCACTCAGGAGCAGATTGTTCAGTTTCCATGTAGTTGAGCAGTTTTGAGTGAGTTTCTTAATCCTGAGTTCTAGTTTGATTGCACTGTGTTCTGAGAGACAGTTTGTTATAATTTCTGTTCCTTTACATTTGCTGAGGAGTGCTTTACTCCCAACTATGTGGTCAATTTTGGAATAGGTGTGGCGTGGTGCTGAAAAGAATGTACATTCTGTTGATTTGGGGTGGAGAGTTCTGTAGATGTCTATTAGGTCTGCTTGGTGCTGAACTGAGTTCAATTCCTGGATATCCTTGTTAACTTTCTGTCTCATTGATCTGTCTAATGTTGACAGTGGGGTGTTAAAGTCTCCCATTATTATTGTGTGGGAGTCTAAGTGTCTTTGTAGGTCACTAAGTACTTGCTTTATGAATCTGGGTGGGGCAACCCGCTCGGGTCCCCTTCCACAGTGTGGAGGCTTTGTTCTTTCGCTCTTTGCAATAAATCTTGCTACTGCTCAAAAAAAAAAAAAAAGTATGAATCTGGGTGCTCCTGTATTGGGTACATATATATTTAGGATAGTTAGCTCTTCTTGTTGAATGGATCCCTTTACCATGATGTAATGGCCTTCTTTGTCTCTTTTGATCTTTGTTGGTTTAAAGTCTGTTTTATCAGAGACTAGGATTGCATCCCCTGCCTTTTTTTGTTTTCCATTTGCTTGGTAGATCTTCCTCCATCCCTTTATTTTGAGCCTATGTGTGTCTCTGCACGTGAGATGGGTTTCCTGAATACAGCACACTGATGGGTCTTGACTCTTTATCCAATTTGCCAGTCTGTGTCTTTTAATTGGAGCATTTAGCCCATTTATATTTAAGGTTAGTATTGTTATGTGTGAATTTGTTCCTGTCATTATGATGTTAGCTGGTTATTTTGCTCATTGGTTGATGCAGTTTCTTCCTAGCCTTGATGGTCTTTACAATGTGGCATGTTTTTGCAGTGGCTGGTACTGGTTGTTCCTTTCCACGTTTAGTGCTTCCTTCAGGAGCTCTTTTAGGGCAGGCCTGGTGGTGACAAAAATCTCAGCATTTGCTTGTCTGTAAAGTATTTTATTTCTCCTTCACTTATGAAGCTTAGTTTGGCTGGATATGAAATTCTGGGTTGAAAATATTTTTCTTTAAGAATGTTGAATATTGGCCCCCACTCTCTTTCTGGCTTGTAGAGTTTCTGCCAAGAGATCAGCTGATAGTCTGATGGGCTTCCCTTTGTGGGTAACCCGACCTTTCTCTCTGGTTGCCCTTAACATTTTTTCCTTCATTTCAACTTTGGCGAATCTGACAATTATGTGTCTTGGAGTTGCTCTTCTCGAGGAGTATCTTTGTGGCATTCTCTGTATTTCCTGAATTTGAATGTTGGCCTGCCTTGCTAGATTGGGGAAGTTCTCCTGGATAATATCCTGCAGAGTGTTTTCCAGCTTGGTTCCATTCTCCCCATCACTTTCTGGTACACCAGTCAGACATAGATTTGGTCTTTCCACATAGTACCATATTTCTTGGAGGCTTTGTTTTTTTCTTTTTATTCTTTTTTCTTTAAACTTCTCTTCACACTTCATTTCATTCATTTCATCTTCCATCGCTGATACCCTTTCTTCCAGTTGATTGCATATGTTAATGAGGCTTGTGCATTCGTCATATAATTCTCATGCTATGGTTTTCAGCTCCATCAGGTCCTTTAAGAACTTCTCTTCATTGGTTATTCTAGTTATCCATTTGTCTAATTTTTTCCCAAAGTTTCTAACTTCTTTGCCATTGGTTCCAACTTCCTCCTTTATCTCGGAGTAGTTCGATCTTCTGAAGTCTTCTTCTCTCAAATCATCAAAGTCATTCTCCATCCAGCTTTGTTCCATTGCTGGTGAGGAGCTGCGTTCCTTTGGAGGAGGAGAGGCACTCTGATTTTTAGAGTTTCCAGTTTTTCTGCTCTGTTTTTTGCCCATCTCTGTGGTTTTATCTACCTTTGGTCTTTGATGATGGTGATGTACAGATGGGTTTTTGGTGTGGATGTCCTTTCTGTTTGTTAGTTTTCCTTCTAACAGTCAGGACTCTCATCTGCAGTTCTGTTGGAGTTTGCTGGAGGTCCACTCCAGACCCTGTTTGCCTGGGTATCAGCAGCAGAGGCTGCAGAACAGTGGATATTGGTGAACCGCAAATGCTGCTGTCTGATCTTTCGTCTGGAAGTTTTGTCTCAGAGGAGTACCCAGCTGTGTGAGGTGTCAGTCTGCCCCTACTTGGTGTTGCCTCCCAGTTAGGCTACTCGGGGGTCAGGGACCCACTTGAGGAGGGAGTCTGCCCGTTCTCAGATCTCAAGCTGCATGCTGGGAGAACGACTACTCTCTTCAAAGCTGTCAGACAGGGACATTTAAGTCTGCAGAGGTTATTGCTTTCTTTTGTTTGTCTGTGCCCTGCCCCCAGAGGTGGAGTCTACAGAGGCAGGCAGGCCTCCTTGAGCTGTGATGGGCTCCACCCAGTTCCAGCTTCTGGGCTGCTTTGTTTACCTACTCAAGTCTCGGCAATGGTGGGGGCCCCTCCCCCAGCCTCGCTGCCGCCTTGCAGTTTGATCTCAGGCTGCTGTGCTAGCAATGAGCAAGGCTCCGTGGGCACAGGACCCTCCAAGCCAGGTGTGGGATATAATCTCCTGGTGTGCAGTTGTTACGCCCATTAGAAAAGCGCAGTATTAGGGTGGGAGTGACCTGATTTTCCAGGTGCCATCTGTCACCCCTTTCTTTGACTAGGAAAGGGAATTCCCTGACCCCTTGTGCTTCCCAGGTGAGGCGATGCCTCGCCCTGCTTCAGCTCACGCACGGTGCACTGCACCCACTGTCCTGCACCCACTGTCTGGCACTCCCCAGTGAGTTGAACCTGGTACCTCAGTTGGAAATGTAGAAATCACCCATCTTCTGCATCACTTATGCTGGGAGCTGTAGACTGGAGCTGTTCCTATTCAGCCATCTTAAGTATATATTCTAAATACTTTCTATATACTTATATTCTAAGAGGTCACATGCAAATTCAAGGCTAGGTCAAAGAGTAGAGTGGCTATCTATGGAAAGGGGAGTGGAAGTGAATCATGGTAATAAAAATTAAGTATAGATATAGATAGGAATAGATAGACATACACACATATAGCTGCAAGAAAGGGGAATGTCATGGACCAATGATGTCAGTGAGCCATGTAAAAAGGCTACAATTCTTGTGATTGTGTGTCTGTTTTCAGGATGGGTTGTAGCTTACCTTTTTAGAAAGGCTGATGCCACAGCCATAGTGAATAAATGGTTATAAAATGTGTTTCCTTTCTGGGGCATCTCTGGAGAAATCTCCAGTGGTAGGAGAACTCCGTTTACTGGGCAGGTGATCACACAGATAAGATTTTTCAGATCCAATGGCACTACCATTAACTTCATTATCCTTGGTATTCTACAAAGGTCGAGTGAAGAAATGGTATCTTGAAACTAAAATTAGCTAAACTAACAAAGGAGATTGGGTTAATTTTTTTTTTTTTTTTTTTTTGAGACAGAGTCTCTGTTACCCAGGCTGGAGTTCAGTGGTGCTATCTCAGCTCACTGCAACCTCTGCCTCCTGGGTTCAAGTGATTGTCATGCCTTAGCCTCCCAAGTAGCTGGGATTACAGGCATACCACCACACCCAGCTAATGTTTGTATTTTTAGTAGATAACGGGGTTTCACCATGTTGCCCAGATTGCTCAACTCCTGGCCTCAAGTGATCCACCAGCCTCGGCCTCCCAAAGTGCTGAGATTACAGGTGTGAGCCATCATGTCCAGCAAGACTGGATTACTTTAATGAAATTTTTACCACCCCCTATGGGAAAACACAGCCAGATCCCCCATAAGGTATTTTTTTTTCACCAACTGCAATCAGAAACACTGATAATTAAGTATTTACTGGAGAACCTATGCCTTTGATAATAGAACATTATGTATCCCCTGCACTTTTTAGCTCTGATCATGTAACCAGAGGATCAACTCCAACAGATTAGTCATTGCTTAAGTTGTTACAGGTGATGACGCAAAGCCCAAATTGCTCAGGCATGTCCGATGGGAAAAAGGTTTAACCTCTTAACTATTAACACAGCCAGGCGGACTGTTTGAATTGGCATCATCTGAAACCAGTTGGAAAGATGATGCAAGCTTGCTCCACCATCCCCAGATTGGGGAGACAGGTTTAGAACTTGTCTCCTATCTGCTTGTCAGTTAACTCTTTTTTATTTTTATTTTTATTTTTTTCTTTGAGACAGAGTCTCACTCTGTTGCCCAGGCTGGAGTGCAGTGGCATGATCTCAGCTCACTGCAACATTGGCCTTCCAGGTTCAAGTGATTCTCCTGCCTCAGCCTCCCCAGTAGCTGGGATTACAGGCATGCACCACCATGCCCAGCTAATTTTTGTATTTTTGTATATTTATTTATTTATTTATTTATTTATCATTCTTGGGTGTTTCTCACAGAGGGGGATTTGGCAGGGTCATAGGACAATACTGGAGGGAAGGTCAGCAGATAAACAAGTGAACAAAGGTCTCTGGTTTTCCTAGGCAGAGGACCCTGTGGCCTTCCGCACTGTTTGTGTCCCTGGGTACTTGAGATTAGGGAGTGGTGATGACTCTTAACGAGCATGCTGCCTTCAAGCATCTGTTTAACAAAGCACATCTTGCACCACCCTTAATCCATTTAACCCTGAGTGGACACAGCACATGTTTCAGAGAGCACAGGGTTGGGGGTAAGGTCATAGATCAACAGGATCCCAAGGCAGAAGAAGTTTTCTTAGTACAGAACAAAATGAAAAGTCTCCCATGTCTACTTCTTTCTACACAGACATGGCAACCATCCGATTTCTCAATCTTTTCCCCACCTTTCCCCCTTTTCTATTCCACAAAACTGCCATTGTCATCATGGCCCATTCTCAATGAGCTGTTGGGTACACCTCCCAGACGGGGTGATGGCCGGGCAGAGGGGCTCCTCACTTCCCAGTAGAGGCGGCCGGGCAGAGGCGCCCCTCACCTCCCGGACTGGGCGGCTGGCCGGGCGGGGGGCTGACCCCCCACCTCCCTCCCGGACGGGGCAGCTGGCCTGGCGGGGGCTGACCCCCACCTCCCTCCCGGACGGGGTGGCTGCCGGGTGGAGGGGCTCCTCACTTCTCAGATGGGGCGGCTGCCAGGTGGAGGGTCTCCTCACCTCCCAGAAGGGGCGGCGGGGCAGAAGCGCTCCCCACATCTCAGACGATGGGCGGCCGAGCAGAGACGCTCCTCACTTCCCAGACGGGGTGGCGGCCGGGCAGAGGCTGCAATCTCGGCACCTTGGGAGGCCAAGGCAGGCGTCTGGGAGGTGGAGGTTGTAGCGAGCTGAGATCACGCCACTGCACTCCAGCCTGGGCAACATTGAGCACTGAGTGAACGAGACTACGTCTGTAATCCCGGCACCTCGGGAGGCCGAGGCTGGCAGATCACTCGCGGTTAGGAGCTGGAGACCAGCCCGGCCAACACAGCGAAACCCCGTCTCCACCAAAAAAATACGAAGACCAGTCAGGCGTGGTGGCGCGCGCCTGCAGTCGCAGGCACTGGGCAGGCTGAGGCAGGAGAATCAGGCAGGGAGGTTGCAGTGAGCCGAGATGGCAGCAGTACAGTCCAGCTTCGGCTCGGCATCAGAGGGAGACCGTGGAAAGAGAGGGAGAGGGAGACCGTGGGGAGAGGGAGACCGTGGGGAGAGGGAGACTGTGGGGAGAGGGAGAGGGAGAGCAATTTTTGTATTTTTAATAGAGAGGGAGTTTCACCATATTGGTCAGGCTGATCTGGAGCTCCTGACCTTGTGATCCGCCCACCTTGGCCTCCTAAAGTGCTGGGATTACAGGTATAAGCCACTGTGCCCAGCCCAGTTAACTGTTAATAAATTTTTTTTTCCCAAAATGGAGTCTTGCTCTGTCACCCAGGCTGGAGTGCAGAGGTGCAATCTCGGCTCACTGCAACCTCTGCCTCACAGGATCAAGTGATTCTTCTGCCTCAGCCTCCTAAGTAGCTGGGATTACAGACATGGGTCATCACACCCAGCTAATTTGTGTATTTTTCATAGAGACAGGGTTTCACCATATTGGCCAGGCTGGATTCGAACCCCTGACCTTGTGATCCGCCTACCTTGGCCTCCTAAAGTGCTGCAAATATAGGTGTCAGCCACCATGCCCAGCCTTTTTTGCTTTTCTATGCACTTAGGAGAGTGAGCCCATCGTTCAGTAACAATATGACTCAGTACTGCAAGACCTTTCAAAGCCTATTTCCAGTTGGTGAAGGAGGGTTTCGATGATCACTGGACCTTCATGCCCTACCATTTGGAGACTGCATCTTTTAAAATGACACCAAGGGAAATCTGCCCATGAGCAGCATTGGATGGGACCATACCAGGTGACTTAAAATTAAGGATAACCAAGGAACAAAGTCTTTCTTAGAAGCAGACATCATCACATGGTAGACAGCTTTTTTAAGAAAATGGGACAAAACTCCATTTGATCTCCTTCCATTGACTGAGACTTGGTTTTGTTTTGTATTAACACAAAGTGATCAAGCCTACATTTTATTTTGTTACGTACTTTCACCAGTCAAAGCAAACACTTTCTAAGTTCTCCTATTCAAAATTTAGCCATTCTCACTAACCAAAGCAATTACTGGCTATGGAGTCATTTAGATGAATGGGAAGGATCACAACTAATAGTAGAACCTGCTCTCACACACGGTTGGTTAATATTGATAATTAAATGACTTGGCACTGAGCAGAAGCTATAGATGCAAATGGGTGGCCTATGACTATTGTTGATTTCATTACTTGTAACTTATCTCCATGCATAGGAAACATTAGTGTAACCGGGTCTAATCTAGGTAGTGTCCCAGACTCCCCCTAGAATCGAACTCTTTCATTTGACACACATTATGAAGACTGAAATGCTATAAGTATTGACATAGACACAGAATCAGAACATGACCATGTTATCCTCTGCCATATAATCAGAGAACTTACTGAAACTAGACATTTGTTCATTGGAAACTCGAGGCAAATAGAATGCATCTATAGCTCTACTATATGAAATAAACAATAGTTTCATTTATTGGATGCATCCATACTCAGCACATATTTGGAGAAGACCCTATTCATTCTTCAATGGAGATGACATGCAAGGATTATTTAATAAAATTCATAAAAATATTTTTTCATCCCACCCCAGTTCAAACTGTCACCATGCAACCTGGTGTCAGTGGAAGGTAAGGCGCTTAAGGCAGAAATAATTAAATAAATCTTCATTGGAAGCTAAATGTGAGAATCAATGTGGAAGACACAGACCAACAAAGTGGGTGTGTTCCAAAGTCTGTTACAAGTTGGAATGCTTTTGTGAGAAAAGTTAAAAGAAGGGAATGAGACTCCTCCTATCAGTTTTTTTTTTTAAATTTTCTTTTGTTTTACTGACCTGGCAAGGCTCAAATAGAGTTGAGTTTTTGTTTTGTTTTTGTTTTTTCCATTGGAAGGTACAATACAGAGGTTACAATCATTGACTTTAGCTGACAACATAACAAGTTAAACATTTTCCTTGCAAGACAACCAGTGAAACTTCATGATCAGAATCAAATCAGTGTCCTTCTCACTGTAAGTGGGTGAAGCTTCATCAATAATTGCAGAGTTTGAGGCACTCATGAACTCAAGATCAGATTCTTTACTCAGGGACAGAATGTAAGCCAATCATAAGACCTTCCACAGGTGGTTAATTTGGACTCCTGAAAAATGTGACCTGTAAGTTTTCACTGGCAATATGCAGGTGCACATATGACAAATAATAACCAGGACCTTTATATCACCCCCAACTGGTGGGGAATGGGATCCTTTTGACCCTTTCTCTCCATAATACCAGGCTACTCATCTTGTGTGGCAATAAAATATATGGTCTACTTCACAGAGAAAGAGATTCTTTTAAAAAAAAAAAGGATTTTTATTATGAAATGAGCAAAGCAATGGGAATAGATGTGAGATTATTCAGGGAGGTAAAGGAAGACAAAGGTTTTGAAAGGAAAAATCAGGAGAATTACATACACTGTTTTGGAAGACTCATTCTTGGTCACAAGTATCAACACCAAGGGGGCCTCAGTGCAATGTTGGAAAGATTCCTCCTCCACGCCCTCAATAACCCCCAACATGTTTACCAAGTCTTGGTTCACTCCCCGGATCCCATTAAAACACACAGCTCAACCCTGACCAGCCTCCACCTTCACTTCCCTTTGTAATTTTGACATGACTTTTTTTACAGGACCATCAGGTTCCTATGCCTGCAGCACAGTAGCATACTAATATTCTGAGACAGCAGGGTTTGCAGCAGAGAGTTTAACGATCACAGGGTGGCAAAATGAAAAGCTGGGAGGAGACCCTCAAATTCATCTCCCCAAGAAGTACTGAGAGTTTTCAGAGGATCATGGATAGCAAGAGGCTGGAAAGTTGGTGCAGTTTGGTGGCAGTAAGAGGTATGAAGTCATCAGGATGTCAAAACTGCATTCCTTGGTGAGTTGGTGCCTTGCAGGGCCCTTCAGATCACCTGCCATCAGTAGCTTCACTGACATGCAGAACCTGAAAGAATATGTCAAATGAAAAAGTTAATGTTTTACAAGGCCTAAATTGTTGTCTGCAGGGCAGTTAAGGGCAACTGTAATCTAAGGTCTACATGATTTTGGGACAGCAGGCTGCCAGCAACCATGAGGAAGCAGGTCAGAGAGCAAGCTGACCTCATGATGAATGCTGAATGCACTGCAAGCTTGGTTTATGTCTGTTTCTCCCCCTCCCTTCTTCACTGATTAAATTTATAAAGTTTATAAGTATGGTTGCAATTTCTTCCAGAGTAGCCTTAACCTAAGCCCTGAGACCACTCAGGTCCTCAGTGGCACCTCTCTTCCACCAGCAGGAGTGAAAAAATTGCTACCTTAGGTGATATAAAACCCACAAGACCATTCAATACATGGAGATTTTTATTTTGATTTTGTAGGGACGACTCCTCTGTTTTTATAAAGCTATTTTAACTATAAAACATTTTTGTGATTTTGATGTGGCCAAAGATCTCCCAACAATACTACTTTCAGATTTTAGTTTTCTGTCTAATATCTGGGAAAGATTAGACCCTTCCCTGCTTCAGACTCAGGACTATGCAGGTCACATATTAGTGAAATTCCATCAGTGTTTGTGAAGTTCATGAATGAATGAATTTTTTTTTTCCGACAAATTCTCCCTCTGTCACCCAGAGTGGAGTGCAATGGTGCAATCTTGGTTCACTGCAACCATTGCCTCTTGGGTTCAAGCGATTCTCCCACCTCAGCCTCCTGAGTAGCTGGATTACAGGCATGTGCCATCGTCCCTGTCTAATTCTTGTATTTTTGTAGAGACGGGGTTTCACCTTGTTGGCCTGGCTCGTCTTGAATGTCTGAACTCAGGTGACCCACCCAACTTGTCCTCCCAAAGTGCTGGGATTACAGGAGTGAGCCACCTTGCCCGGTCTTGAATGAATGCATTCTTGATTCCCACCCTATCCCTAACACTGTCAATTTCTTGATTCATGAACTTAATATGGATATCTGATATGAATGGATATCTGATTCAATCCATTAATCTGGGGAGAGCCAAAACCCCAATCAGGATTAACTGGGTGGAGCTTCAGAAATGCAATCAGATATCACTTGTTGATTGGAAGCTAGCAGTGGATACGTGGAGGGGTGTGGGTGGGAGTTGTGATTAGAAAGGTCAATAAAAGCTTCTAAAGACCCACAGAAGAGACCCAAAGTCTTCAAGCCTGGAGTTCCTGCTTAGTTCTTCCTGAGGTCTGAGCACCCTCCAAACTGAGTCCAGATCTGGTAAGTCACTAATCTCTCTGTAAGGACACTCCCAACTGACCTACAGTCAGCTGGTCTGGGATGGTGACAGTGCAGCCTAAGATGGCATAGAGTTATATCCTGTTTTGTTTTTTTTCTCATATGAACAATTTGAAGCTTTGCATTTTTTCCTCTAAATGCAGTTTTGTCTTTATTTCAAAAAATTGGATTGTGCTTTGGTTTATGTCATTTCAAAATTCTTGAAGGGAGCAGTGACTCATGCCTTTAACCCCAACACTTTGGGAGACCAAGGCGGGAGGATCATTTCAGCCCAGGGGTCTGAGACCAACCTGGACAACACGGCAAAAACCCATCTCTATAAAATATTCTTTATTGAAGGGGGGATGGAGTCTCGCTCTGTTTCCAAGGCTGGAGTGCAGTGGCACGATCTCAAATCATTGCAACTTCTGCCTCCCAGGCTCAAGCAATTCTCATGCCTCAGCCTCCTGAGTATCTGGTATTACATCCAACTGCCAACTTGCCTGGCTAATTTTTGTATTTTTAGTAGAGGTGGGGTTTCACCATGCTGGCCAAGTTGGTCTCAAACTCCTGACCTCAAGTGATCCACCTGCCTTGGCCTCCCAAAGTGCTGGAATTACAGCCATGAGCCACTGGTGCTTGGCCTCTACAAAATATACATATTTTTTAATTAGCCGGGCATGGTAGCATGCATCTGTCTTCCCAACTGTATGGGTTGCTGACATGGGAGAAACAATTGAGCCCAGAAGATTGAGGCTGCAGTGAGCCATGCTCATACCACTGCTGTACTCCAGCCTGGGCAACATTGCGAGGCCCTATTACAGAAAAAAAATCTTAACCAAAGAGGATCTTTGACCTTAATTTTAAACCAATCACATCCTCATTGTAACTCTTCCACCCAAACGGAGACATGGGTGTGGAGGTGCATGCCTGTAATCCCAGCTACATGGAAGGCTGAAGCATAAGTATCACTTGAACCTGGGAGGCAGAGGTTACAGTGAGCTGAGATGGCACCACTGTACTCCAGCCTGGGTGATGAAGTGAGACTCAGCTACCCCGACACGAAAAAAATTAAATTATACCACCCAGGTGATCATTGGATTCATGAAGATTTCTACTGTGTTTTCTTAGGGACTGTCATGTCTATCTTTGTAAAACTGTTTTAACTCTGAAATATTTTGATAAATTTGATGTGGCCAAGGATCTCTCAACAAAGATACTTTCGAGTTTTTTTCTTTCTGTCTAATGTCAGGAAGAGATTCAACTCTTCCCTATCTCACACTCAGAACTACAAAGGTCACATATTACTAAAATTCCATGTTTGTGGAGTAAATCAGTGAATGAGTCCTGGACTTTCACCATATCCCTAAATATTTCACTTTCATGGATGAATATCTAATTTGATAGTTAATCTGGAAGAAAGACAAAAATCCAATCATGATTAACTGGATGGAGCTTAAGAAGTCTAATCCAATGTAGTTCTCTCTCTCTCTCTCTCTTTTTTGAATCTAGCCAATTTCCCAGGCTGGATTGTAGTGGTATAATCTCAGCTAACTGCAACCTATGCCTCCTGGGTTCAAGCGATCCTCCTGCTTCAGCCTCCCTAGTAGCTTGGACTATAGGCGCAGACCACTGCACCTGGCTAATTTTTGTAATTTTAGTAGAGGTAGTGTTTTACCATGTTGGCCAGGATGGTCTCAAACTCCTGACCTCAGATAATCCAATGCCTCTGCCTCCCAAAGTGCTGGGATTACAGGTGTGAGTCACTGCGCACAGCCAAAGTGGTTCATTTTGAACATGCGTAAGAGGTGTGTATTGGAAACACCTGTGTCTTGCGAATGATGCATAACACTGTCACACAGCTTTCAAAGCTTCTTGGTGAAATTTTCAATAATGAGTCCCGGAAGAGGATTACGCCTGTAATCCCAGTACTTTGGGAGGCCAAGGCGGGTGGAATGTTTGAGTCTAGGAGTTCAAGACCAGCCTGGACAACATAGTGAAACCCACTGTCTTTACAAAAAGTCAAAAAATAAAAGATTAGCTGGGCATGAGATCCGAGCTTCAGAGATCCTCGGTAACATTTCCCAGTGCTATGAGTTTATTGCAACAGTGGCTAATAATTCATGGACTAGGAAGGATCTTGCCTGCTCTTTAGAGGTTGGGACACACTCTTCTTGGTACCAGAAGGGCAGAACCATGCCTCTGTAGCCACTTATTGCAGAACGGAATTGGAGTAAACTGAGGGCTCTTTCACACGTGCTAGAGAAATGACTTTGGCCCTAGGAGAAGTGGGGCTTGCTGGGGAATGGCCCGAGAAACTTGCCTTTTCACTTGATTGTCCTCTAGAGTTTTCCCTCGGAGATTTGTCAGAATGAGCCTCCAGGCCCCATCCAGACTGCTGGAGCTGGCAGGGCAGAGCCTGCTGAGGAACCAGTTCTTGACCATCTTCACCCTGGATGAGCTGCCCAGGGAGGTCTTCCCTCTGATGTTCATGGAGGCCTTCAGCATGAGACGTTTTGAGGCCCTGAAGCTGATGGTGCAGGCCTGGCCCTTCCTCCGCCTCCCTCTGGGATCCCTGATGAAGACACCTCATCTGGAGACCTTGCAAGCTGTCCTGAGGGGACTTGATACACTGGTGGCCCAGAAGGTTCGCCCCAGGTGAGGTGACTCAGGTGGCTTTCGGGGAAGGGTCCAGGCATCCAGGGAAGGGACAGCTGGCTCAGGAGGAGTAGTGGGGTTGGGGAGCTAGGGTGGCTCAGAGGCTTCTGACGGTGCCCATGAGAGGCCTTGGCCATTGCCCAGATCCTCTGGAAAAGGTCTGCTCACCATACAGGGTCCACTGAGGAAACAGGAGCTTGCTTCCTCCCAGCAGAAAGTAAAGGTACTAGAAGTGGGTACCAGGCAGAATCCAAGAGGGAGCAGGATGGAGAAGAGACAGAAGGAGGAGCACTGAGGACAGGAGCAGCTGACTGATGTCCTGGATGTGGAGTGAAAGCTCAGGTCAGGGGTGGGTCCTTGCCTACATTCTGAGCTTTTCCCCTATGTTACTCATAGGAGGTGGAAACTTCAAGTGCTGGATTTGAGGGATGTTGATGAGAATTTCTGGACCATATGGTCTGGAGCCAGGGTCCTCTCCTGCTCCCCAGAGGCCATGAGTAAGAGGCAGACAGTGGAGGACTGTCCAAGGATGGGAGAGCGCCAGCCCTTGAAGGTGTTCATAGACCTCTGCCTAAAGGAAAGTACACTGGATGAATGCCTGAGCTACCTTTTTGGGTGGATCCACTACAGAAGAGGCCTAGTGCACCTGTGTTGTAGTAAGGTGCAGAATTACTCAATGCCCACTTCAAGTTTCAGAAATCTATTGGAAAGGATATACCCAGACAGTATCCAGGAGTTGGAAGTCTGGAAAAAGTGCTCTCTCAATAAAACGGGAAAGTTTGCCCCTTACCTGAGCCAGATGAGCAATCTTCGTGAACTCTTTTTAGCCTTCGGTTATGAGCGTGAGTTGTACGTGAGCGTCCAGTGGCCGTGCATTCCTGACTTGGACTCTCCATTCCTCTGCCTGTACTACCCCCAGATGCTTTATATAAAAAAGATCAGTAATATCAAAGAGCACCTGGAGCACCTGCTCAGGTAAGAAATGATGGTGAGCTTTCTCTGCAGACCATACCACAGACTTATGTTCTTTTTCACAGTAAATGTTAGTGGGCATCTACTGTGTGCCAGCCACCGGTGATGTCATAGGGAATGGGACGCTAGAATGTCAACTCATTATGCTCTTCAGTGCTCTATATCCTGAAATGGGTATCACAAGACCACTCAAATAAGGGCAGAGGGATGGCCTGGGGTAGATGCCACAGAGAGAGGTGTGTAGGGAGCCGGTTAGTTGAGGGTTCAGATCTAGTGAGGGTGCATTTGTGAACTCCTTGTGAGGAACAGTGTATAAAGTTAATATGATGAAAACACATTCTTCATACAGAGGATGGTATGAAAGAAGGGAAGGTGTGGCCGGTTGTGGTGTCTCATGCCTGTAATCCCAGCACTTCGGGAGGCCAAGGCAGGGAGATCATGAGGTCAGGAATTTGAGACCAGTCTGGCCAACACAGTGAATCCCCGTCTCTACTAAAAATACAAAAAAAAATGTCACCGGGCATGCAGACAGGCACCTGTAATCCCAGCTGCTTGGGAGACTGAGGCAAGGGAAGTGGAGGCTGCAGTGAGCTGAGTCGGTGCCACTACACTCCAGCCTAGGTTACAATGTGAGACTGTCTCAAAAAAAAAAAAAGAGAAAGTACATCAAACCTGTGCATTCCACAGTAGCAGCTCTGTCTTCAGCAGCTTAGCAAACTGCTCTAATTCCCTGTCTGTAAAACGTTGTTTTGAACTCCAGGAAAGATAATTGATATCAGAAGTGCATGCTTCTGGGATGGAGGGTGAGGGAGTAGGTGTGAGAGTGGTACCAATCACACAGGCAAGGGTGAAAGGACTGAGCCTAAAATGGAGTGGCCCCTGAATGATCTGAGTCTTCATCAGGCAGCACCTTGCATGCAGACCATCATCTGATGATGGGAACAAACTTGTGTTTGGGTAAAACAGGCTTCCCCATTGCAGTTACTATAACACCTGTGTGGTAGTAAGGTGCAGAATTACTCAATGCCCACTTCAAGTTTACCATTGAGATGATTTCCCACCCCCCTCCTCTAACTGGCACCATTGCCCATAACTAACTTCTTGCTCTCCCCAGGTACCTCAAGAACCCCTTGGGGGCCTTTATATTCAGTGATGCTTACCTAACTGATCGGGACATGGAGTGTCTGTCTCAGTACCCAAGCCTCAGTCAGCTAAAGGAGCTGCGTCTGATTCATATCCTAATGTGGACCACCAATCTTGAGCCCCTTGGAGTTCTGCTGGAGAAAGTTGCTGCTACTCTCAAGACCCTCGTCTTAAAGGACTGTCGGATCCAGGACCCCCAACTCAGGGTCCTCCTGCCTGCCCTGAGCCACTGTTCCCAGCTCACCACCTTCAACTTTCATGGAAATGAGACCTCCATGAATGCTCTGAAAGACCTGCTGCGTCACACACGTGGGCTGAGCAAGTTAGGCCTGGAGTTGTATCCTGCCCCTCTGGAGAGTCTTGACTACAAGGGTCATGTCAATTGGGAGATCCTCACCCCAATTCGGGCTGAGCTGATGCGTACACTCAGGGAAGTCAGGCAGCCCAAGAGGATCTTCTTTGGTCCCGTCCCTTGCCCTAACTGTGGCTCATGGCCATCTGAGAAAGTGGACTTCCATCTTTGCTCCTAGGGAAGGCCTGGTTCGTGGGATGGATAAGCTTTCTTCTGGACACTTGGGAACTAAAATATTGTACATGGGTGCATTTTTTAAAATTTTATTTTATTTTTTATATTTTTTATTTTATTTTATTTTTATTTTATTTTATTTTATTTTTTGAGACAGAGTCTCACTGTGTCCCTCAGGATGAAGTGCAGTGGCACAATCTCAGCTCACTGCAAGCACCACCTCCTGGGTTCAAGTGATTCTCCTGCCTCAGCCTCCCAAGTAGCTGGTGTTGTGGGTGTATGCCCCCACGCCCGGCTAATTTTTGTATTTTTAGTAGAGACAGGGCTTCACGATGTTGGCGAAGGCTGACCTCAAACTCCTGACCTCAAGTGATCTGACCACCTTGGCCTTCCACAGTGCCAGGTTTACAGGTGTGAGCAGCAGGGCCCGGTCAGCCGCTTCTTAAAGGAAGCACACAGCCACGTATTTGAGGCACGTGCTCACTGTGAGTGGAAAAACAAAGGTGACTCAGCCAGGGGCAGGACTGGGTAAAAATGCTGACTTGGCATCAATGAGGCCTTCAGGGACCTGTGTCCTAGACTTAGAAATGGAACCTGAAGTTCTAGAGTGATGCAGGACTTACCCCTGCAAGGATGGTTATTTAAAAATGTCAAAAATAAATGGAACCTGAATGGAAACTTTCTGGTGTCTTCCATGATTGATCAACCTGTTTTAGACATTTATACATCAGAAGTCTCTAGAAATCTGCCTCCTGGGTTCAAGCAATTCTCCTGCCTCAGCCTCCTGAGTAGCTGGAACTACAGGGACCCGCCACCATGCCTGGCTATTTTTTGTATTTTTTGTAGAAACGGGGGTTTCACCATGTTGACCAGGCTGGTCTTGAACTCCTGACTTCAGGCAAACCATCCACCTCAGCCTCCCAAAGTGCTCAGATTGTAGACATTAGTCACTGCACCTGGCCTGAAATTCTGATATAAGCATAAAATGTGTAATGTTCAAATCATGGTAACAGGAATAGCCACCATCTCAAGAATTTATCATTTCTTTGTGTTAGCAACATTCCAATTCCATTGTTTTAATTATGTAGAAATTTACTATGAACTATTGTCAACACGAGTTGCCCTATTGTGCTACTGAACCCTAGATCTTATTCCTGTCTGTGTTTTTGTTCCCATTAACCATCCCCTTCTTATTCTCTATTTCCCAGTACCCTTCCTAGCTTCTGATAACCGTCATTTTACTATTTTTAAGTTTCGTGTTTTTTAATTCCCAAATATGAGTGCAAACATCCATGTTTGTCTTTCTGTATCTGGCTTACTTCACTCAACATAACGCCCTCCAGTTCCATCCATGTTGTCGCAGATGACAGGATTTCCTTCATGTTTACAGCTCAATGATATTCTGTTGTGTATATTTACCACATTTTCTTGATCCATTCATCTGTTGATGGACACTTATGTTGATTCCAAATTTTGGCTATTGTGGATAGTGCTACAATAAATAGGAGAGTGCAAGCTGAGTGCAGTGGCTCATGCCTGTAATCCCAGAATTTTGGGAGGCTGAGGCAGGTGGATTACTTGAGGTCAGGAGTTCGAGACCAGCCTGACCAACATGGTAGTGTAGATATCTCCTGAATATATTTCTTTTTTTTTTTCTGGATATATATCCAGCAGTGGGATTTATGGTTTATGTGGTAATCCTATTTTTATTTTTTGGAGGAAACTCCATACTGCTTTCCTTAGTAGCTGTACGAATTTACATAACTACCAATGTTGTACCAGGGTTCTCATTTCTCCATATTCTTCATAGCATCCATTATTTTCTGTTGGTTTTTTATGGGGGAGATCCCCTTACTATTAAAACTCAAATCCAGTTTGGTGTAAACACAGAAACCCTGCTAGAGTTGCCTGCCACCCTTGAAACAGGCCATTGGAATGAAAATTGTCCACCTATGCACCAGGTCTCTATTGGACAGAATGCTTTTGTCCCAGAGGTTGTTCACAATAGAGGACATTTCTTCTTTGTTTTTCTTTACTTTTCTGCCTTTTTTTTTTTTTAGGGTAGAGTTTCACTATTGTTGCCCAGGCTGGAGTGCAATGGTGGGATCTCAGCTCACTGCAACCTCCACCTCCCGAGTTCAAGCGATTCTCTTGCCTCAGCCTCCCAAGTAGCTGGGATTACATTCATGCACCACCACAGCTGGCTAATTTTGTGTTTTTAGTAGAGACAGGGTTTCTCCATGTTGGTTAGGCTGGTCTCGAACTCCCAACCTCAGGTTATTCCCCCACCTCAGCCTCCCAAAGTGCTGGGATTATAGGCAGGAGCCACCACATCCAGCTAGAGGACATTTCTGATGTCTCCATATTGATGGAATTTAAAATAACTCTCTGGTAAATTGTTTTCTATAATAGCCTTAAATAAAAATGGAGAAGGTGAGATTAAGATCATTGCAGACTTAGGTACAGAATTGGTGGAAACCAGGGCTGCCATATCCAGTATACAGCCAATATATCAGCAAATCCCTTGGAGAAAGGAAAATATTTCTGAGGAGGGGTTTCACATGAAGTTCAGAAAATTCCTGTGTTTGAAGCAGTCCAAATGACATTTGGACCATTTTTAGGAAAGTATGGCTTTTTATTAAGTGACAACATGGGGATGAGATTTGCTTTCTCTGTTAAGTTGATGCGTAAAGCTTTCTTTGGAGGGAGAGAAAACCCTAGAGTTTCCTGACCTTCCTTAACCTGAACTGCTTGGTTCCCTAGAAGCAGAAATTGATCATATTAGAACCCAAACTCATACCAACCTTGACCTTCATGAAGTACTCAAGTGTTTCTGCTCTTCTTCCTCATGTGATGTAGAAAGTATTAAAAGTGATGAGTTTAGGCCAGGCACGGTGGTTCACGCCTGTAATCTCAGCACTTTCAGAGGCCGAGGTGGATACATCACCTGTGGTCAGGAGTTCCAGACCAGCCTGGGCAACATGGTGAAACTCTGTCTCTACTAAAAATACAAAAACTAGTTGTGTGTGGTGGCCTGTGCCTGTAATTCCAGCTAACTGGAAGACTGAGGCAGGAGAATCACTTGAACCGGGAGGCAGAGGTTGCAGTGAGCCGAGATCACACCATTGCACTCCAGCCTGGAAAACAAGAGTGAAACTCCATCTCAAAAAAAAATTAATAAATAAATACATTATAAATAAATAAATTAATTAATGCTTTAAAGAAAAAAGAAATAAACTTTGCCTACAAATTTCATATGCAATTGAATACCTCTTAAATTTTGATGTGAACCGACCAGGCATGGTGGCTGAGGCCTGTAATCCCAGCACTTTGGGAGGCCAAGGCAGACAGACCACGAAGTCAGGAGATTGAGACCATCCTAGTTAACATGGTGAAACCCCGTCTTTACTAAAAATACAAAAAATTAGCCAGGTGTAGTGGCATGCACCTGTAGTCCCGGCTATTTAGGAGGCTAAGGCAGGAAAATTGCTTGAACCGGGGAGGCAGAGGTCGAAGTGAGCTGAGATCGTGCCACTGCATTCCAGCCTGGTGACGGAGCGAGACTCCATCTCAAAAAATAAATGAATAAAATAAATAAATCAATAAAAATATTGTGACAGGAACCAACATTGCTCAACTTGTACACTAATGTCTTACAAAATCCTTTCCTTGTCACCTTCAAATCTCCATTTCAAATGCTACACTCTGCATAACTCTACCACTTTGTTGCCATTTTCTGATGATGGAGAAGACCATACATGTGTGTGTGTGGCATCAGAACTATTGACTCCTCCTATTGATGTTTAAGATATTCCATTACACAAACCTGGGTTCATACTTTTTGTTGATAGATCTTATGCCAAAAATGTAGGCAAAAAATGCCAAGCAGGAAATGCTATCACTTCTGAAGATGAATTCATAGAGATGGAAATTCTTTCAGAATTTATTTTTCCAGCTTTTTTCTTTGTTTGTTCGTTTGTGTTTGTTTGTTTTGAGACAGTCTCGCTCTGTCACCAAGTTGGAGTGCAGTGGTGAAATCTTGGCTGACTGCAACCGCCTCCTCCTGAGTTCAAGTGACTCTCATGCCTCAGTCTCTCGAGTAGCTAGGACAATGGGTGGGCGCCACCATGCCCAGCTAATTTTTGTATTTTTAGCAGAGACAGGGTTTCACCATGTTGGCTAGGATGGTCTCAATTTTTGGCATCGTGATCTACCTGCCTTGGCCTCCTGAAGTGCTGGGATTAGAGGTGTGAGCCACCACCGTGCCCGGCCATTTTTTTTTTTTTCCTTTTGAGATGGAGTCTCACTCTATTGCCTGGGCTGGGAAAGGAACTCCTCCTATCAATTATTTTTTTAAATTTTCTTTTGTTTTATTGACCTGACAAGGGTCAAATAGAGTTGAGTTTTTGTTTTTGTTTTTTCCATTGGAAGGTACAAACAGAGGTTACAATCATTGGCTTTAGATGACAAGATAAAAGAATAAAACATATTCCTTGCAAGACAACCAGCAGAACTTCATGATCAGCATCAAATCAGTGCCTTCTCACTGTCAGTGGGTGGAAGCCTTCATCAATACTTGTAGAGTTTGAAGCACTCATGAACTCACGATCAGACTCTTTACTCAGGGACAGGATGTAAGCCAAGCGAAAGACCTTCCACAGGTGGTGAATTTGGAAGCCTGCCCAATGTGACCTGCAAGTTTTCACTGGCAATATGCAGGTGCAGATATGACAAAGAATAACCATGACCTTTACATCACCCCCAGCTGTTGAGGAATGGGATCCTTTTGACCCTTTCTGTCCATAGAACCAGGTTATTCATCTTGTGTGGCAACAACATATATGGTGTACTTAACAGAAAAGAAGACTCTGTAAAAAAAAAAGTTTATTATGAAGTAAGCAAAGAAGTGGCAATAGATGCGAGATTATTTGGGGAGATAAAGGAAGTTGAAGGTTTTGAAAGGAAAAATAAGGAGGATTATACAAATTGTTTTGAAAGACTCATACTTGGTCATAAGGATTAAAACCAAAAGGGCATCAGTGCAATGTTAGATAGATTCCTCTTACACCCACTCAATAACCCCCAACATGTTCAGCAAGTCTTGCTTCACTCCCAGGTTCCCATTAAAAACCCAGCTCAACCCTGACCAGCTCCACCCTCACTTCCATTTGTAATTTTGACATGACTTTATTACAGGACCATCAGGTTCCTATGCCTGCTGCACAGTAGCTTAGCAATATTCTGAGACAGCAGGGTTTGCAGCAGAGAGTTTAATGATCACAAGGTGGCTGAATGAGAAGCTAGGAGGAGATCCTCAAATTCATCTCCCCAAGGAGTACTGAAGGTTTCCAGTGGATCCTGGATAGCAAGGGGCCGGAAAGTTGGGGTAGCGGTAAGAGGGAAGAAGTCAACAGGATGTAGAAACTGCATTCTTTGGTGAGTTGGTGCATTGCATGGCCCTTCAGATCAGCTGGCATCAGTAGTTTCACTGACATGCAGAACCTGAAAGAATATCTCAGATGAAAAAGTTAATGTTTTACAATGCTTGAATCGTTGTCTGCAGGGAAGTTAAGGGGAACTGTAATCTAAGGTCTATATGATTTTGGAACAGTAGGCTGCCAGCAACCATGAGGAACCAGGTCAGAGAGCAAGAAGACCTCCTGATGAATGCTGAATGTGTTGCAAGCTTGGTTTATTTTTCTTTCTCTCCCTCCCTTCTTCACTGATTAAATTTATAAAGTTTATCGATGTGGTTTCAATTTCTTCCAAAGAAGCCTTAACCTAAGCACTGAGACCACTCACGCCCTCAGTAGCACCTCTCCTCCACCAGAACGAGCATGTAATCTGCTACCTTAGGTTATATAAAATCCCAAAGACCATTCAATACATTGAGATTTTTATTCTGATATCGTAGGGATGACTCCTCTGTTTTTATAAAGCTTTTTAAAGTAGAAAGCATTTTTATATTTTGATGTGGCCAAAGATCTCCTAACAACACTACTTTCAGATTTTATTTTTCTGTCTAATGTTGGGAACAGATCAAATCCTTCCCTGCCTCACACTCAAGATTATGAAGTTCACATATTAATAAAATACCATCAGTGTTTGTGGAGTTCATGAATGAATGATTTTTTTATTTTTTGACAGAATCTCCCTCTGTCACCCAGACTGGAGTGCAGTGGCACAAATCTGGCTCACTGCAACCATTGCCTCCTGGGTTCAAGCAATTCTCCTGCCTCAGCCTCCCAAGTAGCTGGGTTTCAGGTGCCTGCCATCATGCCCAGCTAATTTTTGTATTTTTGTAGAGACGGGGTTTCACCTTTTTGACCTGACTGGTCTTGAACCCCTGACATCAGGTGATCTACTCACCTTCTCCTTCCAAAGTGCTGGAATTACAGGTATGAGCCACCTCGCCCACCCTTGAATGAATGTATTCTTGACTTCTACCCTATCCCTAACACTGTCAATTTCTTGCTTCACGAACTGAATACAGATATGTGATATGAATGGATATCTGACTCAATCCATTAATCTGGGGAAAGCCAAAAACCCAATCAGGATTAACTGGGTGGAGCTTCACAAATGCAATCAGATATTGCTTTTTGATTGGAAGCTAGCAGTGCATACGTGGAGGGGCGTGGGTGGGAGTTGTGATTAGAAAGGTCAGTAAAAGCTTCTAAGGACCCACAGGAGAGACCCAAAGTCTTCAAGCCTGGAGTTCCTGCTTGGTTCTTCCTGAGATCTGAGAACCTTCTAGACTACATCCAGATCTGGTAAGTCACTAATTTCTGTAAGGACACTCCCATCTGACCTACAGTCAGTCGGTCTGGGATGGTGACAGTGCAGCCTACGATGGCACAGAGCTATATCCTGTCCTTTTTTTTTTTTTTTTATATGAACAATTGGAAGCTTTGAATTTTTTCCTCTAAAGGCAGTTCTGTCTTTATTTCAAAAAAGTTGATTGTGCTTTGGTTGATGCCATTTTAAAATTCTTGAAGGGAGCAGTGACTCATGCCTTTAACCCCAACACTTCGGGAGGCCAAAGTGGGAGGATCATTTCAGCCCAGGGATTTGAGACCAACCTGGACAACATGACAAAAACCCTCCTCTGCACAACGTTTTTTTTTTGAGGGTGGGGATGGAGTCTCACTGTGTTGCCCAGACTGGAGTGCAGTGGCATGATCTCAACTCCCTGCAACCTTTACTTCCCGGGTTCAAGCAATTCTCATGCCTCAGTCTCCATCCTCAGAAGCTGGTGTCACAGACATCTGAAACCATGCCTGGCTAACTTTTGTATTTTTAGTAGAGGTGGGGTTTCACCACGCTGGCCAGGTTGGTCTCGAACACCTGACCTCAAGTGATCCACCTGCCTTGGCCTCCCAAAGTGCTGGGATTACAGCTGTGAGTCACCATGCATCTGTAGTCCCAGCTATTTGGGTGGCTGGTGTGGGAGAATCACTTGAGCCCAGAAGATTGAGGCTGCAGTGAGCCATGCTCACACCACTACTGTACTCCAGCCTGGGCAAAAGAGAGACACTCTGTCCAAAAACAAAAACAAAATCAATCAAAAAGGATCTTTGACCTTAATTTTAAACCAATCACATCCTCTTCCACCCAAATGGAGGCATGGCTGTGGGGGGTGCATGCCTGTAGTCCCAGCTATGTGGAAGGCTGAAGCATGAGAATTGCTTGAATCTTGGAGGCGGAGGTAACAGTGAGCCATGATGGTGCCACTGCACTCCAGCCTGGGCGACGAAGTGAGACTCAGCTCCCTCAGCACCAAAAACAATTATATGACCCAGGTGATCATCGGATACATGAAGATTTCTATTGTGTTTTCTTAGGGACTGTCATCTCTGTCTTTGAAAACTGTTTTAACTCTGAAATATTTTGATAAATTTGATGTGGCCAAGGATCCCTCAACAAAGATACTTTCAAGTTTTCTTTCTTTCTGTCTAATATCAGGAAGAGATTCAACCCTTCCCTGTCTCACACTCAGGACTTTGAAGGACACATATTAGTAAAACTCCATGTTTGTGAAGGGAATCAGTGAATGAGTCCTGGACTTTCACCCTATCCCTAAATCTTTCATTTTGATGGATCAATATCTAATTCGATCAGTTAATCTTTAAGAAAGCCAAAAATCCAATAAGGATTAACTGGGTAGAGATTAAGAAGTCTAGTCAAATGTAGCTCTCTCTGTCTCTCTGTTCAATCTAGCCTATTTCCCAGGCTGGAGTGGAGTGGTATAATGTCAGCTCACTGCAACTTCTGCCTCCTGGGTTCAAGTGATCCTCCTACCTCAGCCTCCCTAGTAGCTTGGACTACAGGCGCAGACCACTGCACCTGGCTAATTTTTGCTGTCTTAGTAGAGTCAGGGTTTTACCATGTTGGCCAGGCTCGTCTTGAATTCCTGATCTCAGATGATCCACCTGCCTCGGCCTCACAAAATGCTCAGATTACAGGTGTGAGTCACTGCACCCAGCCAAAGTGGTTCAGTTTGAACATGTGTAACAAGTGTGCATTGGAAACATCTATCTTGAGAATGATGCATAACAGTGTCACATAGCTTTCAAAGCTTCTCACTGAAATTTTCAATAATGAGGCTGGGGTGGAGGCTCACACCTATAATCCCAGTATGTTGGGAGGCCAAGAGGGGTAGATTGCTTGAGACTAGGAGTTCAAGACCAGCTTGGACAACATAGCGAAATCCACTGTCTTTACAAAAAGTCAAAAAATAAAAGATGAGCTGGGTGTGGTGATGCATAACTGTGGTCCGAGCTACTTGGGAGGCTGAGGAGGAAGAATCCTTTGAGCTGGGAGGTCAAGGCTGCACTGAGCTGAGATCCCACCACTACACTCCAGGCTGGGTGACACAGCAAGACTCTGTCAGAAAGAGTGAGAGAGGGAGAGAGAGAAAGAGAGAGAGAATGAGAGAAGGGAGGCAGGGAAAGAAGACAAGAAAGAAAAAAGGGAGAGAGAGGGGGAAAGAAAGAAAGAAGGGAGGGAGAGAGGGAAAGAAGGAAAGAAGAAAGAGAGAGAAAGAGAAAGCAAGCTTAAATAATGAAAAGAAAACAAATAGAACCTGTTCTAGGGATGCCCCATGAATGTTCCCAACAAGCTTATTTGTAGGAACTGAAAATGTGGGCATGTAGGCTTGTGACATTCCCATTCCCATTGTTTTAGAACCTTGAGTAATTAGTAGTTTCCCCCAATGGTAGGAGGGGTTCACTTTCAGGTTCCTCCACACTCACTAGTCACTGGATGGAGCACTGGATAGAAAGGAAGGGCTCGTGGTGGCCCTGCTTCCTCACTGCTTCGGAGACGCTCATGCTGATGCAGCAGAGGCAGAATGCTGGCTTAATGGCCACTGAGTACAGAGTAGAATTGGAGTAAACTGAGGACTCTTTCACCATTGCCAGAGCAGTGAGTTTGGCCATAGGAGAGGATGAGATTGCATGGGCTTGGCCCGAGAGAGATGCCTTTTCTCTGGGTTTGTCCTCTGGAAGTTTTCCCTGCAGATTCATGAAGATGAGCATCTGGACTCCACCCAGACTCCTGGAGCTTGCAGGGCGGAGCCTGCTAAGGGACCAAGCTTTGGCCATGTCCACCCTGGAGGAGCTGCCCACAGAACTTTTCCCCCCACTGTTCATGGAGGCCTTCAGCAGGAGACGCTGTGAGGCCCTGAAGCTGATGGTGCAGTCCTGGCCCTTCCGCCGCCTCCCTCTGAGGCCTCTGATAAAGATGCCTTGTCTGGAGGCCTTCCAAGCTGTGCTCGATGGGCTGGATGCACTGCTTAACCTAGGGGTTCGTCCCAGGTGAGGTGGCCCAGGTGGGCTGGTGGGGAGGGCCCAGGTGTCCAACTGAAGGAACAGCTGGGTCGTGAGAAGTGAGGAGGCCCAAGGGGGATGGTGGTGGTGAGGAAGCCGAGAGGACTTGGCCATTCACCAGCTCCTCAGGGAAAGCACTGCTCACCACGCAAGGTCCATGGAGGTAACAGGAACCTCTCCTCTAATGGCACTGAAAGGCACCATGAAAAGTGAGAACTGGGCCGGGCACGGTGGCTCACAATGTATTCCCAGCACATTGGGAGGCTGAGGTCAAGAGTTGGAGGCCAGCCTGTCCAACATGGTAAACCCCAACTCTACTAAAAATACTAAAATTAGCTGGGCATGGTGGTGGGCTCCTGTAATCCCAGCTACTTGTGAGGTTGAGGCAGGAGAATCATTTGAATCTGGGAAGCAGAGGTTGCAGTGAGGTGACATCACACCACTGCACTCTAGCCTGGGCGACACAGGGAGACTTGGTCTCAAAAAAAAAACAAAACAATGTGGAAGTGGGCAGGATCCAAGGGGAAAACAGAGTGAAGAAAAGTCAGAGAGAGGGACAAGAAGCAGGGAGGGGAGGAGCTGCTATCCAGGATGTGGAGTTTAAGTTCAGAAATGAGTTCTGAAATTCTCAGTCTCACCTCTATTTTCCCACAGGAGGTGGAAACTTCAAGTGCTGGATTTACAGGATGTCTGTGAGAACTTCTGGATGGTTTGGTCTGAAGCTATGGCCCATGGGTGCTTCCTCAATGCCAAGAGGAACAAAAAACCAGTGGAGGACTGTCCAAGGATGAAAGGACGGCAGCCCTTGACTGTGTTCGTAGAACTTTGGCTCAAGAACAGGACTCTGGATGAATACCTCACCTGCCTCCTTCTATGGGTCAAGCAGAGGAAAGATTTACTACACCTGTGCTGTAAGAAGCTGAAAATTTTGGGAATGCCCTTCCGCAATATCAGAAGCATCCTGAAAATGGTGAACCTAGACTGTATCCAGGAGGTGGAAGTGAATTGCAAGTGGGTACTGCCCATCCTGACACAGTTTACCCCATACCTGGGCCACATGAGGAATCTTCAGAAACTCATTCTCTCCCACATGGATGTCTCTCGCTACGTTTCCCCAGAGCAGAAGAAGGAGATTGTTACCCAGTTCACCACTCAGTTCCTCAAGCTGCGCTGCCTCCAAAAGCTTTATATGAACTCTGTTTCTTTCCTCGAAGGCCACCTGGACCAGCTGCTCAGGTGAGGGAGGGTGGTGAGCTTTCTCTGCAGACCACAGCAGAGCCTGTTACAGTAAACACTAGTGGGCATCTACTGTGAGCCAGCCTATGAGGATGAAACAGTGAAGGGGACACTAGAATGTCCATGCATTGTCCTGTGGGCGGCCCTGTCCTGAAATGGGTATCATGCAACCCTCCCAATAGAGGCAGAGGGATCAGCTAGGGGAGATGCTATGGAGAGGCTGCCATGCTAGGAAGTCAGCTACTGGGGGGTTCAGATCTAGTGAGGGTGCCTTTCTGAATTCTTCCTGAGGACGTGTGTCTAAGTTAAGATGATGAAAAATACGCCAGGGGCGGTGGCTCATGCCTGTAATCCTATCACTTTGGGAGTCTGAGGCAAGAGGATAGCTTGAGCCTAGGAGTTTAAGACCAGTCTGGCTAACATACCAAGACCCCTGTCAGAAATGAATAAACAAAAGTAAAAACAAACAAGATAACTTTTTTTTTCTGAGATGGAGTTTCTCTTTGATCGTCTAGGCTACAGTGCAGTTGTGACATCTCAGCTCGCAGCAACTTCTGCCTCCCAGGTTCATGCGATTCTCCTGCCTCAGCCTCCTGAGTGCCTGGGATTACAGGCGTGAGCCACCACACCTGGCTAATTTTTATATTTTAAGTAGAGACAGGGTTTCACCATGTTGGCCAGGTTATTCTCCAACTCCTGACTTCAGGTGATCCACCCACCATGGACTCCCAAAGTGCTGGGATTATAGGCGAGAGCTACCACGCCCAGCCAACAAGATAATTTTTAAGAAGATGATGTGAAGTAGGGAAGTGAAGTGGGCACTGAAGAGGGGAATGTTCAGCAAACCTGCACTTGTCAGAAAATCAGCTTTGTGCCCCACAGTTTGGTGAACATGAATGATCCCATCTCTAATTCCCTGTTGTAAAAGTTTCTTTTGAGCTCCAGGTAAATTAATTATCTAGGCAATGCATGATTCTGAAACAGAGGGTCAGGGTGCAGGCACAAAGAATGGTGAAAGTGATAGATGGTTTGCTGATGATACAGGCATGTCAGGGACGCCTGCAGCCCGCCCACCGTAGCTGATGTTGCAGGATCCTGTCTGGGTTTGTCCTTTATGCCTGAATCTCCACTGGGCTCCTGTGGCCCAGGGATGTGGTTTTCTGCCTGACAGATGAGGAAAGGGAGCTTTAGGGATTCTGTGAACTTGATCCATTCCTATAAATGATGGTGAAGTGACTCAGCCTCAAATGGAATTATTTTTTCTCCTTTTTTTTTTTTAATACAGAGTCTCTCTCTGTCACCCAGGCTGGAGTGTAGTGGCATGATCTCTGCTCACTGCAACCTACACCTCCTGGGTTCAAGCGATTCTTCTGCCTCAGCTTCCCAAGTAGCTGGAATTGCAGGCTCCCCCCACCACACCTGGCTAATTTTTGGATTTTTAGTAGAGAGGAGGTTTTGCCATGTTCAGCAGGCTGGTCTCAAACTCCTGATCTCAAGGAATCCACCAGTCTCAGCCTCCCAAAGTGCTGGGATTACAGGTGTGAGTTACTGGGCCGGGTCTAAAGTGGAATTGACCTCGGTGGCAAAGCTCTTCATCACACATCATCCTAAGTGTTGACCATCAGGCCATCAGAATGACCCTGGACTTGGGCAAAAAGGTCTCCATCCATTACCTTGAAGCCATTCCCCACCACCCTCCACTCACCCCTATGATTCCCCAGAATTAACTTCTTGCTCTCTCTCCCCAGCTGTCTGAAGACCTCGTTAAAGTTCCTCACAATAACTAACTGTGTGCTTTTGGAATCAGACTTGAAGCATCTATCCCAGTGCCCGAGTATCAGTCAACTAAAGACCCTGGACCTGAGTGGCATCAGACTGACCAATTACAGTCTTGTGCCTCTCCAAATTCTCCTAGAAAAAGTTGCAGCCACCCTTGAGTACCTGGATTTAGATGACTGTGGCATCATAGACTCCCAAGTCAACGCCATCTTGCCTGCCCTGAGCCGCTGCTTTGAGCTCAACACCTTCAGCTTCTGTGGAAATCCCATCTGCATGGCCACCCTGGAGAACCTGCTGAGCCACACAATCATACTCAAAAACTTATGCGTGGAGCTGTATCCTGCCCCCCGGGAGAGTTATGGTGCTGATGGTACTCTCTGCTGGAGCAGATTTGCTCAAATTAGGGCTGAGCTGATGAACAGAGTGAGGGACTTAAGGCACCCCAAGAGGATCTTGTTCTGTACTGACTACTGCCCTGACTGTGGCAACAGGTCATTTTATGACCTGGAGGCAGATCAATACTGCTGTTGAATGCCTGCCTATTTGGATGGGTATGTCAAACGCTTTCTTCTGGACACTTGGAAACTAAAACCTAGGTCTTAGGTACATCCTAAAGGGAGCACAGAACCCATCATTTCACACATAGGCTCTGAAAGTGGGAAAGGAAAGCTGATCAAGCAGGGGCCGGACTTGGGGGAAATGTTGCCATGGATTCGATGGGACTTTGGGGACCTGTGTCCTGTAGAGTCGAAAATGGGAATCTGAATGTCTAGAGTGGAATTCAGGCTTGAGAATACATGAGGGAGTTACTCTTGCATGGATGGTTGTAAAGAAACAATCAGAAATAAAGGAAAACTGAGCAGAATCTGTCTGGTGCCCTCTATTATTAAGTAACCTGTTTTCCAGTTTAAGCCTCAGGAATCTTCAGTTATTGATGGAAAAAACAAAAGGCACTGACTGAGTTGTCCAATCAATAAGATGCAGCCCAAGAAAATCAAGGCATTTAAATGAAATTTGGTTATTGTAATCAGTTTCCTCCCATTCTTTTATTGGAGACAGAGTTTCACTCTTGTTGCCCAGGCTGGAGTTTAGAGTGCAATGGTGCCATCTGAGCTGACTGCAACCTCCACCTGGGGTTTAAATGATTCTTCTGCCTCAGCCTCCCAAGTAGCTGGGATTACAAGCATGCACCACCATGCCCAGCTAATTTGTGTATGTTTAGTAGAGACAGGGTTTCCTCACTATGTTGGTCAGGCTGGTCTCAAACTCCTGACTTTGGGTGATTCATGCAAGTAGGCCTACCAAAGTGCTGGGGTTACAGGTGTGAGCCACTGTGTCAGGCTTTTTTGTTTGTTTGTTTTTTAAAGGTCTCCTGTCACTCAGGCTACAGTGCAGTGGCACAATCATACCTCACTGCAACCTCAATTTCCGGGGTTCAAGCGATCCACCCACCTCAGCCTCCTGAGTAGCTATGACTACAGCTGTGTGAGCCACCACACCTGGATACTTCTTTTTAGTAGAGACAAGGCCTCGCTGTCTTCCCCAGGCTGATCTGGAACTCCTGAGCTTGTGATTCTCCTGCCTTGGCCTCCCAAAATGCAGGGAGTATAGGCGTGGACCACCACGCTTGGCTTGGCCTCCTCCAGTTCTTCACTTCTTTAGATGTCTGTTAACTCCTTGTTAGTTTCTGTGGCTGTTCAGTGGGTTAATACACACTAGGTGGACACCAAAGGCCTGGAACATTGCTGGGCAAGAACAGTGAGCCAATCCACACGGAAAGCACCTTCTTCTCAGGGTCTTTCACCGCTATCCAGATGCTGAGACCCTGCCCACTCCCTGTGAGTCTCCACATGCTTCCAGAAGCCTTAGTTGGTGGATGTCAGCTTCACTGCACAAGGAGCCACTCTCTTCCCGCTGCCCTGGAAGGGGATGTCCATATTGTGTATTAGCTGGAGACTCTGGGCAGCATCAACCCTTGCTTGTTCTCCTGATGACCAGCAGCCCTTCTTGAATTAAACTGGTTGTAGCCAGTAAAGACAGCCACATTCCCTTTAAGTAAAATACTAAAACTATACAGGCATATAACACTTTTTAAATATTTCCATCTGACATTTTAAAAGTTACATCTTTTGGGGGAGCTAGGTCAGATTGATGAGAGATTTTCTCATAACACCTCCCCTCTCTCCCTATGAAGGAAGAGACTAGTGCAGCGTGTTCTGGAATCTGACAGCATCAAAGGGTGGATAACGATCAAGGGCCTGTGGGTGATGAGTGACCTTCCCTGTGCTGAGGAATTCTGCATAATGGGCACCCAAGTGAAGGATCCTGCTGTGTACTCAGGGGCTGGTGTTGCTGTCAGGGATGTTAGCCTAGAGCCTCAGCTTCCTGTAAAATGAGGATGATGATGTCCAACAGCTTATGGGACCTTGGTAGGATCCAATGAGATGGTTCATGTTTAGGGCTTGGCATGGGGTCTGGCATACAGTAAGATCAATACATCTTGTTCTTTTTTCTCTTCTCAGCAGAAGTCCCAGCACTTTTCATCTTTCAATCTCACCTCCTTTTCCTGATAATAGAGAGGCAACAAGAACTCAGGGCATGCAATGGGGCTCAACTTCTACTCTCTGCCACAATTTCATCATGATTGCCCCAAAGAGCAGAGCCCCAGGAGCCAGCAGGGGGCAGGGTGGGCATTTCTGGACTGGATTCATTCATAATAAGATCAAAATTTCCAATCCGTATGTCTCGGGTGCCATCTGCTGATAGATCCGACCAGATGGTATAATTGAGTGTTGCAAGGATTATATTTTATGGTGTTTTTAAAAATGTACTATTATGAGCCAGGTGCAGTGAGTCATACCTGTAATTCCAGCACTTTGGGAGGCTGAGGCAGGTGGATCACCTGAGGTTGGGAGTTTGAGACCAGCCTGAGCAACATGAAGAAAACCCTTCTCTACTTAAAATACAAAAAATTAGCCAGGCGTGGTGGCGCACGTCTGTAATTGCAGCTACTCGATAGGCTGAGGCGGGAGAATCATTTGAACCTGGAGGTGGAGGTTGCGGTGAGCTCAGACTGAGCCATTGCACTCCAGCCTGGGCAACCCTAGCAAAACTCCGTCTCAAAAAAAAAGATAAAATAAGATTTATTATTATGGCCGGGCATGGTGTCTCACACCTCTAATCCCAGCACTTTGGGAGGCCAAGGCAGCCTCAGGATTTTGAGACCAGCCTGGCCAACATGGTGAAACCCCATCTCTACTAAAAATACACAAAATTTGCTGGGAGTGGTGGCATTCGCCTGTAATCCCAGGTATTCAGGAGGCTGAGGCAGGACAATCACTTGAACCCGGGAGGTGAGGGTTGCAATGAGACGAGATGGCACCACTTCACTCCAGCCTGGGCGACAGAGCATGAAAAAAAATTTACTATAATGTGAATACTATTAGAGTATAAATATTTGTGTTGTAATTTATGTATATGAAAGATTAGAACTTTTAAAGAATGCAACGTGATATTTCAAGAATGGTTAATGGCCAGGTGTGGTGGTTCATGCCTGTATTCCTGGCACTTTGGGAGGCCGAGGTGGGCAGATCACGAGGTCAGGAGTTCCAGACCAGCCTGGCCAACATGATGAAACCCCGTCTCTACGAAAAATACAAAAAATTAGCCTGGCGTGGTGACAGGTGCCTGTAATCCCAGATAGTCAGGAGGCTGAGGCAAGAGAATCGCTTGAACCTGCGAGGCAAAGGTTGCAGTGAGCCAAGAATGCACCACTGCACTCCAGCCTGGGTGAAAGAGGAAGACTCCGTCTCAAGGAGGGTGAGAAAAAGAATACTTAACTTGGTTTGAAATGTCAAAACAAATGAGATTTTAAAAACTAATTTTAAAGACACTGAACAATAATCATTTCTTCTTTAAAATATATTTAGAATAATACAATTTTAGCTTTGAAAGGAAACATTACAGTTTTAAAAAATATTGAGTTTATTTTATTTTATTTTATTTTATTTTATTTGGAGACAAAGTCTCACTCTGTTGTCCAGATTGGAGTGCAGTGGCATGATCACGGCTTACTGCAGCCTTGACCTCCTAGGCTCAGGTGATCTCCCTGCCTCAGTCCCCCTAGTAGCTGGAACAACAGGCATGCACCATCATGCCTGACTTATTTTTGTATTCTTAGTGAAGACCAGGCTTCACCATGTTGCCCAGACTGGTCTTGAAATTCTGGGCTCAAGCGATCCACCTGCCTCGGCCTCCTAAATTGCTGGGAGTGAGTTCCTATAGGCATGAGCCACCGCACCCAGCCTTGAGTTTATTTATTTATTTATTTTGGAGATGGAGTCTCCTTCTGTCATCCGTGCTGGAGTGCAGAGGTACGATCTCTGTTCACTGCAACTTCTGCCTCCAGGATTCCAGCAATGCTCCTGTCTCAGCCTCCAGAGTAGCTGGGATTACAGGCATGCAACACCACACCTGATTAATTTTTGTATTATTATTATTATCAGTTTTTAGTAGAGACAGGGTTTTGTCATTTTAGCTAGGCTGGTCTGGAACCCCTGATCTCAGGTGATCCACCTGCCTCGGCTTCCCAAAATGCTATGACTATAGACGTGAGCCACCACACCCAGCCTATTTTTTCCTTTACAGCAGTTTTAGATTCACAGAAAAACTAAGCAGAAACTGCAGAGTTCTCATCTACCTTCTTCCCCCTTCAATACACAGCACCCCCACAGGATCAGCACCCACACCAGCACAGAGCATTCATCACAACCAATGAGCCACAGGGACACATCATTATCACCCAATGTCCATAGTTCACATGAGGGATCATTGCTGGTTTTGTACATTCTATGGATTTTAACAAAGGGATAATGACATGTATCCACCATTAGAGCATCATGGAGAGTAGTTTTCTTTCCCTAAAATTCCTCTGTCCTCTTCCCATTCATCCCATTGTGCTCCCAACCCCTTGCATCCACTGGGCTTTCTACTGTCTCCTTAGAAAAATGCAAAAGCTTTTTCTGGAATGTCTAACAGGATGAGTCTTTTCAGATTGCCTTCTTTCACTTGTACAATAACGTGCATTTAGGAATTTTTCATGTCTTTTTACAGCTTTATAATAGTTCACTGACTGGATGGATCAGTTTGCTTATCCAGTCACTGACCGAAGGGCAACTTGCTAGCTTCCAAGTTTTGGCGATTATGAGTAAGTTGCTGTAAACATCCAGGTGTGGGTTTACTCACTTCATTAAATATCCAGGAGCATGATTACGGAATTGTAGGGGTATGGTATGTTTTACAATGATTTCTTCTTTCTTGACAATCTCACTTGTTCGATATTGCTGCTAAAGGTCAGGAACTTTGTCTCCATCATCCTGTGTTCCCACTGCTGAGCATGGAACGTGGCACTTGGTAGCAAATGCTGTTGACCACGTGATGCATGGAAACGTTTATCATGGGTATAGTCACTAAATTGCTACCTTGGGGACATCAACATTAGCTCACTACCAATAATATAAATAAATTGGATTATGGAAAAAAATGGCCCTTGTGATACTGTGGATACTCCAGGTGTATCATGAACGTCCAGCAATTGACCAGGCACAGTGGCTCACATCTGTAATCCCAGCACTTGCAGAGACTGAGGTGGGTGGATCACTTCAGTCAGGAGTTCAAGACGACTCTGGCCAATATGATGAAACCCTGTCTCTATTAAAGACACAAAAATTAACTAGGGGGTTGAGCCAAGATGGCCGAATAGGAACAGCTCCAGTCTACAGCTCCCAGCCTGAGCGGTGCAGAAGACGGGTGATTTCTGCATTTCCAACTGAGGTACCAGGTTCTTCTCACTGGGGAGTGTCAGAAAGTGGGTGTAAGACAGTGGGTGCAGTGCACCGAGCATGAGCCAAAGCAGCGTGAGGCATTGCCTCTCCTGGGAAGTGCAAGGAGTCAGGGAATTCCCTTTCCTAGTCAAAGAAAGGGGTGACAGATGGCACCTGTAAAATCCGGTCACTCCCACCCTAATACTGCACTTTTCCAACAGTCTTAGCAAATGGCACACCAGGAGATTATATCTCGTGTCTGGCTCAAAAGGTCCTATGCCCACGGAGCCTCACTCATTGCTAGCACAGCAGTCTGAGATCAAACTGCAAGGCGGCAGCAAGGCTGGGGGAGGGGCGCCTGCCATTGTTGAGGCTTGAGTAGGTAAACAAAGCAGCCAGGAAGCTGGAACTGGGTGGAGCCCACTGCAGCTCAAGGAGGCCTGCCTGCCTCTGCAGACTCCATTTCTGGGGGCAGGGCATTGCCAAACAAAAGGCAGCAGAATCCTCTGTAGACTTAAATGTCCCTGTCTGACAGCTTTGAAGAGAGTAGTGGTTCTCCCAGCACGCAGCTGGAGATCTGAGAATGGACAGACTGACTCCTCAAGTGGGTCTGTGACCCCTAAGTAGCCTAACTGGGAGGCACCCACCAGCAGGGGCAGACTGACACCTCACATGGCCAGGTACTCCTCTGAGACAAAACTTCCACAGGAATGATCGGGCAGCAACATTTGTTGTTCACCAATATCCACTGTTCTGCAGCCTCTGCTGCTGATACCCAGGCAAACAGCTTCTGGAGTGGACCTCCAGCAAACTCCAACAGACCTGCAGCTGAGGGTCCTGACTGTTAGAAGGAAAACTAACAAACAGAAAGGACATCCACACCAAAACCCAGTCTGTACATCAGCATCATCAAAGACCAAAGGTAGATAAAACCACAAAGATGGGGAAAAAGCAGAGCAGAAAAATGGGAAACTCTAAAAATCAGAGTTCCTCTCCTCCTCCAAAGGAACGCAGCTCCTCACCAGCAATGGAACAAAGCTAGAGGGAGAAGGACTTTGATGAGTTGAGAGATGAAGGCTTCAGATGATCAAACTACTCTGAGCTAAAAGAGGAAGTTCGAACCCATGGCAAAGAAGTCAAAAACATTGAAAAAAAATTAGATGAATGGCTAACTAAAATAACCAATGCAGAGAAGTCCTTGAAGGACCTGATGGAGCTGAAAACCATGGCACAAGAACCACGTGACAAATGTACAAGCCTCAGTAGCTGATTCCATCAACTGGAAGAAAGGGTATCAGTGAAGGAAGATCAAACGAATGAAATGAAGCGAGAAGAGAAGTTCAGAGATAAAAGAATAAGAGGAAATGAACAAAGCCTCCAAGAAATATGGGACTATGTGAAAAGACCAAGTCTATGTCTGACAGGTGTACCTGAAAGTGATGGGGAGAATGGAACCAAGCTGGAAAACACTCTTCAGGATATTATCCAGCAGAACTTCCCCAATCTAGCAAGGCAGGCAAACATTCAAATTCAGGAAATACACAGAATGCCACAAAGATACTCCTTGAGAAGAGCGACTCCAAGACACATAATTGTCAGATTCACCAAAGTTGAAATGAAGGAAAAAATGTTAAGGGCAACCAGAGAGAAAGGTCGGGTTACCCACAAAGGGAAGCCCATCAGACTGACAGCGGAGCTCTCGGCAGAAACTCTACAAGCTAGAAGAGAGTGGGGGCCTATATTCAACATTCTTAAGAAAAGAATTTTCGACCCAGAATTTCATATGCAACCAAACTAAGCTTCATAAGTGAAGGAGAAATAAATTCCTTTACAGACAAGCAAATGCTGAGAGATTTTGTCACCACCAGGCCTGCCCTAAAAGAGCTCCTGAAGGAAGCACTAAACATGGAAAGGAACAACTGGTACCAGCCACTTCAAAAACATGCCAAATTGGAAGGACCATCGATACTAGGAAGAAACTGCATCAACTAAAGAGCAAAATAACCAGCTAACATCATAATGACAGGATCAAATTCACACATAACAATATTAACCTTAAATGTAAATGGGCTAAATGCTCCAATTAAAAAACACAGACTGGCAAATTTCATAAAGAGTCAAGACCCATCAGTGTGCTGTATTCAGGAAACCCATCTCACATGCAGAGACACACATAGGCTCAAAATAAAGGGATGGAGGAAGATCTTCCAAGCAAATGGAAAACACAAAAAGGCAGGAGTTGCCATCCTAGTCTCGGATAAAACAGACTTTAAACCAACAAAGATCAAAAGAGACAAAGAAGGCCATTACATCATGGTAAAGGGATCCATTCAACAAGAAGAGCTAACTATCCTAAATATAGATGCACCCAATACAGGAGCACCCAGATTCATAAAGCAAGTCCTTAGAGACCTACAAAGAGACTTAGACTCCCACACAATAATAATGGGAGACTTCAACACCCCACTGTCAACATTAGACACATCAATGAGACAGAAAGTTAACAAGGATATACAGGAATTGAACTCAGCTCTGTGCCAAGCGGACCTAATAGACATCTACAGAACTCACAATCCAAAATCAACAGAATATACATTCTTCTCAGCACCACACTGCACTTATTCCAAAAATTGACCACATAGTTGGAAGTAAAGCACACCTCAGCAAATGTAAGAGAACAGAAATTATAACAAACTGTCTCTCAGACCACAGTGCAATCAAACTAGAACTCAGGATTAAGAAACTCACTCAGTGTGTGATGTTCCCTTTCCTGTGTCCATGTGTTCTCATTGTTCAATTCCCACCTATGAGCGAGAACATGCAGTGTTTGGTTTTTTGTGCTTGTGATAGTTTGCTGAGAATGATGGTTCCCAGCTTCATCTATGTCCCTACAAAGGACATGAACTCATCATTTTTTATGGCTGCATAGGATACCATTAGGAGGTATACCTAAGGCTAAATGACGAGTTAATGTGTGCAGCACACCAACATGGCACACGTATACATATGTAACAAACCTGCACGTTGTTCACATGTACCCTAAAACTTAAAGCATAATAATAATAATAAAAGAAACTCACTCAAAACCGCTCAACTACATGGAAATTGAACAACCTGCTCCTGAATGACTACTGGGTACATAACGAAATGAAGACAGAAATAAAGACATTCTTTGAAACCAATGAGAAAAAAGACACAACATACCAGAATCTCTGGGACACATTCAAAGCAGTGTGTAGAGGGAAATTTATAGCACTAAATGCCCACAAGAGAAAGCAGGAAAGATCTAAAATTGACAACCGAACATCACAATTAAAAGAACTAGAGAAGCAAGAGCAAACACATTCAAAAGCCAGCAGAAAGCAAGAAATAGCTAAGATCAGAGCAGACCCAAAGGAAATAGAGACACAAAAACCCCTTCAAAAAATCAATGAATCCGGTAGCTGGTTTTTTGAAAAGATCAACAAAATTGATAGACTGCTAGCAAGACTAATAAAGAAGAAAAGATAGAAGAATCAAATAGATGCAATAAAAAATGATAAAGGGCATATCACCACGGATCCCACAGAAAGACAAACTACCATCAGAGAATACTATAAACAACTCTATGCAAATAAACTAGAAAATCTAGAAGAAATGGATAAATTCCTCAACACATACACCCTCCCCAGAATAAACCAGGAAGAAGGTGAATCTCTGAATAGACCAATAACAGGCTCTGAAATTGAGGCAATAATTAATAGCTTACCAACCAAAAAAAGTCCAGGACCAGATGGATTCACAGTCGAATTCTATCAGAGGTACAAGGAGGAGCTGGTACCATTCCTTCTGAAACTATTCCACTTAATAGAAAAAGAGGGAATCCTCCCTAACTCATTTTATGAGGCCAGCATCATCCTGACACCAAAGCCTCGCAGAGACGCAACAAAAAAAGAGAATTTGAGACCAATATCCCTGATTAACATCAATGCAAAAATCCTCAATAAAATACTGGCAAACCGAATCCAGCAGCACATCAAAAAGTTTATCCTCCAATATCAAGTCGGCTTCATCCCTGATCCGCAAGGCTGGTTCCACTTACGCAAATCAATAAACGTAATCCATCACATAAACAGAACCAATGACAAAAACCACATGATTATTTCAATATGTGCAGAAAAGGCCTTTGATAAAATTCAACACCCTTTCAGGCTAAAAACTCTAGATAAACTAGGTATTGATGGAACGTATGTAAAAATAATAAGAGCCATTTATGACAAAACCACAACCAATATCATACTGAATGGGCAAAAGCTAGAAGCATTCCCTTTCAAAACCAGCACAATGCATGGATGCCCTCTCTCACCACTCCTATTCAACATAGTATTGGAAGTTCTGGCCAGGGCAATCAGGCAAGAGAAAGAAATAAAGAGTATTCAAATAGGAAGAGAGGAAGTCAAATTGTCTCTGTTTGCAGATGATATGATTGTATATTTAGAAAACCCCATCGTCTCAGCCCAAAATCTCCTAAAGCTGATAAGCAACTTCAACAAAGTCTCAGGATACAAAATCAATGTGCAAAAATCAAAATCATTCCTATACATCAACAATAGACAAACGGAGAGCCAATCATGAGTGAACTCCCATTCACAATTGCTAAAAGAAAATAAAATACATAGGAATACAACTTACAAGGGGTGTGAAGGACCTCTTCAAGGAGAACTACAAACCACTGCTTAAGGAAATAAGAGAGGACACTAACACATGGAAAAACATTCCATGCTCATGGGTCTGAAGAATCAATATCATGAAAATGGCCATACTGCCCAAAGTGATTTATAGATCCAATGCTATCCCCATCAAGCTGTAATGGAGTTTCTTCACAGAATTAGAAAAAACTACTTAAAACTTCATATGGAAGCAAAAAAGAACCTGTATACACAACACAATCCTAAGCAAAAAGAACAAAGCTGGAGGCATCACGCTACCTGACTTCAAACTATACGACAAGGCTACAGTAACCAGAACAACATGGTACAGTTATCAAAACAGATATGTAGACCAATGGAACAGAAAAGAGGACTCAGAAATAATGCCACACATCTACAACCATCTGATCCTTGACAAACCTGACAAAAACAGCCAATGGGGAAAGGATTCCCTATTTAATAAACGGTGTTGGGAAAACTGGCTAGCCATATGCAGAAAACTGAAACTGAACCCCTTCCTTTCACCTTATACAAAAATTAACTCAAGATGGATTAAAGACTTAAATGTAAGGCCTAAAGCCATTAAAAATCCTAGAAGAATACCTAGGTGATACCATTCAGGACATAGGCATGGGCAAAGACTTCATGGCTAAAACACTAAAACCAATGGCAACAAAAGCCAAAATTGACAAATGGGATCTAATTAAAATAAAGAGCTTTTGCACAGCAAAAGAAACTATCATCAGAGTCAACAGGCAACCTATAGAATGGGAAAATTTTTTGCAATCTATCCATCAGACAAATGGCTAATATCCAGAATCTACAAGGAACTTAAGCAAATTTACAAGAAAAAAACAAACAACCCTGTCAAAAAGTGGGTGAAGGATACTAACAGACAACTCTCCAAAAAAACCATTTATCCAGCCAACAAACATATGAAAAAATGTTCATCACCACTGGTCATTTGATTTGCATTTCTCTAATGCAAATCAAAACCACAGTGAGATACCATCTCATGCCAGTTAGAATGGTGATCATTAAAAAGTCAGGAAACAACAGATGCTGGAAAGGATGTGGAGAAATAGGAATGCTTTGACACTGTTGGTGGGAGTGTAAATTAGTTCAACCATTGTGGAAGACAGTGTGGCAATTCCTCAAGGATCTAGAACCAGAAATACCATTTGATCCAGCAATCCCATTACTGGGTATATATCCAAAGGATTATAAATCCTTCTACTATAAAGACACATGCACAAGTATGTTTATTGCAGCACTATTCACAACAGCAAAGACTTGGAACCAACCCAAATGCCCATCAATGATAGACTGGATAAAGCAAATGTGGCACATATACATCATGGAATACTATGCAGTCATAAAAAATAAGTTCATTTCCTTTGCAGGGACATGGATGAAGCTAGAAACCATCATTCTCAGCAAACTAACACAGGAACAGTAAACCAAAACACCACATAAGTGGGAGTTGAACAATGAGAACTCATGGTCACAGGTAGGGGAACATTACACATCAGGGCCTCTCGGGGTGTGGAGGGCTAGGAGAGGGGTAGCATTAGGGGAAATACCTAATGTAGATGACGGGTTGATGGGTGCAGCAAACCACCATGGCATGTGTATACGTATGTAACAAAACTGCACGTTCTGCACATGTATCCCAGAACTTAAAGTGGAAAGAAAGAAAGAAAGAAAGAAAGAAAGAAAGAAAGAAAGAAAGAAAGAAAGAAAGAAAGAAAGAAAGAAAGAAAGAAAGAAAGAAAGAAAGAGAGAAAGAAAGAAAGATGGAAGGAAGGAAGGAAGGAAGGAAAGAAAGAAAGAGAAAGTAAGAAAGAAAGAAAGAAAGAAAGAAAGAAAGAAAGAAAGAAAGAAAGAAAGAAGAAAGAAAGAGAGAAAGAAAGAAAGATGGAAGGAAGGAAGGAAGGAAAGAAAGAAAGAGAAAGTAAGAAAGAAAGAAAGAAAAAAGAAAGAAAGAAAGAAAGAAAGAAAGAAAGAAAGAAAGAAAGAAAGAAAGAAAGAAAGAAAGAAAGAAAGAAAAAGAAAGACAAGACAAGACAGTGGAGGGGAGGGGAGGGGAGAGGAGGTGAAGGGAAGGGAAGGGAAGGGAAGGGAGAAGAAAAGAAATACCCATAAAATAGGAAAGCTGGCTGGTCACAGGAGAAGCATGAAAATATCAAGCAGTGATTTCATATAGCAGCAAGAAAAGAGCCTGTAAAATTAGCTGCAAGAATAAGAATAAGCCTTGACCCATAAGATCCAAACAAGCTGGAAGGGGCTAAGCTGGCTAACACTGAATTGGTCAGACATGGCACTGGGTTTGACCCTTGCCCTACCCCAGGCCTAATTATACACCTATTATGACAGTAAGTCACACACCAGCGCCAGGACGGTTCTGAGAATGCCCATATTTAGTATAAAAATAGTTAACACCTAGCCACGTGCAGTGGCTCATGCCTGTAATCCCAACATTTTGGGAAACTGAGGCAGGCGGATAACCTGGTGTCGGGAGATTGAGACCACCCTGACCAACATGGAGAAATCTCGTCTCTCCTAAAAATACAAAATTAGCCGAGTGTGGTGGTGCATGTCTGTAACCCCAGCTACTCCAGAGGCTGAGGCAGGAGTATTGCTTGAACACGGGAGGCGGAGATTGCAGTGAGCCAAGATCGCGCCATTGCACTCCAGCCTGGGCAACAAGAGCGAAACTCCATCTCAAAACATAAATAAATAAATAAATAAATAAATAAATAAATAAATAAATGACACCTCAGTTCTAAGAAAACTTCACCATTTTTTCTTAAAATCCTAATGATTATTTCAACCTCTCCTTACAGATCCTATAAAATTAGAAACCCAAACTCTCTTGTACCTGACTCGCTCTCCTGAATAAGCCCTCTCTTGAGTGTGTTCCTTTGCTTTGCAATAGACACTTCTTGCCTTTTGCTTCATTCTGCCTACTTCCTAAACTCTTTCTTGCAGCGGTGACAAGAATGTGGACACTGGTTGGTGATTGAGTCTCTGGGCACCTGGAGACGACCTAAGCACTATGGCAATAGTCAGTCTAAAAATCACACAGGATATCACAATTCACTCTCTGGTTTTCTTGGGGGAAAAATCCAGTAACTTTGGCCCCATATCCCCAAGGGGCATCACTCAGCACAAACTGAGAAGCAGCAGTCCTACCGCTGGGTTGTAAGTATGTGGCTTTATTCCGGGGTTCTCTATTCCATTCCATTGGTCTATGTCTCGACCTTCATACTGGTACCACGCAGTTTTGCTTACTATTGCCTTACTGTATAAATTGAAGTCAGGTAATGTGATGCCTCCATATTTGTTCATTTTGCTTCGGATTGCTTTGGCTCTTCAGCCTCTTTTTCATCTCCATATGAATCTTAGGATTCTTTTTTTAATCTTGTGAAAATGGTGTTTGTATTTTGGTGTATGAAATTTTTAGACTGACGTTTTTAGATTGATGTTTGATGTTTGCAGGTTTTAGATTGCTTTGGGCAGTGTGGTGATTTTCACAACATTGTGTCTGTCAATCCATGAGCATGGGATATTTTTCTACTTTTTTGTTGTCTATGATTTTTTTCAGCAGTGTCTTGTAGTTCATCTCATAGAGATCCTTTACCTAATGGTTAAGTGTATTCCTAGGTTGTTTTTGTTATTGTCACTGTTTTTGTTGTTGTTTTGCAACTATTGTGAAGGGATGGAGTTCTTGAATTGATTCTCAGCTTGCTTGTTGTTGATATCAAACAGTGGTACTGATTTGTACATATTAATTTTGTACCTGAGATTTAAGTGAATTCACTTATCACATCTACGAGTCTTGGTGGAATCTTTCCGGTTTTCTAAGCACATATGATCACATCATTGGCAAACACAGGTAGTTTCACTTCCTTCTTTCCAATTTAATTATACTTTATTCCTTTTGCTTACCAGATTGCTCTGACAAACATTTTCAGTCCTATGTTGATTGCAAGTGGATAAAGTGAGCATTTTTGTCTGCTTGTAGTTCCTAGCAGGAATACTTTCAACGTTTCTTCATTCAATATGATGTTGCATGTGGATTTATTTTTGGCTTCTATTATTTTGATGTATGTTCTTTCTAGGCATAGTTTGTGTAAGCGTAGTCTATTATTTTACAAGCTCAGATTTGTATTCTGTTTTACCTGAGTGCATTGTGAGATTTGGCATCTATTTTACCTGATATAAGTACAGCTACTCTTGCTGTTTTTGGTTTCCAGTTGCATGGAATATCTTATTCTACCCCATCACTTTCCATCTACATGTATGCTTATAGGTGAATTGAGTTTCTGGAAAACAGCATATAGTAGGGTCGTATTTTTTTACTCATTCAAAGACCCTTTGCCTTTCACTTGCAGAATTCAGATAAATTATATTCATTGTTTTTATTGATAAAAGCTTAGTGCTCCCATTTCATTCCTTGTTTTTTGGTTGTTTAGAGACTTCTCTCTTCCATCCTTTTCTTATTGTCTTTCTTTGTGTTTAAGTAATTTTCTCTTCTGGAATACTTGGAATGTGACTCTTCCGGCCAGAAACCTCTGTGGCTGGGGGCACCTTTGCCAGAGTTTTGATGGGGTTCACTGGGTTCGTTCTGCCCATGCAGCCTGGTAGACTATGCTTGGCTCATGTTTCAGGCCTGGAGCACATGCCTATTAAGGGCGGGTCAGGGCTGGAGTGGTGAGGGGTGTGTGAGTGAGCAGGGGGTCTGGCCACTTTGGACGGTCACCGGCTGCTGCTGCTGCAGCAGTGGGATGGGCAGCTCCAGATGCCAGCATGTGTGCCAGATTTCTGCAAGGCTGCAAATGAATCAGGCACAGCACAAACAGCTTCCATGGTTGTCACTGGAATACACAGTGACACCAACACTGAAAGCTTGGAAATGCCAGGAACTGCAGAACCCCCAAAAGGGAGTCACAGCCCTGGCTCAGGAAGCTCCCACATCTGGGCTCCTGGAAGAGTAGTTGCTCTTCTCTTTTTCTCTTCACCTACAATTTGGTGAGCAAGGGGCATGTTTCAGCTTTATTTGTGTTATTGCTCTTTTACCCCACCATTAGGCGGGTCTCAAGTTTTTGTCCTGTGACCAGGAAGAGTGAAATATGCAGACAAGTGGAGGGTGAGTGAGATAAAGAAGAGCTTTATTGAGCAATAGAACAGCTTAGAGACCCACAGTGGGTAACTTCTTTCTGCAGCCAGGGCGTCCTGATGAGTGTTTAGCTCTGAGCAGAGAGGAGGCCCTGGGGTGGGTGACCCCTCCCTCCTGGCAGGTTATTCCATCATCACCACTGCTCTCAGTAGAGAGAAGGCCCTGGAGTGGGTTGCTGCTCTCTGCAGGAAAGTCATCTCATCATCTCTACAGCTCTCAGCAGAGAAAAGGACCCGGAGGGGGTTGCTTGTCTCTACAGGAAAATCATCCCAACAGTGGGTAGTTCCTCTCTGCCACTGGTCTTCCTAATGTTCTCCCTGAGTCTGGGGTTTTTTTGACATCAGACAGGAGAAAGTATGCACTCATTGGGTCATAGGTGGCCATGAGCAGGCACAGAAAAGGCAACACATGTTCCCACTCTGGTCCATAGGACTGGTGGCCCAGCCCACGGGCTTCAGACCCTCCTTGATCAGAAGGTGGAGCTTCACCAGTGACCCTCACCTTCCTGTCCAGGATTCTGTCTGCTTCCCACCACCAACCATGGAGCCCAGGTCACTTGTACCAAGGAGCATCCAAAGACCAGTGCTGATCAGTCCGCAACACCCCTCAGCCTCCCTCCTACACTCATCAAGGCCCAAAGTCCAGAGGGTTCAAGACAGCAGTGGGATGGTGCATCAGCACTGACCCGAGTGTGCACAGACCCACCTGGGCTGTGACAGCATCTGGGCTTGACCACAACCACACTCCAAAATTAGAGCAGGTGCCATGAGAGATGAGGCAGTGAGAGCGGACACCCCCAAGCTGCAGGAGAAGGGGGGATCTCCTGGACCCTCGAGAGTACTGGGGGACCTCATTTGGTAACTGTGACCTGGACAACTTCAGTTGCGTCTTTGGAGCTACTGCCCTGCCAACTCAGGAGGACCAGGACTCCCTCTTGTCCCAGGCTCCCATCAGCTCTGAAGTGTACGCAGCCTTGGCTGTGCCCTCTCTCTGTGTTTCCCTGCAGAAGTGACAGTTGAGAAGCAGGTACACAGCAGCTCTGGCCAACCCCACACAAACAAACCCAATGCTCCTGGGTGTGGTTTAACCAGCCCCAACTGCACTATCATCCAGGAGCTTGCAGGCTAACGGCAGGCAGTGAGCAGTGAAGTAGAGGCTGTGGTGGAGACTCCAGACCTGGGACAAGGTTCCATTTTGCAATGAGAGGGTGTGGGTGGCACAGTTGGCTGCCTCAGGGAAATGGAGCACAGGCCTGGCTCATGACCCTGTCAAGGGGGGTGCCTCCAGGAGTGGTTCATAGTTCCCAGGCCCAGCAATCGGGCTGGTCACTCCTATGGGGGGCGGATCTCGGAAACACAGCATGGGGTGGATCCGCATAGACCCTCCCTTCAAGACCTGGGAGCTTGACACTGTTAGCAGGATGGGCACAGTGGCCAGATAGCTGGCCAGGTCCTTGAAACAGGTGCCATTTCTGCTTCTCACCCTGGCCCCCTGATGGATGGCCCCAGCTATGCCTTCTGGGCCTGGCATCCGCACATCTTGTGCGAACGTGGCACCACCCCATTCCTATCTTCTCCTTGGGGCCCCTCTCTGCCCGTCCCTTCGCGCCTGACCGAGCTGCTCCCCTTGGGCAAAAAAGTAAGAAAAAAACTGATGACTGAAGAGAAGTAAAGAATGGGTGGAAATCATCTGTATGCCTGTTTTCCCAGCGCTTTGGGAGGCCAAGGTCAGTGGATCACTCAAAGCCAGGATCTTGAGACCAGGCTGATCAACATGGAAAAACCTCATCTCCATTAAAAATACAAAAATCAGCCAGTCTTGGTGAAACGTGCCTGCCGTCCCAGCTAATTGAGTGGTTGAGGCACAAGAATCACTTGAGCCCTGAAGGAAAGGATTGCAATGAGCCCAGATTGCACCACTGCACTCCAGCCTAAATGACAAACTGAGATTTTGTCTCCAAAACAAAACAAAGAACAAGAATGGGTGGGAAATACTTAAAATGATCAAATTTTATTTGGTTGCTTTGATGTTCTACAGCTGAAACTCAATCACAGACAAAGTAGTATTTCATTATTTTTCCATCAGTAACTCAATAACTAGATATTTCTGGTGGATAAATTGCTACAACACGTTAAAAGTTTTCATTCAGGTGCTCTTTATTTCTGATATTCCTTGGTAACCATCCTTGCAGGGATAACATTCTCATCACTGTAGAACTTTAGCTTCTCTTTCCGACTCTGTAGGACACGGGTCCCTGAAGTTCTCATTGATGTCACCTCAACATTTTCCTCCAGCCTTGCCCCCTGCTGTTATGTTTTCTCTCTCACACTGAGCACTTGCCTGTGCTTCCTTTAAGTTGCATGTGGCCTGGACACAGTCACTCATGCCAGTAATCCCAGCACTTTAGGAAGCTGAGGCAGGAGGATCCCAGAGCAACACAGAGAAACCCTGTCTCAAATTGTCTTTAATAAAAATTTTGGAATTATTAAAAAATGAAATAAATAAGAAAAGAGAAAAATAGTTTGCACCTACATAGTAGATTTTAGTGTCCAAGTGCCTGGAAGAGAACTTTGGATTTCTCTACCCCACTGGGCACGCCTTCCCTAGCAGCAAAGATGGAGCTCCAGTTCCTCAGACGGTGATGAGCCACAGGAAGGGCAGGGGGTGGGGCCAATGAAGATCCTCTTGGGCTGCCTGAATTCCCTCAGTGTACACATCAGCTCAGCCCGAAGTGGGGTGAAGATCTCCCAATTGACACGAACCAAGGAATTCAAACTCTCCTCAGGGGCAGGATACGTCTCCAGGCTTAACTTGCTCAGCCCACTGGTGTGGCGCAGCAGGTCCTTCAGGGCGTCAATAGACATGCAATTGCTGCCAAAGTAGAAGGTGGTGAGCTGGGAGCAGCAGCTCAGGCCAGGCAGGATGGCACTGAGTTGGGAGTAGTGGATCTGACAGCCCTCTAACACGAGGGTCTCGAGAGAGGCAGCAATTTTCTCTAGCAGAGCTCCTAGGGGTTCAAGACTGATGCGGAACAGCAGCACGTAGCTGAGATTCAGATGCTTTAGGTAACCGAGGCTTGGGAACTGGGAGAGACACTTCAAGTCCTCTTCTAATAGGTTGCCACAAGTTAATTCCAAGTTCTCCAAGGGGTTCTGGAGGCACCTGTGGAGATCAAGAAGTTAGTTCTGGGCAATGGTACCAGTTAGATGAAGGTAGTGGGGAATAACCTCAAGGAAAATACCTGCTTCAACCAAACACAAGTTTGTTCCCACCATCTGATGATGGTCCTCATGGAAGTTGCTGCATGATGAGGACCCTGATCGTTCAGGGGCTGTCCCATTTTAGCCTCAGCCCTTTCACCATTGCTTGTGTGATTGGGTCAAGGCCATAAAATCTCTAAAGCCTTTTTGTTTTTCATCTTTTAGCAGAAAACTTCATCTCTGGGCTACAGGTACCCCGTGGGAGATGTGAACAAAGAACTCAACTCAGCAAGGTCTAGGGACATCAGCTAGGGCTACATGTCGGCAGGGGCTCCCTGACATGCCTGCATCTGCAAACCAACTGTCACTTTTTACCACTCTCACGCCTACTCCCTCACCTCCATCCCGGAAGCACGCATTTCCCATGTCAATTACCTTTCCTGGAGTTCAAAACAACGTTTTGCAGACAGGGAATTAAAGACAGGATCATTCGTGATCACTAAGCCGGTGAGGACAGACGTTCTATTGTGAAATGGACAGGTTTGATGCGCTTTCCCTCCTTTCATACCCTCCTCTATTATCTCTTTGACATCATATCAACTTGAAACACACTTTGTAACAGGAAATTCACACGTGCACCCCCAATAGAGCTGAAACCCCCACTGACTAGCTTGTACATGATGTCCCTCTCTAGCTTCTACCCCAGGTGACCCCTCTGCCCTTATTGGAGCGATCCTGTGATAGCCACTCCAGGACATGGAACACTGAATGGGACAATGTGTTGACATTCTGGTGTTCCCTTCACTGTGACGTTGCCACTGGCTGGCACACAGTACACGCCTTCTAATGTTTGCTGTAACAGAACAAGTCTGTGCTGTGGTCTGCATACAAAGTGCACAATCCTTTCTCACCTGATCAGCTGTTCCAGGTGCCCACTGAAGAAGGTGATCAATTTTATTTTAAGCAACTGGAGGTGTTCCAGCCTGAGGAACACAGAGGTGAATCTGGTGACTAACCATCCCTCGAGTTCATTATCTGACGTGTAATGATGGCACCTGGAGAAAACGAGTTTGCAAAGAGTCTTCATCTCCTTCAGGTAACAATAAAGCTTTCTTATCAGATGTGGCCAGCACGTGTTGTGAATTTCCAGCTCCCCAATACTATTAATGTATATTATTTTCAATGACTTTCTGAGATATTTAATTGGCGTTAGATAATTGACCAGCTTACTACAGCACAGGTGTACTAAACCTCTCCTTTGGTAAACCCACTGGAAGAGGTATCTCAGGCATTCATCCTGGGGTATTTCCTTGAGGCAGATGTCTATGAACACCTTTAAGGGCTGGTGCTCTCCCGTCCTTGGACAGTCCTCTGCTGTCTGCCTCTTACTCATGGCCTCTGGGAAGCAGGACAGGGCCCAGGCTCCAGGCCATCTGGCCCAGAAATTCTCATCAACATCCCGCAAATCCAGCACTTGAAGTTTCCACCTCCTGTGGGTAAAGTAAGGGAGAGGCTCAGAATTTAGAGGGACTCATCCCTGACCTTTGCTTTCATTCTCATCCCATAAATCAGCTGCTCCTGTCCTCAGTGCTCCCTGTTCTCTTTGTCTTTTCTCAATCCCTTTTCCCTTTGGATTCTGAGTGGTCCCCACTTCTATTCCCTTTACCTTCCACTGAGTAAAGGCCGGCTTCTGTTCCCACAGTGGACCCTGTATGGTGAGCAGTCCTTTCTCTGAGGATCTGGACAATGGCCAAAGCCTCCCTGAGCTTCCTCGCCAACACCATCAGAAGACTCTGGGCCGCACTTGGGTTACTTCTCTGCCTGACCCTGCTGTTCTTTCCCTGGACACCTGAGCCCTATCTACTAGCCCTCCTGGGTCACCTCACCTGGGGCGATCCTTCTGTGTAAGCAGCATATGAAGCCCTTCCAGCAATGCTTTCAATGGCTCCAGATGAAGCGTCTTCATCAGCGATACCAGAGGGAGGCAGGTGAAAGGCCAGGCCTGCACCATCACCGTCAGAGTCTGGAAGTGTCTCCTGCTGAAGGCCTCCCTGAAGAGTGGGAGATAGAGCACCCTGGGCAGCTCCTCCATGGCAGAGATGGACAAGGCCTGGTCTCTCAGCAGGCTCTGCCCCGCCAGCTCCAGTAGTCTCGGTGGGGCCTGGATGCTCATCCTGATGGATCTGCAAGAAAAATCTCTAGAAGACAAATCCAGGGAGAATGTATCACTCTCAGGGCAAACACAATCACCTCATCTTCTCCTAGGACCAATATCATTGCTCTGGTAGAGGTAGAAAAATTACCACTTTACCCCAATTCCACTGTGCTTGTTGGCCTCAAATCTATACTTCTGCTTCTGCTGGTACCAGGAAGAATATCTTCCAAACACCAAGGAGGGAGGGGTCAAAGAGACCATTGACCCATTAATTTTCATCCTTCGCTCCACTGAATCCCAGAACCACTGGACAGTGCCACTGAGGATCCTGAAAGCCAAGCTCTACCTCTTTGAGGAAAAATTTCTTGTCACTTACCACCCTAAAGCATTGAGAATGAGAGTGTCCCGTGGGCCCAGACAGCCTCCATTCTCAGTTCACACCATGAACATGCTGGGGGAACACTAAAGGGACTCCCTAAAATCGATGCCATTATTTTTTATTTTGAAAATTTTCTACCAGAAATGGACCAGGTGCTGTGGCTCATGTCTGTAATCCCAACACTGCTGGACACCAAGGCAGGCAGATCACTTGAGGTCAGGAGTTCGAGAACAGCCTGGGCCTACATAATGAAACCATGTCTCTACTAAATATACAAAAGTTAAGAATCATTTGACTCCAGAAGGCAGAGGTTTCAGTGAGCCGACATCACACCACTGCACTCCAGCCTGGGTGACAGCGTTGGACTCTGACTCAAAAATAAACAAATTGATAAATTAATTAATTTAAATATTAGCCAGGTGTGGTCATGCATGACTGTAATCCTAGCTACTCTGGAGGCAGAGGAAGGAGAATCACTTGAAGCCCAGAGGCAGAGTTTCCAGGGAGCCCAGCTCAGGGCCCTGCACTCCAGTCTGGGTGACGCACTCAGAGTACATCGCAGAAAAAAACAAAATAATTCACTGGAACTGTAAAAGTGGTGTGATGGTATTCCACAGCATTTGGAAGGTATGTATAGAAATGCTAACTGTAGCTGGGCATGCTGGCTTACTCCTGTAATCCCAGCACTTTGGGAGTCTGAGGGGGGCAGATCTCCTGAGGTCAGGAGTTTGAGGCCAGCATGGCCAACATGGCAAAACCCTGTGTCTACTAAAAATACAAAAATTAGCTGGGCATGGTGGTGAGTGCCTGTAATCCAAGCTACTCAGGAGGCTGAAGCAGGAGAATCACATGTAACTAGGAGGCAGAAATTTCAGTGAGCCAAACCACACCATGGCACTCCAGCCTGGGCAACAATAGGGAAACTCCATCTCAAAAAAAAAATCAACCAGAAACTGTAAAAGTGCTACCATGCTATTCTAGAGCACTGTAACTCTAAGATGAAGGTTCCTATAGACATCACTTCCACATACTCACAATTACCCACTTTTTGATGGATCGATCCTAGGGTCAAAAATAAATCCCACAATCTGAGCAAAACTGCACTCTTGAGATTGGTGTGTGGGATACCTTTAAGGATTTTATGAAAATGAAAGCATACTTGGAGGATCACAATAACACCAAGTCTATGAACTGTAATTGAAAGGCACAAAAACAAATAACTTCAAATGTCAAGAAATAAAAATTCATGTCACTGTAAAGTTTTAATATATTTTTAAAAAACCTGCTTCCATAAGAATTTTAAAATGACAAAAACCAAGCACAAATCACAATCTGATGGATGAAGACAAAACTACATTTAGAGGAAAAATGAAAGCCTAAATCTGTTCATCTCACAAAACAGACAGAAAAATATTGTGTGCCACTTTGGGATGTGTGTCACCGTCCCTGACTGGCTGGCTGCTGATCAGATGGGCATGACCCTAAGAAGGTGGTGACTTACCAGCGCTGGACTCACTTTGCAGAGTTCTGGGACCTCTCAGGGAACCAACCAGTAGCTTCAGGTGTGAGTGCTGTGGGTCTCTTCTGGGTACCCTCAGGAGCTTTTATAGACCTTTCTAACCCCACCCTTCCCTTCTCAATCACCAGCTTCCAATCAGAAAGTGATACCTGATTAGATCTTGCAGTCACACCCAGTTAATCCTGATTGAGTTTTCAGCTTTCTTCTGACTAATTGATCGAATTAGATACACATTTATGGAAGTAAAAGAATAAATAATAGGGTGAAAGTCCAAAACTCATTCATTCATTTATTCCCCAAATACTGATGAAGTTTGGCTAATAGATGACTTTCATAGTGATACAGGGAAGGGATTAATCTGTTCCTGATATCAGACAAAAAAAAAAAAAAAACCTTAAGGTGTCCTTATTGGAGGATGTTTGGCCACATCAAAATTGTCAAAATGTTTCAGAGCTACAACAGCCTGAAGAAGATAGTGATGTCATTCCCAAGAAAACAGAATAAAAAGCTGTGTATATCGAATGGTTACCTGTGTTTTATGCTATCTAACATAGCAGATCATATGCACATTCAGGTAGAAGAAAGGAACCACTGAGGGTGTGATCTATCTCAAGACTAAGTCAAGGCTTCACTGAAGGAAATCAGGACAAAATGACCAAGTGAGGTGCGGACTGAGTGGAATGAGACTAGGTTTTCTAATGGGAACCTGCAAAGGAAACAAGACAATGTAAAACATGGTGGTTATCTTGTGGGCATCTAGATGTCAGGACTGAAAGTCCTTTGTCAAGATTGAGTTTATTTATTGATTCTTTGATTTTCAGACTGGGCCACCATCTGTCACCCAGGCTGGAGTGCAGTGGCATGATTTCAGCTCACTGCAACCTCAACTTTCTGGGTTCAAGCGATTTTCTCACCTTGCCTCCCGAGTAGCTGGGAATTATGGGTGCGCTCCAACATGCCCCACTAATTTTTGTATTTTTAGTTGAGATGGGGTTTCACCATGTTGGCCCGGCTGGTCTCGAACTCTTGACCTCAAGTGATCTCCCCACCTCAGCCTCCCAAAGTGCTAGGATTACAGGCATCAGCCATCTCACACACCCTAGATTGAGTTCAGAAATTCAAAGGAGAATCATCAAAAGAGATAGGTCAGACTCTTAACCATAACATTGGCTTTGAGAACACAGGGGGCAGGTATAGTCTTGGCCCTACTAGAAGGTAAAGGGTGTTTACCCACAAAAATGATGGGCTCCTCTCAGAAAACCAGCTTGCAAAGATGGAATCTGAGAATGTGAGCTGGAGCAGAGGCCAGAGAGAAGATCGGGGCCACACTTGGGAAGGGAAAGCAAGCAAGCTCAGGCCTCCAATCCCAGCCCTTTGGGAAGCCAAGAAAGGCAGAGTGCTAGAGCTCAGGAATTTGTGAGGAGTATGGGCAATGTGATGAAACCCTGTCTCTAATACAAATACAAGATATTAGCCAGGGGGAGGCAGTGTGCACCTGTAGGCCAAGCTGCCCAAGAAGTTGAGGTGGGAGGATCACCTGAGCCCAGTGAGGCTTCTACTTCCCACGCCCCACTTTGTAAACCTGAGGCTGAGGGTGAGCTCAGCACCAATAATGGTTGTGAGAATCTGTGTTCACTGAGCATCCACGAGGCACAACAGATGGCTGGTACCGATCATCCCGGACCTCAGCTCTTCCTCATGGAGAATCTAAGGCACGTTGCTATTTTCCCCATTTCTAACCTGATAAACCTGAGACTTGGCCAGAGAAAAATCTGCCCATGTTCTGGCAGCAAATGATTGGCAAACAGGCATGAGCCACCACGGTCAGCCAGAAAAAAGTACTTAATAAATTACCAGCTAACTAAATGCAACACTGCATCAGAAAGTGATAGACAGGCCAGGCTCCGTGGCTCATGCCTGCAATCCCAGCACTTTGAGAGGCTGAGGCAGGTGGATCACCTCAGGTCTGGAGTTCGAGACCAGCCTGACCAACATGGAGAAACCCCATCCCTACTAAAAATACAAAATTAGCCAGGTGTGGTGGCGCATGCCTGTAATCCCAGCAACTCAGGAGGCTGAGGCTGGAGATTCGCTTGAACCAAGAAGGTGGAGGTTGCAGTGAGTCGAGATCGTGCCATTGCACTTCGGCTTGGGCAACAAGAGTGAAACTCCAGCTCAAAAAAAAAAAAAAAGAAAGAAAGAAAACAATATAGTAATATATAATGGCCATTCCAGGAATGCCAGCCAATCACAGAAAAATCTAAGTGTAATTCAGCATACTGACAAACTAAAGGGGGAAAAGCAAGGTTCCTACAAAATGCAGAAAGGAATTGAAGAAAAATCAAATTAAATTTATCATAGCATATTTTGGAAAATGAGATGTTGTATGTTGAAAACTTGCATTAAACATCAGATGTAATGGATAAACATTAGCTCCCTTCCTAGTGAGATATGAAACAAGGTAAGACCCTCAGCAACTTAGGATTTGAAGGCACGTAGGTATTTTGGTTAGTAGTAAAGACTCCAGATCCAGCAGATCCAGACTGTTTAATTTAGGTTCAAAACTGGCTCAGTACCATCCTGGCTAACACGGTGAATCCCCATCTCTACTAAAAATACAAAAATTAGCCAGACATGGTGGCAGGCACCTGTAGTCCCAGCTACTCGGGAGGCTGAGGCAGGAGAATGGAGTGAACCCGGGAGGCAGAGCTTGCAGTGAGCCGAGATCGCGCCACTGCACTCCAGCCTGGGCGACAGCACGAGACTCCATCCCAGAAAAAAAAAACTGGCTCAGTGGCCAATGGCTGTGTGGTCTTACCCAACTTACTTAACCTCTCTGTGCCTTAGCTCATTCACATATAAAATGGGATAATAGCAATATTGACTTCACAGAGTGTTATAAGTTAATCTATTTAAGTACTTCGAGCTGGATTTGACATAGGGCAAGCAAGGATATTTTTATTGTTATTATATTTGAAAAATATATTAGTTACAAACTTAGGTGAGAGACCAAGGTCTATGGTAAAGGTGATTATAAGCCTTCATACACCCCTGTTGTTCTGAAAATCTTAATTATAACAAGGCCCGGTGGAGTGGCTCACGTCTGTAATCCCAGCACTTTGGGAGGCTGAGGTGGGCGGATCACCTGAGGTGAGGTGGGCGGATCACCTGAGGTCAGGAGTTCGAGACCAGCCTCACCAAAGTGGCAAAACTATCTCTCTATTAAAATACAAAAAATAGCTGGGCATGGTGGTGGACACCTGTAATCCCAGGTACTCGGTAGGCTGAGGCAGGAGAATCACTTGAATCCAGGAGGCAGAGTTTGCAGTGAACCAAGATGGAACTATTGCTCTCCAGCCTGGCGACGGAGTGAGACTCCATCTCCAAAAAAAAATAATTAATTATAACAGCATGTCCATTCACTCTCCAAAGTGTCTAGGACTGGACAATTAATTGTCAGGCCCTCTTCTGTAGCACCCTACACTATAGCATATATGTGGATTAATATAAATACACATACAAATTTCAAGTATATATTCCATATACTTTCTATATACTTATTTTCTAAGAGGTCACATGCAAATTCAAGGCTATGTCAAAGAGTAGAGTGGCTATCTATGGAAAGGGGAGTGGAAGTGAATCATGGTAATAAAAAATAGGTGTAGATATAGATATGAATATGTAGACATACACACATATAGCGGCAAGAAAAGGGAATGTCATGGACCAATGATGACAGTGAGCCATGTAAAAAGGCTACAATTTTTGTGATTGTGTGTCCATTTTCAGGATGGGTTGTAGCTTACCTTTTTAGAAAGGCTGATGCCATAGTCATAGTGAATAAATGATTATAAAATGTGTTTCCTTTCTGGTGCACCTCTGGAGAAACTTGACACAGAGTCTCTGATGCCCAAGCTGGAGTACAGTGGTGCTATCTCGGCTCACTGCAACCTCTGCCTCCTGGGTTCAAGTAATTCTCATGCCTCAGCCTCCCAAGTAGCTGGGATTACAGGCATGCCACCACACCCAGCTAATTTTTGTATTTTTAGTAGATAATGGGGTTTCACCATGTTGCCCAGGCTGGTCAACTCCTGGCTTCAAGTGTTCCGCCAGCCTCAGCCTCCCAAAGTGCTGAGATTACAGGTGTGAGCCACCACGCCCAGTAAGACTGGCTTACTTTAATATAATTTTTACCACCCCTATGGGAAAATACAGCCAGACCCATCATAAGGTATTTTTTTTCACCAACTACAATCAGAAGCACCGATCATAAAGTATTTACTGGAGAACCTATGCCTTTGATAATAGAACCTCATGTATCCCCTGCACATTTTAGCTCTGACTGTGTAACCAGGGGTTCAACTCCAACAGATTAACCATTGCTTAAGTTGCAAAGCCTAAATTGCTCAGGCATGTCCGATGGGAAAAAGGTTTAACCTCTTAACTGTTAACACAGCCTGGCTGACTGTTTGAATTGGCATCACCTGAAACCAGTTGGAAAGGCCATGTGAGCTTGCTCCACTATCCCCAGATTGGGGAGACAGGCTTGGAACTTGTCTCCTGTCTCCCTGTCAGTTAACTATTTTTTATTTTTATTTTTATTTTTATTTTTTTCTTTGAGACAGAGTCTTGCTCTGTTGCCCAGGCTGGAGTGCAGTTGCGTGATCTCAGCTCACTGCAAACTTGGCCTTCCGGGTTCAAGTGATTCCTGCCTCAGCCTCCACAGTAGATGGGATTACAGGCGTGCACCACGATGCCTGACTAATTTTTGTATTTTTAGTAGAGAGGGAGTTTCACCATATTGGTCATCCTGGTCTGGAACTCCTGACCTTGTGATCTGCCCGCCTCGGCCTCCTAAAGTGCTGGGATTACAGGCATGAGCCATTGTGCCCGGTCCAGTTAACTCCTAATAATTTTTTATTTTTTCCCAAAATGGAGTCTTGCCCTGTCACCCAGGCTGGACTGCAGAGGTGCAATCTCAGCTCACTGCAACCTCTGCCTCCCAGGATCATGCCATTCTTCTGACTCAGCCTCCAGAGTAGCTGGGATTACAGGCATGGATCACCACACCCAGCTAATTTGTGTATTTTTAGTAGAGACAGGGTTTTCCCATGTTGTCCAGGCGGTCTCAAACCCCTGACCTTGTGATCTGACTCCCTCGGCCTCCTAAAGTGCTGGTATTATAGGCATGAGCCACCGTGCCCAGCCTTTTTTGCTTTTCTCAAACCATGGTGGTGTAGTATTGGGTTCTATGCACTTAGGAGAGTGAGCTCATCATTCAGTAACAATATGACTCAGTACCACGAGACCTTTCAAAGACTATTTCCAGTAGGTGAAGGAGGCTTTTAATGATGATTGGACCTTCATGCCCTACCATTTGGAGATTGTGTCTTTTAAAATGGCCCTAAGGGAAATCTGCCCATGAGCAGCATTGGATGAGACCATACCAGGTGACTTAAAATTAAGGATAACCAAGGAAAAAAGCCTTTCTTACAAGCAGACATCATCACATGGTAGACAGCTGTTTTAAGAAAATGGAACAAAACTCCATTCGATCTCCTTCCATTGACTGAGACTTGGTTTTGTTTTGTACTAACACAAAATGATCAAGCCTACATTTTATTTTGTTACGTACTTTCACCAGTCAAAGCAAACACTTTCTAAGGTCTCCTCTTCAAAATTTAGCCACTATCACTAACCAAAGCAATTGCTGCCTATGGAGTCATTTAGATGAATAGGAAGGATCACAACTAATAGTAGAACCTGCTCTCACACACGGTTGGGTAATATTTATGATTAAATGACTCGGCACTGAGAAGAAGCTATAGATGCAAATGGGTGGCCTATGACTATTATTGATTTCATTACTGGTAACTTATCTCTATGCATAGGAAACATTAGTGTAACTGGGTCTAATCTAGGTGGTGTCCCAGACTCTTGTGGCTCAGGCTGGAGTGCAATGGCACAATCTCAGCCCACTGCAACCTCCACCTCCCGGGTTCAAGTGATTCTACTGTCTCAGCCTCCCAAGTAGCAGGGATTACAGGCATGTGCCACTACAGCCAGCTAATTTTGTATTTTTAGTAGAGACATGGTTTCTCTGTGTTGGTCAGGCTGGTCTCCAACACCCAACCTCAGGTTATCCTCCGGCCTTGGCCTCCCAAAGTGATAGGATTACAGGCACGAGCCACCGAACCTGGATAGAGAACATTTCTGATGGCTCCATATTGATGGAACTTCAAATAACTCTCTGGTAAATTATTTTCTATAATACCCTTAAATAAAAAATGGAGAAGCTGAGATCCAGATCAATGTAGACTTTGGTACAGAGTTGGTGGTACCAGGGCTGCCATATCCAGTTTACACCCCAACCTGATATATCAGCAAATCTCCTGGAGTAAGGAAAATATTTCTGAGGAGGGGTTTCACATGAAATTCAGAAAATTCCTGTGTTTGAAGCAGTCCAAATGACATTTTGTGGCAACAAAATATATGGTCTACTTAACAGAGAAGGAGACTGTGTAAGAAAAAAAGAAAAAAGATGTTTATCCTGAAATGAGCAAAGCATTGGGAATGGATGTGAGATTATTTTGGGAGAAAAATAGAAGATGAAGGTTTTGAAAGGAAAAATAAGGAGGATTATATAAATTGTTTTGAAAGGCTCATCCTTGGTCCTAATAATCAAAACCAAAGGGGCATCAGTGAAATATTGGATAGATTCCTCCTCCACCCCCTCAGTAACCCCCAACATGTTTACCAAGTCTTGGTTCACTCCCAGGATCCCATTAAAACACCAAGCTCAACCAAGCCCATCCTCTACCCTCACTTCCTTTTGCAATTTTGACATGATTTTATTACAGGACCATCAGATTCCTATGCCTGCTGCACAGTAGCTTACCAATATTTTGAGACAGCAGAGTTTGCAGCAGAGAGTTTAATGATCACAGGGTGGCTAAATGAGAAGCTAGGAGGAGATCCTCAAATTCATCTCCCCAAGGAGGAGATCCACTGAGGGTTTCCAGTGGATCCTGGATAGCAAGGGGCTGGAAAGTTGATATAGAGTTAAGAGGGATGAAGTCATCAGGATGTCAAAACTGCATTCTTTGGTGCGTTGGTGCCTTGTAGGGCCCTTCAGATCAGCTGGCATCAGTACTTTCACTGACATGCAGAACGTAAGAATATCTCAAATGAAAAAGTTAATGTTTTACAAGGCTTAAATTGTTGTCTGCAGGGCAGTTAAGGGGAACTGTAATCTAAGGTCTAAATGATTTGGGGACAGTAGGCTGCCAGCAACCATGAGGAAGAAGGTCAGAGAGCAAGCTGACCTCATGGTGAATGCTGAATGCGCTGCAAGCTTGGTTTATTTTTGTTTCTCCCCCTCCCTTCTTCACTGATTAAATTTATAAAGTTTATAGGTATCGTTTCAATTTCTTCCAAAGAAGCCTTAACCTAAGCACTGAGACCACTCACGCCCTGAGTGGCACCTCTCTTCCACCAGCACGAGTGAAGAAACTGCTACCTTAGGTGATATAAAACCCACAAGACCATTCCATACATGGAGATCTTTATTCTTATTTTGTAGGGATGACTCCGTTTTTATAAAGTTGTTTTAACTAGAAAGCATTTTTATAATTTTGATGTGGCCAAAGATCTCCCCACAACACTACTTTCAGGTTTTATTTTTCTGTCTAATGTCCGGAACAGATCAACCCCTTCCCTGCCTCACACTCAGGACCTGAAGGCGACATAGCAGTAAAATTCCATCAGTGTTTGTGGATTTCATGAATGAATGCATTTTTTTTTTGACAAAATCTCCCTCCGTCACCCAGTCAGGAGGGCAATGGTGTAATCTTGGCTCACTGCAAACTCAGCCTCCAGGGTTCAAGGGATTCTCCCACCTCAGCCACATGAGTAGCTGGACTACAGGCAGCCACCATCGTGCCTGGCTAACTTTTCTATTTTTGTAGAGACAGGGTTTCACCATGTGGGCCAGGCGGGTCTTGAACTCCTGACATCAGGTGATCCACCTACCTTGGCCTCCTAAAGTGCTGGGATTACAGGTGTGAGCCACCTCATCTGGCCTTGAGTGAATGAATTCTTGACTTCCACTCTATCCCTAACGCTGTCAATTTCTTAATTCATGAAATGAATATGCATATGTGATATGAATGGATACCTGGTTCAATCCATTAGTCTTCGGACAGCCAAAAACCCAATCAGGATTAACTGAGTGGAGCTTCAGAAATGCAATCAGATATCGCTTTTTGATTGGAAGCTAGCAGCGGATATGTGGAGGGGCGTGGGTGGGAGTTGTGATTAGAAAGGTCAATAAAAGCTTCTAAAGACCCACAGGACAGACTCAAAGTCTTCAAGCCTGGAGTTCCTGCTTGGCTCTTCCTGAGGTCTGAGCTACAACTACAACCAGAGGTCTAAACTACAACCAGATCTGGTAAGTCACTAATTTCTGGAAGGACACTCCCATCTGACCTACAGTCAGCCGGTCTAGAACGGTGACAGTGCAGCCTACGACGGCACAGAACTATATCCTGTCTTTTTTTCTTTTTTTCATATGAACACTTTGAAGCTTTGATTTTTTTTCTAAATGCAATTTTGTCTTTATTTCAAAAATGTTGTTGTGCTTTTCTTTACATCATTTCAGAATTCTTGTTGGGAGCCATTTTGTGAAGAGACGAAGACTGAGCTGTTTTGGCTGCATTTCTGGCCTCGAGCCGCAGTCAGTTTCTCCCCGTAGAACCCGGCAGTAGGAGACTTAGAATCGAATCTCTTCTCCCTCCCGCCTCCTGTTTTTGGCTTTTTGAGAAACCTTATCATCCAACACAATGGCCAGCAACGTTACCAACAAGATGGATCCTCACTCCATGAACTCCCGTGTGTTCATTGGGAATCTCAACACTCTTGTTGTCAAGAAATCGGATGTGGAGGCGATCTTTTCCAAGTATGGCAAAATTGCGGGCTGCTCTGTTCATAAGGGCTTTGCCTTCGTTCAATATGATAAGGAGAAAAATGCCCGGGCTGCTGTAGCAGGAGAGGATGGCAGAATGATTGCTAGCCAGGTTGTAGATATTAACCTGGCTGCGGAGCCAAAAGTGAACCGAGGAAACGCAGGTGTGAAACGATCAGCAGCGGAGATGTACGGCTCCTCTTTTGACTTGGACTATGGCTTTCAACGGGATTATTATGATGGAATGTACAGTTTCCCAGCACGTGTACCTCCTCCTCCTCCCATTGCTCTGGCTGTAGTGCCCTCGAAACGTCAACGTCTATCAGGAAACACCTCACGAAGGGGCAAAAGTGGCTTCAATTCTAAGAGTGGAAAGCGGGGATCTTCCAAGTCTGGAAAGTTGAAAGGTGATGACCTTCAGGCCATTAAGCAGGAGTTGACCCAGATAAAACAGAAAGTGGATTCTCTCCTGGAAAACCTGGAAAAAATTGAAAAGGAACAGAGCAAACAAGAGGTAGAGGTGAAAAATGCTAAGTCAGAAGAGGAGCAGAGCAGTAGCTCCATGAAGAAAGATGAGACTCATGTGAAGATGGAGTCTGAGGGGGGTGCAGAAGACTCTGCTGAGGAGGGGGACCCACTGGATGATGATGTTAATGAAGATCAGGGGGATGACCAGCTGGAGTTGATCAAGGATGATGAAAAAGAGGCTGAGGAAGGAGAGGATGACAGAGACAGCACCAATGGCCAGGATGACTCTTAAGCACATAGTGGGGTTGAGAAATCTTATCCCATTGTTTCTTTACCTAGGAGCTTGTCTAACAACAAATTTTTCACCAGATCCTCTCCCTTAGTATCTTCAGCACATGCTTACTGTTCTCCCCATCTTTGTCCTTCCCATGTTCATTAATTCATATTGCCCTGTGCCTAGTCCCATTTTCACTTCCCTTGACACCCCTAGTAGTTGTCCTAAGTCTTACCCTGTAATTTTTCCTTTTAATTTTGACACCTCTTTATGACTTAACAGTAAAAAGGATGTATGGTTTTTATCAACTGTCTCCAAAATAATTTCTTATTTTGTTTATTTAGTTTATTTATTTGTTAGTTTAGTTTAGTTTTGTTTATTTGTTATTTAGTTTACTGAGAATGATGTTTTCCAATTTCATCCATGTCCCTACAAAGGACATGAACTCATCATTTTTTATGGCTGCATAGTATTCCATGGTGTATATGTGCCACATTTTCTTAATCCAGTCTATCATTGTTGGACATTTGGGTTGGTTCCAAGTCTTTCCTATTGTCAATAATGCCGCAATAAACATACATGTGCATGTGTCTTTATAGCAGCATGATTTATAGTCCTTTGGGTATATACCCAGTAATGGGATGGCTGGGTCAAATGGTATTTCCAGTTCTAGATCCCTGAGGAATCGCCACACTGACTTCCACAATGGTTGAACTAGTTTACAGTCCCACCAACAGTGTAAAAGTGTTCCTATTTCTCCACATCCTCTTCAGCACCTGTTGTTTCCTGACTTTTTAATGATTGCCATTCTAACTGGTGTGAGATGGTATCTCATTGTGGTTTTGATTTGCATTTCTCTGATGGCCAGTGATGATGAGCATTTTTTCATGTGTTTTTTGGCTGCATAAATGTCTTCTTTTAAGAAGTGTCTGTTCATGTCCTTTGCCCACTTTTTGATGGGGTTGTTTGTTTTTTTCTTGTAAATTTGTTTGAGTTCATTGTAGATTCTGGATATTAGCCCTTTGTCAGATGAGTAGGTTGTGAAAATTTTCTCCCATTTTGTAGGTTGCCTGTTCACTCTGATGGTAGTTTCTTTTGCTGTGCAGAAGCTCTTTAGTTTAATTAGATCCCATTTGTCAATTTTGTCTTTTGTTGCAAGTTGGAATGCTTTTATAAGAAAGGTTGAAAGAAGGGGATGGGACTCCTCCTATCAGTTGTTTTTTTTTTAATTTTCTTTTGTTTTATCCTGGCAAGGCTCTAATAGAGTTGAGCTTTTTTGTTTTTGTTTTTTCCATTGGAAGGGACAATACAGAGGTTACAATCATTGACTTTAGATGACAACATGACAGGCAAAAATATTTTCCTTGCAAGACAACCAGCAAAACTTCACGATCAGAATCAAATCAGTGTCCTTCTCACTGTCACTGGGTGAAGCCTTCATCAGTACTTGAAGAGTCTCAGGCACTCATGAAGTCAAGATCAGATTCTTTACTCAGGGACAGGATGTAAGCCAATCATAAGACCTTCCACAGATGATCAATTTGGAAGTCTACCTAATGTGACCTGCAGGTTTTCACTGGCAATATGCAGGTGCAGATATGACAAAGAATAATCCTGACCTTCATATCACCCCTAGCTGTTGAGGATTGGGATTCTTTTGTCCCTTTCTCTCCATAAAACCAGGCTACTCATCTTGTGTGGCAACAAAATATATGGTCTACTTAACAGAGAAAGAGACTCCACAGGAAAAAAAAAAAAGGATTTTTATTATGAAATGAGCAAAGCCATGGGAATAGATGTGAGATTATTCGGGGAGGTAAAGGAAGACAAAGGTTTTGAAAGGAAAAATGAGGAGAATTACATAAATTTTTTTGAAAGACTCATTCTTGGTCACAAGTATGAAAACCAAGGGACCCTCAGTGCAATGTTGGAAAGATTCCTCCTCCACCCTCTCAATAACCCCCAACACATTTACCAAGTCTTCGTTCACTCCCAGGATTCCATTAAAACACCCAGCTCAACCCTGACCAGCCTCCATTTTCACTTCCCTTTATAATTTTGACATAAATTTGTTACAGGACCATCAGGTTCCTATGCCTGCTGCACAGTAGCTTACCAATATTCTGAGACAGCAGGGTTTGCAGCAGAAAGTTTAATGATCACAGGGTGGCTGAATGAGAAGCTGGGAGGAGATCCTCAAATTCATCTCCCCAAGGAGTACTGAGGGTTTCCAGTGGATCCTGGATAGCAAGGGGCTGGAAAGTTGGTGTAGTTTGATGGCAATAAGAGGTATGAAGTTATCACGATGTCAGAACGGCATTCTTTGGTGAGTTGATGCCTTGCAGGGCCCTTCAGATCAGCTGGCATCAGTAGTTTCACTGACATGCAGAACCTGAAAGAATATCTCAGATGAAAAAGTGAATGTTTCACAATGCTTAAATTGTTGTCTGCAGCGTAGTTAAGGGGAATTGTAGTCTAAGTTCTACATGATTTTGGGACAGTAGGCTGCCAGGAACCATGAGGAAGCAGGTCAGAGGGCAAGCTGACCTCCTGGTGAATGCTGAATGCGCTGCAAGCTTGGTTTGTTTTTGTTCCTCCCCCTCTCTTTTTCACTGATTAAATTTATAAAGTTTAGAGATACGGTTTCAATTTCTTCCAGACAAGCCTTAACCTAAGCCCTGAGACCACTCAAGCCCTCAGTGGCACCTCTCTTCCACCAGCGTGAGCAAATAAATTGCTACCTTAGGTGATATAGAACCCACAAGACCATTCGATACATGGAGATTTTTTTTCTGATTTTGTAGGGATGACTTCTCTGTTTTTATAAAGCTGTTTTAACTATAAAACAATTTTATAATTTTAATGTGGCCAAAGATCTCCCAACACTACTTTCAGGTTTTATTTTTCTGTCTACTATCCGGAACAGATCAAACCCTTCCCTGCCTCAAACTCAGGACTATATAGGTCATATATCAGTAAAATTCCATCAGTGTTTGTGGAGTTTATGAATGAATGAATTCTTTTTATTTTTATTTTTTTGACAAAGTCTACCTCTGTCACCCAGAACGGTGTGCAATGGTGCAATCTTGGCTCACTGCAACCATTGCCTCCGGGATTCAAGCGATTCTCCCACCTCAGCCTCCTGAGTAGCTGGATTACAGGCACCTGCCATCATGCCAGGCTAATTTTTGTGTTTTTGTAGAAATGGGGTTTCACCATGTTGGCCTTGCAGGTCTTGATCGCCTGACCTCAGGCGATCCAGCCAACTTGGACTCTCAAAGTGCAGGGATTACAGGTGTGACCCACCTCACCCGGCCTTTAATGAGTGAATTCTTGATTTCCAACCTATTCCTAACACTGTCAATTTCTTGATTCATGAACTTAATATGGATAGCTGATATGAATGAATATCTGATTCAATCCAGTAATCTGGGGACAGCCAAAAACCCAATCAAGATTAACTGGGTGGAGCTTCAGAAATGCAATCAGATAGCACTTTTTGATTGGAAGCAAGCACTGGATACATGGAGGGGTGTGGGTGGGAGTTGTGATTAGAAAGATCAATAAAAGTTTCTGAAGACCCACAGGAGAGACCCAAAGTCTTCAAGTCTGGAGTTCCTGCTTGGTTCTTCCTGAGGTCTAAGCATGCTGCAAACTCAGTCCAGATCTAGTAAGTCACTCATTTCTGGAAGGACACTCCCATCTGACCTATAGTCAGTCGGTCTGGGACAGGGACAGTGCAGCCTATGATGGCACCAAGCTATATCTGTCTTTTATATATATATATGAACAATTTGAAGATTTGAATTTTTTCCTCTATATGCAGTTTTGTCTTTATTTCAAAAAATTGGATTGTGCTTTGGTTTATGTCATTTCAAAATTCTTGATGAGAGCAATGACTCATGCCCATAACCTCAACACCTTGGGAGGCCAAAGCGGGAGGATCATTTGAGCTCAGCGGTTTGAGACCAACCTGGGCAACATGGCAAAAACGCAGCTCTACAAAACATTCTTTTTTTGAAGCAGGGATGGAGCCTCACCCTGTTGCCAAGGCTGGAGTGCAGTGGCAAGAGCTCAACTCACTGCAACCTCTTCCTCCCAGGCTCAAACAATTTTCATGCCTCAGCTTCCTGAGTAGCTGGTATTACATCCCTCTGCCACCATGCCTGCTTAATTTTTGTATTTTTAGTAGTGGTGGGGTTTCACCATGCTGGCCAGGTTGGTCTCAAACTCCTGACATCAAGTGATCCTCCTGCCTCAGCCCCCCAAAGTGCTGGAATGACAGCCTTGAGCCAATGGTGGTCAGCCTCTACAAAATATATATATCTTTTAATTTGCCAGGCATGGTAGCATGCGTCTGTATTCCCAGCTATTTGGTTTGCTGACATGGGAGAATCACTTGAGCCCAGAAGATTGAGGCTGCAGTGAGCCATGCTCACACCACTGCTGTACTCCAGCCTGGGCAACAGAGTAAGACCCTGCTAAAAACAAAAACAAAACAAAAACAAACAAACAAAAAACCTTAACCAAAGAGAATCTTTGACCTTAATTTTAAACCAATCACATCCTCACTGTAATTCTTCCTCCCGAATGGAGACATGGGTGTGGGGGTGCATGCCTGTAATCCCAGCTACGTGGAAGGTTGAAGCATGAGAATTGCTTGAATCTCAGAGGCGGAAGTTACAGTGAGCTGAGATGGAGCCGCTGCACTCCAGCCTGGGCGACAAAGTGAGATTCAGCTTCACCCACACCAAAAAAAATGAGATTATACCACCCAGGTGATCATTGGATACATGAAGATTTCTATTGTGTTTTCTTGGGGACTGTCAACTCCGTCTTTGAAAACTGTTTTAACTCTGAAAAATTTTGATAAATTTGATGTGGCCAAGGATCCCTCAACAAAGATACTTTCAAGTTTTCTTTCTTTCTATCTAATATCAGGAAGAGATTCAACCCTTCCCTATCTCACACTCAGGACTATGAAGGACACATATTAGTAAACCTCCATGTTTGTGGAGGGAATCAGTGAATGAGTCCTGGACTTTCACCCTATCCCTAAATCTTTCACTCTGATGGATGAATATCTAATTCAATCAGTTAATCTGGAAGAAAGCCAAAAATCCAATCAGGATTAACTGGGTAGAGTTTAAGAAGTCGAATCAAATGTAGTTCTCTCTCTTTTCTTTTTTTTTTTTTCTTTGAATCTAGCCTATTTCCCAGGCTGGAGTGCAGTGGAGTATTGTCAGCTCACTGCGACCTCTGCCTCCTGGGTTCAAGCGAGCCTCCTGCATCAGCCTCCCTAGTAGCTTGGATTATAGGCACAGACAACTGCACCTTGCTAATTTTTCTAATTTTGGTAGAGGTAGGGTTTTACCATGTTGGCCAGGCTGGTCTCAAACTCCTGACCTCGGATAATCCACCTGCCTCTGCCTCCCAGAGTGCTGGGATTACAGGTGTGAGTCACTGCACACAGCCAAAGTGGTTCATTTTGAATATGTGTGAGAGGTGTGTATTGGAAACATCTGTGTCTTGCCAATGATGCATAACACTGTCACATAGCTTTCAAAGCTTCTCGCTGAAATTTTCAATAATGAGACCAGGCAGAGGCTCATGCCTGCAATCCCAGCACTTTGGGAGGCCAAAGTGGGTGGATTGTTTGAGTCTAGGAGTTCAAGACCAGCCTGGACAACATAGTGAAACCCACTGTCTTTACAAAAAGTCAAAAAATAAAAGATTAGCTGGGTACGAGATCTGAGCTTCAGAGATCCTCGGTAACATTTGCCAGTGCTATGAGTTTAGTGGATCAGTGGCTAATAATTCATGGACTACGAGGGATCTTGCCTGCTCTTTAGAAGTTGGGACACATTCTTCATGGTACCAGAAGGGTAGAACTGTGTCTCTGTGGCCACTTATTGCAGAAAGGAACTGGAGTAAACTAAGGGCTCTTTCACACACGCTAGAGAAATGACTTTGGCCCTGGGAGAATTGGGGGTTGCAGGGGATTGGTCTGAGGAACTTGCCTTTTTGCTGGATTGTGCTGTAGAGTTTTTCCTTGTAGATTTGTCAGAATGAGCCTCCAGACCCCATCCAGACTCCTGGAGCTGGCAGGGCAGAGCCTGCTGAGGAACCAGTTCTTGACTATCTTCACCCTGGATGAGCTGCCCAGGGAGGTCTCCCCTCTGTTCATGGAGGCCTTCAGCATGAGATGTTGTGAGGCCCTGAAGCTGATGGTGCAGGCCTGGCCCTCCCTTCACCTCCCTCTGGGATCCCTGATGAAGACAACTCATCTGGAGACCTTGCAAGCTGTGCTGAAGGGACTTGATACACTAGTGTCCCAGAAGGTTTGCCCCAGTTGAGGTGACTCAGGTGGCCTGGTGGGAAGGGTCCAGACATCCAGGGAAGGGACAGCTGGCTCAGGAGGAGTGGCAGTGTGTGGGAGCTAGGGTGGCTCAGAGGCTTCTGATGGTGCCCATGAGAAGCCTTGGCCATTGCCCAGATCCTCTGGAAAAGGACTGCTTACCATACAGGGTCCACTGAGGAAACAGGAACCTGCTTCCTCCCAGTGGAAGGTAAAGGTACTAGAAGTGGGTACCATGCAGAATCCAAGGGGGAACAGGATGGAGAAAAGACAGAAGGAGGAGCACTGGGACAGGAGCAGCTGACTCATGTCCTGGATGCGGAGTGAAAGTTCAGGTCAAGGGTCGGTCCTTGCCTACATTCTGAGCTTTTCCCTTATGTTACTCACAGGAGGTGGAAACTTCAAGTGCTGGATTTGAGGGATGTTGATGAGAATTTCTGGACCATATGGTCTGGAGTCAGGGTCCTCCCCTGCTCCCCAGAGGCCATGAGTAAGAGGCAGACAGTGGAGAACTGTCCAAGGATGGGAGAGTGCCAGCCCTTGAAGGTGTTCATAGACCTCTGCCTGAAGGAAAGTACACTGCATGAATGCCTGAGCTACCTCTGAAGGTGGATCCACTACAGAAGAGGCCTAGTGCACCTGTGTTGTAGTAAGGTGCAGAATTACTCAATGCCCACTTCAAGTTTCAGAAATCTATTGGAAAGGATATACCCAGATAGTATCCAGGAGTTGGAAGTCTGGAAAAAGTGCTCTCTCAATAAAACGGGAAAGTTTGCCCCTTACCTGAGCCAGATGAGCAATCTTTGCAAACTTTTTAGCCTTCGGTTATGAGCCTGAATTATACGTGAGCGGCCAATGGCAGTTCATTCCTGACTTGGATTGGCCATTCCTGTGCCTGTACTACCCCCAGATGCATTATATAAGAAAGGTCAGTAATATCAAAGAGCACCTGGAGCACCTGCTCAGGTAGGAAACGATGGTGGGCTTTCTGTGCAGACCATAACACAGACTTTTGTTCTTTTTCACAGTAAATGTTAGTGGGCATCTACTGTGTGCCATCCACTGAGGATGTCACAGGGAATGGGATGCTAGAATGTCAACTCATTAAGCTGTTCAGTGCTCTATATCCTGAAGTTGGTATCACAAGACCACTCAAATAAGGGCAGAGGGATGGCCTGGGGTAGATGCTACAGAGAGAGATGTATAGGGAGCTAGTTAGTTGGGGATTCACATCTAGTGAAGGGGCATTTGTGAATTCCTCCTTAGGAAGTGTGTATAAAGTTAATATGATGAAAACGTATTCTTCATAAAGAAGAGGGTATGAAAGAAGGGAAAGTGCAGTCTGGTGTGATGTCTCATGCCTGTAATCCCAGGACTTTGGAAGGCTGAGGCAGGCAGATCACGAGGTCAGGAGTTTCAGACCACCCTGACCAACACAGTGAATCCCTATCTCTATTAAAAATACAAAATTTAGCTGAGCATGGTGCCAGGCACCTGTAATCCCAGCTACTTGGGAGGCTGAGGCAAGGGAAGTGAAGGCTGCAGTGAGCTGAGATTGTGCCACTGTAATCCAGCCTAAGTTACAATGTGAGACTCTGTGTCAAAAAAAAAAAAAGAAAAGAAAAGAAAAAGAAGAAGGGAAAGTGCATGAAACCTGTGCATTTCACAGTAGAAGCTCCGTCCTCAGCAGCTTAATAAACACCAATGATCCTGTCTGTAATTCCTTGTCTGTGAAAGGTTGTTTTGAACTCCAGGAAAGGTAATTGATACGGGAAGTGCATGCTTCTGGGATGGAGGGTGAGGGAGTAGGTGTGAGAGTGGTACCAATCACACAAGCGAGGCTGAAAGGACTGAGCCTAAAATAGAGCTGCCCCTGAATGATCTGAGTCTTCATCAGGCAGCACCTTGCACGCAGACCATCATCTGGTGATGGGAACAAACTTGTGTTTGGGTGAAACAGGCTTCCCTATTGCAGTTACTATAACACCTGTGTGGTAGTAAGGTGCAGAATTACTCAATGCCCACTTCAAGTTTACCATTGAGATGATTTCCCACCCCCCTCCTCTAACTGGCACCATTGCCCATAACTAACTTCTTGCTCTCCCCAGGTACCTCAAGAACCCCTTGGGGGCCTTTACATTCAGTGATGCTTACCTAGCTGATCGGGACATGGAGTGTCTGTCTCAGTACCCAAGCCTCAGTCAGCTAAAGGAGCTGCGTCTGATTCATATCCTAATGTGGACCACCAATCTTGAGCCCCTTGGAGCTCTGCTGGAGAAAGTTGCTGCTACTCTCAAGACCCTCGTCTTAGAGGACTGTCGGATCCAGGCCCCCCAACTCAGGGTCCCCCTGCCTGCCCTGAGCCACTGTTCCCAGCTCACCACCTTCTACTTTCATGGAAATGAGACCTCCACGAATGCTCTGAAAGACCTGCTGCGTCACACAGGCAGGCTGAGCAAGTTAGGCCTGGACATGTATCCTGCCCCTCTGGAGTGTCTTGACAACAGGGGTCATGCCAATTGGGAGATCCTCACCCCAATTACGGCTGAGCTGATGCGTACACTCAGGGAAGTCAGGCAGAACAGGAGGATCTTCTTTTTTTTTTTTTTTTTTTTTTTTTTTGAGACGGAGTCTCGCTCTGTCGCCCAGGCTGGAGTGCAGTGGCACAATCTCGGCTCACTGCAAGCTCCGCCTCCCGGGTTCACGCCATTCTCCTGCCTCAGCCTCCCAAGTAGCTGGGACTACAGGCGCCCGCCACTACGCCCGGCTAATTTTTTGTATTTTTAGTAGAGACGGGGTTTCACCGTTTTAGCCGGGATGGTCTCGATCTCCTGACCTCGTGATCCGCCCGCCTTGGCCTCAGGAGGATCTTCTTTGGTCCCACCCCCTGCCCTTCCTGTGGCTCATGGCCATCTGAGAAACTGGAGTTCCATGTGCTCCTAGGGAAGGCCTGGTTAGTGGGATGGATAAGCTTTCTTCCGGACACTTGGGAACTAAAATCTTGTACATGGGTGCATTTTTAATTTTAATTTAATTTAATTTTTTATATTTTTATTTTATTTTATTTTATTTTTGAGACAGAGTCTGACTCTGTCCCTCAGGATGAAGTGTAGTGGCACAATCTCAGCTCATGGCAAGCTTTGCCTCCTGGGTTCAAGTCATTCTCCTGCCTCAGCCTCCCAAGTAACTGGTGTTATGGGTGTGGGCCCCAAGCCCGGCTAATTTTTGTATTTTTAGTAGAGACAGGGTTTCACGATGTTGGCGGAGGCTGGCCTCTAACTCCTAACCTCAAGTGATCTGATTGCCTTGGCCTTCCACAGTTCCAGGTTTACAAGTGTGTGCAGCTGGGCCCGGTCAGCCGTTTCTTAAAGGAAGCACACAGCTGTGTGTTTCAGGTACGTGCTCACCGCGAGTGGAAAAACAAAGGTGACTCAGCCGGGGGCAGGACTGGGTAAAAATGCTGACTTGGAATCAATGAGGCCTTCAGGGACCTGTGTTCTAGACTCAGAAATGGAGCCTGAAGTTCTAGACTGATGCAGGAGTTGCCACCGCAAGGATGGTTATTTAAAAATGTCAAAAATAAATGGAACCTGAATGGAAACTTTCTGGTGTCTTCCACGATTGATCAACTTGTTTTAGACATTTATGTATCAGAAGTCTCTAGAAATCACCCTCCTGGGTTCAAGCAACTCTCCTACCTCAGCCTCCTGAGTAGCTGGGACTACAGGGCACCGCCACCACACCTGGCTAATTTTTGTATTTTAAGTAGAAAGGGGGTTTCACCATGTTGGCCAGTCTGGTCTCGAACCCCTGACCTCAGGAAAACCACTTGCCTCAGCCTCCCAAAGTGCTTGGATTGTAGACATGAGCCACTGCACCTGGCCTGATATTCTGATACAAGCATAAAATGTGTAATATTCAAATCATGGTAACTGGGATATCCACCATCTCAAGAATTTATCTTTTCTTTCTGCTAGCAACATTCCAATTCCATTATTTTAATTATGTAGAAATTTACTACGAACTATTGTCAACATGAGTTGCCCTATTGTGCTACTAAACCCTAGATCTTATTCCTGTCTGTGTTTTTGTTCCCATTAACCATCCCCTTCTTATTCTCTATTTCCCAGTACCCTTCCTAGCTTCTGATAACCATCATTTTACTATTTTTAAGTTTCATGTTTTTTAATTCCCAAATATGAGTGCGAACATGCCATGTTTGTCTTTCTGTATCTGGCTTACTTCACTCAACATAACGCCCTCCAGTTCCTTCCATGTTGTCGCAGATAACTGGATTTCCTTCATGTTTACGGCTCAGTGATATTCTGTTGTGTATATTTACCACATTTTCTTGATCCATTCATCTGCTGATGGACACTTACGTTGATTCCAAATTTTGGCTATTGTGGATAGTGCTGCAATAAATAGGAGAGTGCAGGCTGAGTGCAGTGGCTCATGCCAGTAATCCCAGAATTTCGGGAGGCTGAGGCAGGTGGATTACTTGAGGTCAGGAGTTCAAGACCAGCCTGACCAACATGGTAGTGTAGATATCTCCTGGATATATTACTTTTTTTTTTTCTGGATATATGTCCAGCAGTGGGATTTATGGTTTATATGGTAATCCTATTTTTATTTTTTGGAGGAAGCTCCATTCTGCTTTCCATAGTAGCTGTACTAATTTACATAACTACCAATGTTGTACCAGGGTTCTCATTTCTCCATATTCTTCATAGCATCCATTATTTTCTGTTGGTTTTTTATGGGGGAACTCCCCTTACTATTAAAACTCAAATCCAGTTTGGTGTAAACACAGAAACCCTGCTAGAGTTGCCTGCCACCTTTGAAACAGGCCATTGGAATGAAAATTGTCCACCTATGCACCAGGTCTCTATTGGACAGAATGTTTTGTCCCACAGGTTGTTCACATTAGAGGAGATTTCTTTTTTGTTTTTCTTTACTTTTCTGCCTTTTTTTTTTTTTTTTGAGGTAGAGTTTCACTATTGTTGCCCAGGCTGGAGTGCAATGGTGGGATCTCAGCTCACTGCAACCTCCACCTCCTGAGTTCAAGTGATTCTCCTGCCTCAGCTTCCCAAGTAGCTGGGATTACATTCATGCACCACCACAGCTGGCTAATTTTGTATTTTTAGTAGAGACAGGGTTTCTCCATGTTGGTTAGGCTGGTCTCGAACTCCCAACCTCAGGTTATTCCCCCACCTCAGCCTCCCAAAGTGCTGGGATTACAGGCATGAGCCACCACATCTGGCTAGAGGACATTTCTGATGTCTCCATATTGATGGAATTTAAAATAACTCTCTGGTAAATTGTTTTCTATAATAGCCTTAAATAAAAATGGAGAAGCTGAGATTAAGATCATTGCAGACTTAGGTACAGAATTGGTGGAAACCAGGGCTGCCATATCCAGTTTACAGCCAATATATCAGCAAATCCCTTGGAGAAAGGAAAATATTTCTGAGGAGGGGTTTCACATGAAGTTCAGAAAATTCCTGTGTTTGAAGCAGTCCAAATGACATTTGGACCATTTTTAGGAAAGTATGGCTTTTTATTAAGTGACAACATGGGGATGAGATTTGCTTTCTCCGTTAAGGTGATGCGTAAAGCTTTCTTTGGAGGGAGAGAAAACCCTAGAGTTTCCTGACCTTCCTTAACCTGAGCTGCTTGGTTCCCTAGAAGCAGAAATTGATCATATTAGAACCCAAACTCATACCAACCTTGACCTTCATGAAGTACTCAAGTGTTTCTGCTCTTCTTCCTCATGTGATGTAGAAAGTATTAAAAGTGATGAGTTTAGGCCAGGCACTAACTGGTTCACGCCTGTAATCTCAGCACTTTCAGAGGCCGAGGTGGGTGCATCACCTGTGGTCAGGAGTTCCAGACCAGCCTGGGCAACATGGTGAAACTCTCTCTCTACTAAAAATACAAAAACTAGCTGTGTGTGGTGGTCTGTGCCTGTAATTCCAGCTAACTGGGAGACTGAGGCAGGAGAATCACTTGAACCAGGAGGCAGAAGTTGCAGTGAGCCGAGATCGCACCATTGTACTCCAGCCTGGAAAACAAGAATGAAACTCTATCTCAAAAAAAAATTAATAAATAAATACATTATAAATAAATAAATTAATTAATGCTTTAAAGAAAAAAGAAATAAACTTTGCCTACAAGTTTCATATGCAATTGAGTACCTCTTAAATTTTGATGTGAATCGACCAGGCATGGTGGCTGAGGCCTGTAATCCCAGCACTTTGGGAGGCCGAGGCAGACAGACCACGAAGTCAGGAGATTGAGACCATCCTAGTTAACATGGTGAAACCCCGTCTTTACTAAAAATACAAAAAATTAGCCAGGTGTAGTGGCATGCACCTGTAGTCCCGGCTATTTAGGAGGCTAAGGCAGGAAAATTGCTTGAACCGGGGAGGCAGAGGTCGAAGTGAGCTGAGATCGTGCCACTGCATTCCAGCCTGGTGACACAGTGAGACTCCATCTCAAAAAATAAATGAATAAAATAAATAAATCAATAAAAATATTGTGACAGGAACCAACATTGCTCAACTTGTACACTAATGTCTTACAAAATCCTTTCCTTGTCACCTTCAAATCTCCATTTCAAATGCTACACTCTGCATAACTCTACCACTTTGTTGCCATTTTCTGATGGTGGAGAAGACCATACGTGTGTGTGTGTGTGGCATCAGAACTATTGACTCCTCCTATTGATGTTTAAGATATTCCATTACACAAACCTGGGTTCATACTTTTTGTTGATAGATCTTATGCCAAAAATGTAGGCAAAAAATGCCAAGCAGGAAATGCTATCACTTCTGAAGATGAATTCATAGAGATGGAAATTCTTTCAGAATTTATTTTTCCAGCTTTTTTCTTTGTTTGTTCGTTTGTGTTTGTTTGTTTTGAGACAGTCTCGCTCTGTCACCAAGTTGGAGTGCAGTGGTGAAATCTTGGCTGACTGCAACCTCCTCCTCCTGAGTTCAAGCGACTCTCCTGCCTCAGTCTCTCGAGTAGCTAGTACTATGGGTGGGTGCCACCATGCTCAGCTAATTTTTGTATTTTTAGCAAAGACAGGGTTTCACCATGTTGGCTAGGATGGTCTCAATTTTTTGGCATCGTGATCTACCTGCCTTGGCCTTCTGAAGTGCTGGGATTACAGGTGTGAGCCACCACCATGCCCGGCCTTTTTTTTTTTTTTTCCTTTTGAGATGGAGTCTCACTCTATTGCCCAGGCTGGGAATGGGACTCCTCCTATCAATTATTTTTTTAACTTTTCTTTTGTTTTATTGACCTGACAAGGGTCAAATAGAGTTGAGTTTTTGTTTTTGTTTTTTCCATTGGAAGGGACAATACAGAGGTTACAATCATTGGCTTTAGATGACACGATAAAAGAATAAAACATATTCCTTGCAAGACAACCAGCAAAACTTCATGATCAGCATCAAATCAGTGCCTTCTCACTGTCAGTGGGTGGAAGCCTTCATCAATACTTGTAGAGTTTGAAGCACTCATGAACTCACAATCAGACTCTTTACTCAGGGACAGGATGTAAGCCAATCGAAAGACCTTCCACAGGTGGTGAATTTGGGAGCCTGCCCAATGTGACCTGCAAGTTTTCACTGGCAAAATGCAGGTGCAGATATGACAAAGAATAACCATGACCTTTACATCACCCCCAGCTGTTGAGGAATGGGATCCTTTCGACCCTTTCTGTCCATAGAACCATGTTACTCATCTTGTGTGGCAACAAAATATATGGTCTACTTAACAGAGAAGAAGACTCTGTAAAAAAAAATGTTTATTATGAAGTAAGCAAAGAAGTGGCAATAGATGCGAGATTATTTGGGGAGATAAAGGAAGTTGAAGGTTTTGAAAGGAAAAATAAGGAGGATTATACAAATTGTTTTGAAAGACTCATACTTGGTCATAAGGATTAAAACCAAAAGGGCATCAGTGCAATGTTAGATAGATTCCTCTTACACCCACTCAATAACCCCCAACATGTTCAGCAAGTCTTGCTTCACTCCCAGGTTCCCATTAAAAACCCAGCTCAACCCTGACCAGCTCCACCCTCACTTCCATTTGTAATTTTGACATGACTTTATTACAGGACCATCAGGTTCCTATGCCTGCTGCACAGTAGCTTAGCAATATTCTGAGACAGCAGGGTTTGCAGCAGAGAGTTTAATGATCACAAGGTGGCTGAATGAGAAGCTAGGAGGAGATCCTCAAATTCATCTCCCCAAGGAGTACTGAAGGTTTCCAGTGGATCCTGGATAGCAAGAGGCCGGAAAGTTGGGGTAGCGGTAAGAGGGAAGAAGTCAACAGGATGTAGAAACTGCATTCTTTGGTGAGTTGGTGCATTGCATGGCCCTTCAGATCAGCTGGCATCAGCAGTTTCACTGACATGCAGAACCTGAAAGAATATCTCAGATGAAAAAATTAATGTTTTACAATGCTTGAATCGTTGTCTGCAGGGAAGTTAAGGGGAACTGTAATCTAAGGTCTATATGATTTTGGAACAGTAGGCTGCCAGCAACCATGAGGAACCAGTTCAGAGAGCAAGAAGACCTCCTGATGAAGGCTGAATGTGTTGCAAGCTTCGTTTATTTTTGTTTCTCTCCCTCCCTTCTTCACTGATTAAATTTATAAACTTTAGAGATGTGGTTTCAATTTCTTCCAAAGAAGCCTTAACCTAAGCCCTGAGACCACTCACGCCCTCAGTGGCACCTCTCCTCCACCAGAACGAGCATGTAATCTGCTACCTTAGGTTACACAAAATCCCAAAAACCATTCAATACATTGAGATTTTTATTCTGATTTCGTAGGGATGACTCCTCTGTTTTTATAAAGCTTTTTAAAGTAGAAAGCATTTTTATATTTTGATGTGGCCAAAGATCTCCTAACAACACTACTTTCAGATTTTATTTTTCTGTCTAATGTCGTAACAGATCAAATCCGTCCCTGCCTCACACTCAAGACTATGAAGTTCACATATTAGTAAAATGCCATCAGTGTTTCTGGAGTTCATGAATGAATGATTTTTTTATTTTTTGACAGAATCTCCCTCTGTCACCCAGACTGGAGTGCAGTGGCACAATTCTGGCTCACTGCAACCATTGCCTCCTGGGTTCAAGCAATTCTCCTGCCTCAGCCTCCCAAGTAGCTGGGTTTCAGGTGCCTGCCATCATGCCCAGCTAATTTTTGTATTTTTGTATTTTTGTAGAGACAGGGTTTCACCTTTTTGACCTGGCTCGTCTTGAACCCCTGACATCAGGTGATCTACTCACCTTGTCCTTCCCAAGTGCTGGAATTACAGCTATGAGCCACCTCACCCACCCTTGAATGAATGTATTCTTGACTTCTACCCTATCCCTAACACTGTCAATTTCTTGCTTCACGAACTGAATATAGATATGTGATATGAACGGATATCTGACTCAATCCATTAATCTGGGGAGAGCCAAAAACCCAATCAGGATTAACTGGATGGAGCTTCACAAATGCAATCAGATATTGCTTTTTGATTGGAAGCTAGCAGTGCAAACGTGGAAGGGCATGGGTGGGAGTTGTGATTAGAAAGGTCAATAAAATCTTCTAAAGACCCACAGGAGAGACCCAAAGTCTTCAAGCCTGGAGTTCCTGCTTGGTTCTTCCTGAGGTCTGAGCACCTTCTAGACTACATCCAGATCTGGTAAGTCACTAATTTCTGTAAGGACACTCCCATCTGACCTACAGTCAGTCAGTCTGGGATGGTGACAGTGCAGCCTACGATGGCACAGAGCTATATCCTGTCCTTTTTTTTTCTCATATGAACAATTTGAAGCTTTGAATTTTTTCCTCTAAATGCAGTTCTGTCTTTATTTCAAAAAAGTTGATTGTGCTTTGGTTGATGTCATTTCAAAATTCTTGAAGGGAGCAGTGACTCATGCCTTTAACCCCAACACATTGGGAGGCCAAAGTGGGAGGATCATTTCAGCCCAGGGGTTTGAGACCAACCTGGGCAACATGACAAAAGCCCTCCTCTACACAACGTTTTTTTTTTTTTTTGAGGGTGGGGATGGAGTCTCACTGTGTTGCCCAGACTGGAGTGCAGTGGCATGATCTCAACTCACTGCAACCTTTACCTCCCGGGTTCAAGCAATTCTCATGCCTCAGTCTCCATCCTCAGAAGCTGGTGTCACAGACATCTGAAACCATGCCTCGCTAATTTTTGTATTTTTAGTAGAGGTGGGGTTTCACCATGCTGGCCAGGTTGGTGTCGAACACCTGACCTCAAGTGATCCACCTGCCTTGGCCTCCCAAAGTGCTGGGATTACAGCTGTGAGTCACTGGTGCTTGGCCTCTACTTTTTTTTTTTTTAATTAGCCGAGCATGGTGACATGCATCTGTAGTCCCAGCTATTTGGGTGGCTGGTGTGGGAGAATCACTTGAGCCCAGAAGATTGAGGCTGCAGTGAGCCATGCTCATACCACTCCTGTACTCCAGCCTGGGCAAAAGAGAGACACCCTGTCCAAAAAACAAAAACAAAATCAATCAAAAAGGATCTTTGACCTTAATTTTAAACCAATCACATCCTCTTCCACCCAAATGGAGACATGGCTGTGGGGGGTGCATGCCTGTAGTCCCAGCTACGTGGAAGGCTGAAGCATGAGAATTGCTTGAATCTTGGAGGCCGAGGTAACAGTGAGCCGATATGACACCACTGCACTCTAGCCTGGCCGATGAAGTGAGATTCAGCTCCCTCAACACCAAAAAGAATTACGCCACCTAGGTGATCTTTGGATATATGAAGATTTCTACTGTGTTTTCTTAGGGACTGTCATCTCTGTCTTTGAAAACTGTTTTAACTCTGAAATATTTTGATAAATTTGACATGGCCAAGGATCCCTCAACAAAGATACTTTCAAGTTTTCTTTCTTTCTGTCTAATATCAGGAAGAGGTTCAACCCTTCCCTATCTCACACTCAGGACTTTGAAGGACACATATTAGTAAAACTCCATGTTTGTGAAGGGAATCAGTGAATGAGTCCTGGACTTTCACCCTATCCCTAAATCTTTCATTTTGATGGATGAATATCTAATTCGATCAGTTAATATTTAAGAAAGTCAGAAATCCAATCAGGATTAACTGGGTAGAGATTAAGAATTCTAATCAAATGTAGCTCTCTCTGTCTCTCTGTTCAATCTAGCCTATTTCCCAGGCTGGAGTGGAGTGGTATAATGTCAGCTCACTGCAACTTCTGCCTCCTGGGTTCAAGTGATCCTCCTACCTCAGCCTCCCTATTAGCTTGGACTACAGGCGGAGACCACTGCATCTCACTGAAATTTTCAATAATGAGGCTGGGGCGGAGGCTCACACCTATAATCCCACTATGTTGGGAGGCCAAGAGGGGTAGATTGCTTGAGACTAGGAGTTCAAGACCAGCTTGGACAACATAGCGAAATCCACTGTCTTTACAAAAAGTCAAAAAATAAAAGATGAGCTGGGTGTGGTGATGCATAACTGTGGTCCCAGCTACTTGAGAGGCTGAGGAGGAAGAATCCTTTGAGCTGGGAGGTCAAGGCTGCACTGAGCTGAGATCCCACCACTACACTCCAGGCTGGGTGACAGCAAGACCCTGTCAGAAAGAGAGTGAGAGAGGGAGAGAGAGAAAGAGAGAGAGAATGAGAGAAGGGAGGCAGGGAAAGAAGACAAGAAAGAAAGAAGGGAGAGAGAGGAGGAAAGAAAGAAAGAAGGGAGGGAGAGAGGGAAAGAAGGAAAAAAGAAAGAGAGAAAGAGAAAGCAAGCTTAAATAATGAAAAGAAAACAAATAGAACCTGTTCTAGGGATGCCCCATGAATGTTCCCAACAAGCTTATTTTTAGGAACTGAAATTGTGGGCATGTAGGCTTGTGACACTCCCATTCCCATTGTTTTAGAACCTTAAGTAATTAATAATTTCCCCCAATGGTAGGAGGGGTTCACTTTCAGGTTCCTCCACACTCACTAGTCACTGGATGGAGCACTGGATAGAAAGGAAGGGCTCGTGGTGGCCCTGCTTCCTCACTGCTTCGGAGACGCTCATGCTGATGCAGCAGAGGCAGAATGCTGGCTTAATGGCCACTGAGTACAGAGTAGAATTGGAGTAAACTGAGGGCTGTTTCACCATTGCCAGAGCAGTGACTTTGGCCCTGGGAGAAGATGAGATTGCATGGGCTTGGCCTGAGAGTGATGCCTTTTCTCTGGGTTTGTCCTCTGGAAGTTTTCCCTGCAGATTCATGAAGATGAGCATCCGGATTCCACCCAGACTCCTGGAGCTTGCGGGGCGGAGCCTGCTGAGGGACCAAGCCTTGGCCGTCTCCACCCTGGAGGAGCTGCCCACGGAACTTTTCCCCCCACTGTTCATGGAGGCCTTCAGCAGGAGACGCTGTGAGGCCCTGAAGCTGATGGTGCAGGCCTGGCCCTTCCGCCGCCTCCCTCTGAGGCCTCTGATAAAGATGCCTTGTCTGGAGGCCTTCCAAGCTGTGCTCGATGGGCTGGATGCACTGCTTACCCAAGGGGTTCGTCCCAGGTGAGGTGGCCCAGGTGGGCTGGTGGGGAGGGCCCAGGTGTCCAACTGAAGGAACAGCTGGGTCATGTGAAGTGAGGAGGCCCAAGGGGGATGGTGGTGGTGAGGAAGCCGAGAGGACTTGGCCATTCACCAGCTCCTCAGGGAAAGCACTGCTCACCAGGCAAGGTCCATAGAGGTAACAGGAACCTCTCCTCTAATGGCACTGAAAGGCACCATGAAAAGTGAGAACTGGGCCGGGCACGGTGGCTCACAATGTAATCCCAGCCCATTGGGAGGCTGAGGTCAAGAGTTGGAGGCCAGCCTGTCCAACATGGTAAACCCCAACTCTACTAAAAATACTAAAATTAGCTGGGCATGGTGGTGGGTTCCTGTAATCCCAGCTACTTGTGAGGTTGAGGCAGGAGAATCATTTGAACCCGGGAAGAAGAGGTTGCAGTGAGGTGACATCACACCACTGCACTCTAGCCTGGGCGACAGAAGGAGACTTGGTCTCAAAAAAAAAACAAAAAAATGTGGAAGTGGGTAGGATCCAAGGGGAAAACAGGGTGAAGAAAACTCAGAGAGAGGGACAACAAGCAGGGAGGGGAGGAGCTGCTATGCAGGATGTGGAGTTTAAGTTCAGAAATGAGTTCTTAAATTCTCAGTCTCACCTCTATTTTCCCACAGGAGATGGAAACTTCAAGTGCTGGATTTACAGGATGTCTGTGAGAACTTCTGGATGGTTTGGTCTGAAGCTATGGCCCATGGGTGCTTCCTCAATGCCAAGAGGAACAAAAAACCAGTGCAGGACTGTCCAAGGATGAGAGGACGGCAGCCCTTGACTGTGTTTGTAGAACTTTGGCTCAAGAACAGGACTCTGGATGAATACCTCACCTGCCTCCTTCTATGGGTCAAGCAGAGGAGAGATTTACTACACCTGTGCTGTAAGAAGCTGAAAATTTTGGGAATGCCCTTCCGCAATATCAGAAGCATCCTGAAAATGGTGAACCTAGACTGTATCCAGGAGGTGGAAGTGAATTGCAAGTGGATACTGCCCATCCTGACACAGTTTACCCCATACCTGGGCCACTTGAGGAATCTTCAGAAGCTCGTTCTCTCCCACATGGATGTCTCTCGCTACGTTTCCCCAGAGCAGAAGAAGGAGATTGTTACCCAGTTCACCACTCAGTTCCTCAAGCTGCGCTGCCTCCAAAAGCTTTATATGAACTCTGTTTCTTTCCTCGAAGGCCACCTGGACCAGCTGCTCAGGTGAGGGAGGGTGGTGAGCTTTCTCTGCAGACCACAGCAGAGCCTGTTACAGTGAACACTAGTGGGCATCTACTGTGAGCCAGCCTATGAGGATGTAACAGTGAAGGGGACACTAGAATGTCCATGCATTGTCCTGTTGGCGGCCCTGTCCTGAAATGGGTATCATGCAACCCTCCCAATAGAGTCAGAGGGATCAGTCAGGGGAGATGCTATAGAGAGGCTGCCATGCTAGGAAGCTAGCTACTGGGGGGTTCAGATCTAGTGAGGGTGCCTTTCTGAATTCTTCCTGAGGATGTGTGTCTAAGTTAAGATGATGAAAAATAGGCCAGGGGCGTTGGCTCATGCCTGTAATCCTAGCAGTTTGGGAGTCTGAGGCAAGAGGATAGCTTGAGCCTAGGAGTTTAAGAGCAGTCTGGGTAACATCCCAAGACCCCTGTCAGAAATGAATAAATAAAAGTAAAATCAAACAAGATAACTTTTTTTTCTGAGATGGATTTTCACTTTGATCATCCAGGGTAGAGTGCACTTGTGACATCTCAGCTCGCAGCAACTTCTGCCTCCCAGGTTCAAGCGATTCTCCTGCCTCAGCCTCCTGAGTACCTGGGATTACAGGCGTGGGCCACCACACCTGGCTAATTTTTATATTTTAAGTAGAGACAGGTTTTCACCATTTTGGCCAGGTTATTCTCCAACCCCTGATTTCAGGTGATCCACCCACCTTGGACTCCCAAAGTGCTGGGATTATAGGCGAGAGCTACCACGCCCAGCCAACAAGATAATTTTTAAGAAGATGATGTGAAGTAGGGAAGTGAAGTGGGCACTGAAGAGGGGAATGCTCAGCAAACCTGCACATGTCAGAAAATCAGCTTTGTGCCCCACAGTTTGGTGAACATGAATGATCCCATCTCTAATTCCCATTGTAAAAGTTTCTTTTGAGCTCCAGGTAAATTAATTACCTAGGAAATGTATGATTCTGAAACAGAGGGTCAGGGAGCAGGCACAAAGAATGATGAAAGTGATAGATGGTTTGCTGATGATACAGGTGTGTCAGGGACGCCTGCAGCCTGCCCACCCCAGCTGATGTTGCAGGATCCTGTCTGGGTTTGTCCTTTATGCCTGCATCTCCACTGGGCTTCTGTGGCCCAGGGATGTGGTTTTCTGCCTGACAGATGAGGAAAGGGAGCTTTAGGGATTCTGTGAACTTGATCCATTCCTATAAATGATGGTGAAATGACTCAGCCTGAAATGGAATTATTTTTTCTCCTTTTTTTTTTTTTAATAGAGTATCACTCTGTCACCCAGGCTGGAGTGTAGTGGCATGATCTCTGCTCACTGCAACCTACACCTCCTGGGTTCAAGCGATTCTTCTGCCTCAGCTTCCCAAGTAGCTGGAATTGCAGGCTCCCGCCACCACACCTGGCTAATTTTTGGATTTTTAGTAGAGACGAGGTTTTGCCATGTTCAGCAGGCTGGTCTCAAACTCCTGATCTCAAGGAATCCACCAGTCTCAGCCTCCCAAAGTGCTGGGATTACAGGTGTGAGTTACTGGGCCGGGCCTAAAGTGGAATTGACCTCGGTGGCAAAGCTCTTCATCACACATCATCCGAAGTGTTGACCATCCGGCCATGAGAATGATCCTGGACTTGGGCAAAATGGTCTCCATCCATTACCTTGAAGCCATTCCCCACCACCCTCCACTCACCCCTATGATTCCCCAGAATTAACTTCTTGCTCTCTCTCCCCAGCTGTCTGAAGACCTCGTTAAAGGTCCTCACAATAACTAACTGTGTGCTTTTGGAATCAGACTTGAAGCATCTATCCCAGTGCCCGAGTATCAGTCAACTAAAGACCCTGGACCTGAGTGGCATCAGACTGACCAATTACAGTCTTGTGCCTCTCCAAATTCTCCTAGAAAAAGTTGCAGCCACCCTTGAGTACCTGGATTTAGATGACTGTGGCATCATAGACTCCCAAGTCAACGCCATCCTGCCTGCCCTGAGCCGCTGCTTTGAGCTCAACACCTTCAGCTTCTGTGGAAATCCCATCTGCATGGCCACCCTGGAGAACCTGCTGAGCCACACAATCATACTCAAAAACTTATGCCTGGAGCTGTATCCTGCCCCGCAGGAAAGTTATGGTGCTGATGGTACTCTCTGCTGGAGCAGATTTGCTCAAATTAGGGCTGAGCTGATGAAGAAAGTGAGGCACTTAAGGCACCCCAAGAGGATCTTGTTCTGTACTGACAACTGCCCTGACCATGGCGACAGGTCATTTTATGACCTGGAGGCAGATCAATACTGCTGTTGAATGCCTGCCTATTTGGATGGGTATGTCAAACGCTTTCTTCTGGACACTTGGAAACTAAAACCTAGGTCTTAGGTACATCCTAAAGGGAGCACAGAACCCATCGTTTCACACATGGGCTCTGAAAGTGGGAAAGGAAAGCTGATCAAGCAGGGGCAGGACTTGGGGGAAATGTTGCCATGGATTCAATGGGACTTTGGGAACCTGTATCCTGTAGAGTCGAAAATGGGAATCTGAATGTCTAGAGTGGAATTCAGGCTTGAGAATACATGAGGGAGTTACTCTTGCATGGATGGTTGTAAAGAAACAATCAGAAATAAAGGAAAACTGAGCAGAATCTGTCTGGTGCCCTCTATTATTAAGTAACCTGTTTTCCAGTTTAAGCCTCAGGAATCTTCAGTTATTGATGGAAAAAACAAAAGGCACTGACTGAGTTGTCCAATCAATAAGATGCAGCCCAAGAAAATCAAGGCATTTAAATGAAATTTGGTTATTGTAACCAGTTTCCTCCCATTCTTTTATTTGAGACAGAGTTTCACTCTTGTCGCCCAGGCTGGAGTTTAGAGTGCAATGGTGCCATCTCAGCTGACTGCAACCTCCACCTGGGGTTTAAATGATTCTCCTGCCTCAGCCTCCCAAGTAGCTGGGATTACAAGCATGCACCACCATGCCCAGCTAATTTGTGTATGTTTAGTAGAGACAGGGTTTCCTCACTATGTTGGCCAGGCTGGTCTCAAACTCCTGACTTTGGGTGATTCACGCAAGTAGGCCTACCAAAGTGCTGGGGTTACAGGTGTGAGCCACTGTGTCAGGCTTTTGTTTTTGTTTTTGTTTTTGTTTTTTAAAGGTCTCCTGTCACTCAGGCTACAGTGCAGTGGCACAATCATACCTCATTGCAGCCTCAATTTCCTGGGTTCAAGCGATCTTCCCACCTCAGCCTCCTGAGTAGCTAGGACTACAGCTGTGTGAGCCACCACACCTGGATACTTTTTTTTAGTAGAAACAAGGCCTCGCTGTCTTCCCCAGGCTGATCTGGAACTCCTGAGCTTGTGATTCTCCTGCCTTGGCCTCCCAAAATGCAGGGAGTATAGGCGTGGACCACCACGCTTGGCTTGGCCTCCTCCAGTTCTTCACTTCTTTAGATGTCTGTTAACTCCTTGTTAGTTTCTGTGGCTGTTCAGTGGGTTAATACACACTAGGTGGACACCAAAGGCCTGGAACATTGCTGGGCAAGAACAGTGAGCCAATCCACACGGAAAGCACCTTCTTCTCAGCGTCTTTCACCGCTATCCAGATGCTGAGACCCTGCCCACTCCCTGTGAGTCTCCACATGCTTCCAGAAGCCTTAGTTGGTGGATGTCAGCTTCACTGCACAAGGAGCCAGTCTCTTCCCGCTGCCCTGGAAGGGGATGTCCATATTGTGTATTAGCTGGAGACTCTGGGCAGCACCAACCCTTGCTTGTTCCCCTGATGACCAGCAGCCCTTCTTGAATTAAACTTGTTGTAGCCAGTAAAGACAGCCACATTCCCTTTAAGTAAAATACTAAAACTATACAGGCATGTAACACTTTTTAAATATTTCCATCTGACATTTTAAAAGTTACATCTTTTTGGGGAGCTAGGTCAGATTGATGAGAGATTTTCTCATAACACCTTCCCTCTCTCCCTATGAAGGAAGTGACTAGTGCAGCATGTTCTGGAATCTGACATCATCAAAGGGTGGATAACGATCAAGTGCCTGTGGGTGATGAGTGACCTTCCCTGTGGTGAGGAAGCCTGCATAGTGGGCACCCAAGTGAAGGATCCTGCTGTGTACTCAGGGGCTGGTGTTGCTGTCAGGGATGTTAGCCTAGAGCCTCAGCTTCCTGTAAAATGAGGATGATGATATCCAACAGCTTATGGGACCTTGGTAGGATCCAATGAGATGGTTCATGTTTAGGGCTTGGCATGGGGTCTGGCATACAGTAAGATCAATACATCTTGTTCTTTTTTCTCTTCTCAGCAGAAGTCCCAGCATTTTTCATCTTTCAATCTCACCTCCTTTTCCTGATAATAGAGAGGCAACAAGAACTCAGGGCATGCAATGGGGCTCAACTTCTACTCTCTGCCACAATTTCATCATGATTCCCCCAAAGAGCAGAGCCCCAGGAGCCAGCAGGGGGCAGGGTGGGCATTTCTGGACTGGATTCATTCATAATAAGATCAAAATTTCCAATCCGTATGTCTCGGGTGCCATCTGCTGATAGATCGGACCAGATGGTATAATTGAGTGTTGCAAGGATTATATTTTATGGTGTTTTTAAAAATGTACTATTATGAGCCAGGTGCAGTGGCTCATGCCTGTAATTCCAGCACTTTGGGAGGCTGAGGCAGGTGGATCACCTGAGGTCGGGAGTTTGAGACCAGCCTGAGCAACATGAAGAAACCCCTTCTCTACTTAAAATACAAAAAATAGCCAGGCGTGGTGGCACACGTCTGTAATTGCAGCTACTCGATAGGCTGAGGCGGGAGAATCGTTTGAACCTGGGAGGTGGAGGTTGCGGTGAGCTCAGACTGAGCCATTGCACTCCAGCCTGGGCAACAGTAGCAAAACTCCATCTCAAAAAAAAGATAAAATAACATTTATTATTATGGCTGGGCATGGTGTCTCACACCTCTAATCCCAGCACTTTGGGAGGCCGAGGCAGCCTCGGGATGTTGAGACCAGCCTTGCTAACATGGTGAAACCCCGTCTCTACTAAAAATACACAAAATTTGCTGGGAGTGGTGGCATTCGCCTGTAATCCTAGGTATTCAGGAGGCTGAGGCAGGACAATCACTTGAACCCGGGAGGAGAAGATTGCAATGAGACGAGATCGCGCCACTGCTCTCTAGCCTGGGCGACAGAGCATGAAAAAAAAATTTACTATAGTGTGAATACTATTAGAGTATAACTATTTGTGTTGTAATTTATGTATATGAAAGATTAGAACTTTGAAAGAATGCAACGTGATATTTTAAGAATGGTTAATGGCCAGGTGTGGTGGTTCATGCCTGTATTCCTGGCACTTTGGGAGGCCGAGGTGGGTAGATCACGAGGTCAGGAGTTCCAGACCAGCCTGTCCAACATGATGAAACCCGGTCTCTACGAAAAATACAAAAAATTAGCCTGGCGTGGTGACAGGTGCCTGTAATCCCAGATAGTCAGGAGGCTGAGGCAAGAGAATCGCTTGAACCTGGGAGGCAAAGGTTGCAGTGAGCCGAGAATGCACCACTGCACTCCAGCCTGGGTGAAAGAGGAAGACTCCGTCCCAAGGAGGGTGAGAAAAAGAATACTTAACTTGGTTTGAAATGTCAAAACAAATGAGATTTTGAAAACTAATTTTAAAGACACTGAACAATAATCATTTCTTCTTTAAAATATATTTAGAACAATACAATTTTATCTTTGAAAGGAAACATTACAGTTTTTAAAAATCTTGAGTTTATTTCATTTTATTTTATTTTGAGACAAGGTCTCACTCTGTCGTCCAGATTGGAGTGCAGTGGCATGATCACGGCTCACTGCAGCCTTGACCTCCTAGGCTCAGGTGATCTCCCTGCCTCAGTCCCCCTGGTAGCTGGAACGACAGGCATGCACCATCATGCCTGGCTTATTTTTGCCAGGTTTCACCATGTTGCCCAGACTGGTCTTGAAATTCTGGGCTCAAGCGATCCACCTGCCTCGGCCTCCTAAATTGCTGGGAGTGAGCCCTTATAGGCATGAGCCACCGCACCCAGCCTTGAGTTTATTTATTTATTTATTTTGGAGATGGAGTCTCATTCTGTCATCCAGGCTGGAGTGCAGTGGTACGATCTCAGTTCACTGCAACCTCTGCCTCCAGGGTTCGAGCAATTCTCCTGTGTCAGCCTCCAGAGTAGCTGGGATTACAGGCATGCACCACCACACCTGGATAATTTTTGTATTATAATTATTATTATTTTTTAATAGAGACAGGGTTTGTCATTTTAGTCAGGCTGATCTCGAACCCCTGACCTCAGGTGATCCACCCACCTCAGCTTCCCAAAATGCTACGACTATAGACGTGAGCCACCACGCCCAGCCTATTTTTTTCTTTATAGCAGCTTTAGATTCACAGAAAAACTAAGCAGAAACTGCAGAGTTCTCATCTACCTTCTTCCCCCTTCAATACACAGCACCCCCACAGGATCAGCACCCACACCAGCACAGAGCATTCGTCACAATCAATGAGCCACAGGGACACATCATTATCACCCAATGTCCATAGTTCACATGGGGGATCATTGCTGGTTTTGTACATTCTATGGATTTTAACAAAGGGATAATGACACATATCCACCATTAGAGCATCATGGAGACTAGTTTTGTTCCCCTAAAAGTCCTCTGTCCTCTTCCCATTCATCCCATTGTACTCCCAACCCCTCACAACCACTGGGCTTTCTACTATCTCCATAGAAAAAGGCAAATGTCTAACAGGATGAGTCTTTTCACATTGCCTTCTTTCACTTGTACAATAACGTGCATTTAAGAATCTTTCATGTCTTTTTAAGGCTTCATAATAGTTCACTGACTGGATGGATCAGTTTGCTTATCCAGTCACTGACTGAAGGCCAACTTGCTAGCTTCCAGGTTTTAGTGATTATGAATAAGCTACTATAAACATCCAGCTGTGGGTTTACTCATTTCATTAAATATCCAGGAGCATGATTACGGAATTGTAGGGGTATGGTATGTTTTACAATGATTTCTTCTTTCTTGACAATCTCACTTGTTCGATATTGCTGCTAAAGGTCAGGAACTTTGTCTCAATCATCCTATGTTCCTACTGCTGAGCATGGAACGTGGCACTTGGTAGCAAATGCTGTTGACCACGTGATGCATGGAAACGTTTATCATGGGTATAGTCACTAAATTGCTACCTTGGCGACATCAACATTAGCTCACTACCAATAATATAAATAAATTGGATTATGGAAAAAATGGCCCTTGTGATACTGTGGATACTCCATGTGTATCATGAAAGTCCAGCAATTGACAAGGCACAGTGGCTCACATCTGTAATCCCAGCACTTTCAGAGACTAAGGTGGGTGGATCACTTCAGTCAGGAGTTTGAGACGACTCTGGCCAATATGATGAAACCCTTTCTCTATTAAAGACACAAAAATTAACTAGGGGGTTGAGCCAAGATGGCCGAATAGGAACAGCTCCAGTCTACAGCTCCCAGCATGAACAGTGCAGAAGACGGGTGATTTCTGCATTTCCAACTGAGGTACCAGGTTCAACTCAATGGAGAGTGTCAGAAAGTGGGTGCAGGACAGTGGGTGCAGTGCATCGAGCGTGAGCCAAAGCAGGGCAAGGCATTGCCTCTCCTGGGAAGGGCAAGGGGTCAGGGAATTCCCTTTCTTAGTCAAAGAAAGGGGTGACAGACGGCACCTGGAAATTCAGGTCACTCCCACCCTAATACTGCACTTTTCCAATGGTCTTAGCAAATGGCACACCAGGAGATTTTATCCCATGCCTGGCTCAGAGGGTCCTATGCCCATGGAGCCTCACTCATTGCTAGCAGAGCAGTCTGAGATCAAACTGCAAGGCGGCAGCAAGGCTGGGGGAGGGGCGCCTGCCATTGCCGAGGCTTGAGTACGTAGACAAAGCAGCCAGGTGGCTGGAACTGGGTGGAGCCCACTGCAGCTCAAGGAGGCCTGCCTGCCTCTGTAGACTCCACTTCTGGGGGCCGGGCATTGCCAAACAAAAGGCAGCAGAATCCTCTGCAGACTTAAATGTCCCTGTCTGTCTGACAGCTTTGAAGAGAGTAGTGGTTCTCCCAGCATGCAGCTGGAGATCTGAGAACGGACAGATTGCCTCCTCAAGTGGGTCCCTGACCCCTGAGTAGCCTAACTGGGAGGCACACCCCAGTAGAGGCAGACTGACACCTCACATGGCCAGGTACTCCTCTGAGACAAAATTTCCAGAGGAACGATCAGGCAGCAATATTTGCTGTTCACCAATATTCGCTGTTCTGCAGCCTCTTCTGCTGATACCCAGGCAAACAGGTTCTGGAGTGGACCTCCAGCAAACTCCAACAGACTTGCAGCTGAGGGTCCTGACTGTTAGAAGGAAAACTAACAAACAGAAAGGACATCCACACCAAAACCCCATCTGTACATCAGCATCATCAAAGACCAAAGGTAGATAAAACCACAAAGATGGGGAAAAAACAGAGCAGAAAAATGGGAAACTCTAAAAATCAGAGTGCCTCTCCTCCTCCAAAGGAATGCAGCTCCTCACCAGCAATGGAACAAAGCTGGATGGAGAAGGACTTTGATGAGTTGAGAGAAGAAGGCTTCAGATGATCAAACTACTCTGAGCTAAAGGAGGAAGTTCGAACCCATGGCAAAGAAGTCAAAAACATTGAAAAAAAAATTAGAAGAATGGCTAACTAAAATAACCAATGCAGA